>NC_000014.9:57793531-58096561 GCF_000001405.40 Homo sapiens | reverse complement strand
CACCGAAGAAATAACTGATAATTAAAAATTAAAAATGATCACTTATTTCTTCGATGAGTTTATATTTATGCCCTTAAGTAGCCAGGCTCCAAACAGTCTCCAGCTGCCTATTATGAGTACAGTTGCCTGATGTTTGGAAGAAATTCAGTTTTTCCTTCCCAGTTGGGAGACAGTTGTAGGCTTTAGGAGGACATCCGCACAGGGAGGAGATACGTGTAACCAGGATGTTGGACAAGCAGCACCATGGGACAGAGTCGAAGAACAAATGCATTTTTTGTTCCGCTCTGTCCTTTGGGAATCTATTACCTAGGGGAAGTTCTTCCCCTGCTTGTGGGTGAGCAGTTGGGCAGTCCCATGATTTTTCTGTTCAGACTTGTGGCTGCATTACCTTGTCAAACACGATTTCATTTCAGCAGCTAGGGTGGCCAGACCACTCCATGCTCACTCTCTCTTATTCATGGCCCGTGCTTGTGGTGAGAGACTTGGAGGATGCAGGCCGCTCCTCAGCTCAGCACTTCCTTCCACATCGACAGGGAAGCTCCCCAGTCTGTCCCTCTCCTCTTGTCAGGGGAGACGCTATTAAGCTCTCAGTGACTCCTTGAGGCCCTATTCCCTTGACCTGAGGTGAATTAATCTCTTCTCCAAGGAAACTCTTCTCTAAAATGCTCCTAGTCTTTAACAGCTAGGCCCATTGATTCCTTCAGTGTGGCAGATGTTAGGGTTAAGAGTCAGAAAAACTGGTACAAATACTAGTTTTGGGGATATGTCATTGAAAACTTGTAAGTTGGTCTGGGCCTTTGCTCTGGATGTAATTCTGGGAGTTGCACTCTATAGATTGGCATACAGGTTGTAGTTGACATGTAGCTGGGATTTCCTGTGTAATATGCTATAGGAAGGAGAGAAGATAGTAAGGGATGGGCTTCCAGTGGACAGACAAGATTTCTTGAATTACTTTCTGGCCAAATTCAGCATGCATTGGGCAATGATTACTTTAAAAACATGTCACATGAAACTGGTAAAAACTTATAAGGGTATCAAAACATTATAATATCAAAATACTATAAAACAAACACAAAATAAGATTATCTCTGGTCTGTGAACAAGTGAATGAATATTTAGTCTGAAATGCTTCTGTTCTACATGAACAGGTTTGAAATGAATGAAATAAGATACAAAATACAAAGATAATTTATACCGAACAGGTTAAAAACAGACACAAATCTACACGTAAAGTGACTCCTCGGGTTGTGCACAGCTTTATACTATGGAGGTATCATGTACAGTTAAACAGCCTTTCAGTATGGATGGGATGATATTCGGATGCTCTAGTACTTTACCGGAGAGAGGAGCGAGGGAGACAGGGTTGCCTTAGCACAGAATTAGGAACATCATATGGCATCTACCCTGGATTGTGATCAAAGAAATGAAGTCTCACCACTTATGAAGTGGACTTACCATCTTTGAGTAATTATAAGTAATTAGAGGGTCTTAGAAAACTATAAGGAGGCTCTGAATCAAGGCTAAAATGATCATTTGGGCTGTGGTATTATCATGCTCCTCAATGCAAATTTACCACTGAATAGGAGTCAAGTTTTTAAGGAATCAGCTTTACTGAGGTATGTATTATACACAATTGCACCCACTGAAAGCTTATGATTTGATGAGTTTTGAGAGTTGTATACACCCATGCAACCCCCATCACAATCATGCCGCAGAGCATTTCCATCATCCCACCACCAGTGATTCCTCATGCCCCTTTGCAGTGCATCCCTCCTCCAGTCCTCAACCCCAGATAACCACTGGCCTTTGGTCACTATAGATTAGTTTGCATTTTCTAGAATTTTGTACAAATGACATCATATGGTATATACCATTTTGTGTCTGGCTTAGATCACTTAGCATAAAGATTTTGAGATTCAACTATGTTGTATGTATCAGTAGTTTGTTCTTTGTTATATATAACATACACACATGTACACACATGCACACACTCACATACACATCCACACACATATATATAGCTGACTAGTATTCAATTGTATGGATATACCATGTTTTGCTCATCTAGTCACCTGTTGATGAACAACTGAGTTGTTCCCTGTTTTGGCTAATAGCAGTTAAATTTTAAGGCTTGTCAGGCTTGAGGCTTAGGACAAAAAGCTCTGTTGTCCTCCTGTTCTGACTCCTGATTTCAGTCCCCTTGCACAGCTAAAGTTCTTTTTTTTTTTTTTTGAGAAAGCGTCTCACTCTGTTGCTCAGGCTGGAGTGTAGTGGGGCGATCTCGACTCACTGCAAATTCTGCCTCCCGGGTTCAAACAATTCTCCTGCCTCAGCCTCCTGAGCAGCTGGGACTACAGGTACCCACTCCCATGCCCAGCTAATTTTTGTATTTTTAGTAGAGACAGGGTTTCACCATATTGGCTAGGCTGGTCTCAAACTCCTGACCTTAGGTGATCTGCCCGCCGTGGCCTCCCAAAGTGCTGGGGTTACAGGCATGACCCACCGTGCCCAGCCACAGCTTAAGTTTCTTAAATTAGTGATACCAGTTTAGTAATTTTTTATTCTTTTAAAAATGACTTCTCCAGATCCTGAGTTTTAAAAATATATCAGACTTTTTCTTATTATTTACTATTTCTCTAGGTGTCTCTTACTTTCTGCTGTTGCTTCTTTTTCTAATAAATTCATTTTGTCAACATGTTTTCAGCATTGTGGGTTTCCTGGGAACCAAAGCAAGGAACAAATATTTCAAACTGTTCTTCTCACTGAGAAGATTGTGTTTGAGGAGTATCTGGGTCTAGAATTTTATTAGCCCACCAACCTTTTCTCGGAAGGACAGGAATATCTCCTAGTAATTCAAAACCAATAACAACTTCTGGATCAATATTAAATGGTTCAGTTTACTAAAGACTCTGAGGTCAGGTAAAATAGTAGAAACTCTTTCCTTCTTTGTGATGGATTTTGTGATAATGGCTCCCCGAAGATGTCTATGTCCTAACATCTGGAACCTGTGAATAAATTACCCTACATGGAAAAAGAGACTTTACTGATTTGATTAAATTAAGGATCTTTAGGCTGGGCACAGTGGCTCACACCTGTAATCCCAGTGCTTTAAGAGGCTGAGGCAGGAGGATTGTTTGAGGCCAGGAGTTTGAGGACAGCCTGGGGAACATAGCAAGACTCCATCTCTACAAAAACTGCAGAAAGTTAGCTGAGGGTGGTATGTGCCTGTAGTCCCAGCTACTCAGGAGGCTGAGGTGGGAGGATCACTTAGGCCAGGTGTATTATTAGTTTGTTGTCATGCTGCTATGAAGAGATACCCAAGACTGGGTAATTTATAAAGGAAAGAGGATTAATTGACTCACAGTTCTGCAGGGCTGGGGAGGCCTCAGGAAATTTACAATCATGGCAGAAGGGGAAGCAAACATGTCTTTCCTCACCTGGTGGTAGCAGGGAGGAAAATTGCAGTGGGGTAAAAGCCCCCTATAAAATCATCAAATGTTGTGAGAACTCCCTCATTACTATGAGAACAGCATGGGGAAACTGCCCCCATAATTGAAGCACCTCCCACGAAGTCCGTCCCAGCACACATGGGGATTATGGGAACTACAATTCAAGATGAGATTTGGGTTGGGGCACACCCAAACCATATCACCAGGAGTTTAAGGCTGGAATAAGCCATGATTATGCCACTGTATTCCAGCCTGGGTGACAGAGTAAGACCCTGTCTAAAAAAAAAAAAACAAAAAGGGAAGGATCTTTAAATTGGAATGGGTAGGTTATCCTGGATTATTGGGTGGGCTCATTATAATTACAAGGTTCTTATGAGAGGGAAGTAGGAGGTTCAGAGTTAGAGAAGAAGATGTGATGATGGGAGCGAGGTCGGAGTGATGTAGCCATCAGCCAAGGAATGCTGTCAGCCTCTAGAAGCTGGAAAAGGCAAGGAAACTGATTCTCCTCCAACGCCTCTGGAAGGAATGCAACCCTGCCAATAACTTGGTTTTAGCTCAGTGAGACCCATTTCAGACTTTTGACCTCCAGGACTGCAAGGTAATAAATTTGTGTTATCTGAAGTTTGTGGTAATTTGTTATAGCAGCCATAGGGAATGGATTCAGATTTCAATAGGTATTTAAGGAGCAGCAGCGTTTTGCAGCATTTTGAAAGCAGAGCCTCATGGCAGCTATGCTCAGAGCGTAAACATTGTAAAATTACGTATACTTTTTCCTGTAATGAATCAATAAAAATGCAAACACTGAGATCCTTTGAAAAGTAATCCTATTTAATATGATAACACTTTAATTGGCTGTCCGCTTCATTCCTATTTTTAAATGGGGTTGTTTTATTTATAGGTTATCACCTCCATTTTTACAATATGAATGGTATTCCAAAGCAAATGCTAAAACCCATATAAATTTTTAAAAATGAACAGATTGAGGTGGGTAGTGAACTAAAAATAATGCAAACTCTTGGAATAGATTATAGTCTCATTTCCTGTGAAGTGCCAAGAGCAGGAACATAGATGACTTTCTAAGGCAAAGCAGTAGATTCAGGCCTCAAATTCTCTGTACTTCTGTTTTCTGCACTGTTACATATGCATTGCCTCTGAAGCTTTGGAGGGAGAGAACTTAGTTTCTTCATCTTGCTGCAGGGAATTGTGACTGTGGAGTGAACTGTGTGTTGCTGGGATAGAGAGCATCAGGAGTGAAAGTTCCATGTTTTGATTGAGGTGTATTGACTGATGGGTCAAACGCTAGTAGCATATAGGAAGCTCTCTATTCACATATGCAGAATTAATTTCTTCTTTCATCTAACAGGTTCATTTTCAGATTTATTAACAAGAACCTGTACAGAGAGCAGACACTGTGACCCACACCACTTCTTATCCTGTTGCTATAATAAATCACACAATTATCATCTTTAAAGTGTAAAAATCAGTATGACCAAAGATGAATCAACATATCCATTTTAATGTTTATTTCCAATATAATTAATACCTGGTGATTCATTTCTTTATTCTTCCTTTATTTGTTAGAATGCCTTCAGTTATAGATTATAGAAATCCTAACTTAAATTGGTTTATAGAATGAAGAAATACATTTTTTTCCCCTCAAAACAAGAAGTCCAGAAATAAAGCTCCTGGGTCTATTGATGCAGAACCCCAGTTGTCAGGAGTGACACAAGTTTTTCCCATTTTGCTCTACTACTATCCTTGGTGTGTTGACTTGGCCCTCAGGCTGGCTTCCTTTTAGTTGCAATGGCTGGAACAATTTCAGGTTTCACAGAAAAGACATTGTTCAGAGAAGGAAGGCAACTGTCTTTTCACTGTGCTTCTTTCTTTCCTTTTTTTTTTGTGAGATGGAGTCTTACTTTGTTGCCCAGGCTGGAGTGCAGTGGCGTGATCTTGGCTCACTACAACCTCCACCTCCTGAGTTCAAGTGATTCTCCCGCCTCAGCCTCCCCAGTAGCTGGGATTACAGGCATGCACCATGCCTGTAATTTTTGTATTTTTAGTAGAGATGAGGTTTCGCCATGTTGCCCAGGCTGATCTCGAACTCCTGACCTCAAGTGATCTGCCTGCACTCGGTCTCCCAAAGTGCTGGGATTACAGGCATGAGCTACTGTGCCTGGCCCACTGTGCTTCTTTCTTTTTTTTCTTTTCTTTTCTTTCTTTTTTTTTTTTTTTTGAGACAGGGTCTCACTCTGTCTCCCAGGGTGGAGTGCAGTGGTGTGATCTGAGCTCATTGCAACCTCCACCTCTCGGGTTCAAGCGATTCTCCTGCTTCAGCAGCCCGAGTAGCTGGGATTACAGGCACACACCACCACAGCCCAGCTAATTTTTGTATTTTTAGTAGAGATGGGGTTTCACCATATTGACTAGGCTGGTCTTGCACTCCTGACCTCAAGTGATCCGTCTGCCTTGGCCTCCTAAAGTACTGAGATTACAGGGGTGAGCCACTGTGCCTGGCCACTGTACTTCTTTCTTAAGAGAGAGGCAGCCTTTCGAGAATCCCCCAGTAGACTATATCATGCCCCTGCTTGGCTGAGATTAGGTCACATGCCCATTTCTGAACAATTGTTGGCAAGGAGAATGTGATCACATGATGGGTGGAATGGATGGAGCCAGAGGGCAGTTACCACGTGTGTCATGCATGGTTTCTGTGTTGTTCTATTTTCTTCTCTTGTTGGTGATACACATCTATGTCTCTTCTATCCTCTAAGAATCCCATGATCAATCTTGTTAAATTATTATCTTTATTTGGTTTGAGTTCATGAGTTCTGGATGAGAGCTTGAGGGTGGCATTGTTCCATCTCAAGAAGAGACCATTTTTGTCTACTTTAGAATTTGATTGATGTTCCAGGTGGATAAATCTATTGGTTTGTTAATTGAGAATTATTATAGCTGTCTTTATTTTTTCAAAAGTCTACATCTAACATTGGAATGGACACTTGATTGAGGAAGTGGTATATTTTTCTCTAGAAATCCTTAACAAACATGATGCTCAATTAATGGTCTAGGGATGTTTGTGTAAAACAGAGGAATGGAGGGGAGCACTCATGTATCTATCTTTTAACCAGATATTCATTGAGCACCTACAAAGTGTGTGCTGTATGTTCTGAAAATAGTGAGAGGCTGACAGATAAAGAGATACATAGTCATGGGGCAGAGTGTGGTCTCATAAATGTGAGGTCAGTGGCTGAGCAATTCTATAGTGAGGGACTGAATTATCACTTATCACCAGGGCTTGCTTTGAGTGGGCAGCCATCTCATTTGAGGTGTGACTTCAAGGATGCGCTGTCTGATCCTCTAATTTATATCAGCCTTGCTGTCCTCACACAGCGCCTGCTTTCCAATATTAGAGCCTTCCTTTGCATTGATACGTGTCTTCAGAAGGCCTTAGAAAAATGCAGAACTGCTATCTGGGTAGAACAACTCATTAAAACATTATCATTTATTATGCACTGTAAGGGATTAATTTATCAGGTTCATTAGCTGCTAATTTGGCAAGATGAAAGGGAGAGGAACATAAGATGCATGTGTTTTGAATTGGTAGGAGGGTATAATGCATTGCAGCCTAAGTGTGGGAAGTAGGCCTTCTGGAAACAGAGCACTTGACTGTGAGGAAGTGAGACCCTTAGCCCTAAAATATGTCAGCACTCTCTTCTCTTCCTCCTTTTTTCTTATTATCCATTTAAAACACTTAACATGTAGCTAAGATTGACTACTTAATATAGTGCAACACAGATTGTGGCAGCAAGGAAAAGATGCTTTGCAAAAAATAGTGGGAAGTGTGAGATTTCAAACAGCTCCTCATTGCAACAAATGTCAGTGTATTTTGATGTATAACATGTTAAGCTATGGCCTAAAGGTTTGCTCGAAGCTGCCAAGACTAACATAATTAAGTATGTGTATGGAATGAGTGGAAGGAAAGAAACCTCAGCCCAATGTAACCAGCACAAAGAGAGATGGTAGATTGGCTAAAGCCCCCAGATGACTGCTCTCAATCTTGGCTGCCAGTGGAATCCATTTCTTAGAACTCCTAGAGAGCTATAAAAATTATTGATACCTGGATGCTACCCCTATAAAACAACTGTCTTAAACCGAATCTACTGGTTGTGCCCCAGGGGTGAGGCAGCTTCTGTTTATGTAGGGAGATGGAGAAAGAGCATTTTCAGAAGTGTTGCTGTACATTGTGAATGGAATCCCCATGAGCAAAAATGTACATTACTTTTAATGATCTTTCATGTGTTGGATTAATGTGTCTTAAAAAAAACCCTCAGCTTTTTATAATCATATAGAGATCAAACAAAGTCAATATTCATGATTTAATTTTCCCGGAAAGCTCATGGTCACATTACAGACTCCTGAATCTGGACCATGGAGGTGTATACTCAGACACCTGTATCCAGGATGAGTGGGCTTCTCTCAGTAGGAGCTTCTTCAAGTAGGTATCTGCCAGACGCCTGGGAGTCCTTCCATCCCCAAGATGGTACCCAGGGTTTCTGAATTAGAGAGTAATGCCATTCACTCTTTCTCTGGAAAGAATGGAATTATTTTTCCTAGACAAGAGAAGCAAAGACTTGGGTGCAGACCTCTTTTTTTTTTTTTCACATTAGCTAAGACACCCTGGTGCTAGAGTTTAAAGCAGAGATAATGATCTCTGCCTTGTGAGGATGAACATGTAAAAGAAACTGAACATAAGAGAAATGAACACATAAGAGGATGCCTTTTAAGCCTGATAATTTTTTTTATTCATAGATCTTTCCATTTGAGTTGTTGGTTACTTGTGGATTTGTAGTAGTTGGGAATTTCTAGGGAAGAATATCTATATGCTTGTGGTAAAGGATTCAACAAACTCAGGATTTTAGTAGGTTTTAAATGCACGTATTGCCTGAGTTTTCCTCTTATGTATTTATATCCTGCTGTATCGTACCTATTTGTGCTAGAAACTCCAAATCCTCTTTTTAGCATGACGTAGGTTATAAATAGGTTAAATACCCAAAAATGAATAGACTTCCATCCTGCTGCTCATTCCCAACTGTTCTCGCAGATGTGCACTGTGAACTACAAACACAGAATTCATTAGAACCAAAAGTCAGAAAGAGAACTGGCCAAGCCTAAAGAAAAGCAGGTGCTAGCCTAAAAAGAATTTAAGGTACTCTGTGTTTTTCTTTTATTTTTATGTTCACGAGACTTCTGATGAACAGTTCTAGATATTGGTTACAGTCAAATTCTTGTTTTCCTTTAACATGAGACACTTTAAGGTATTTGGAAAGAGGAAAGGATTGATGGCATAGATAATTTTGTGGGTTGTCCAAGTTTTTCTTGAAGACTGACATTTAATGATGTTTTCACAGCTATGTAGGAATTTCACACCAAAAATCTCAGGCAGACAGCACTGAAGCTTCAGGAATTCATTAATTCCAAGAGTCATAGACAGAACCCAGATGAACCCAGATGATGTTCACTTTGCCCAGGTCAGCTGTGGAACACTGCAAATTCCCTTCTCCTCCCTTTAAATTTTCTTTTGAGAAAATGAACGTGAAGCAGCTCTAAGTCTCAAATGCTAATGTAATGAAGGAAACCCATAAAATAGAGTTAGTTGAGTGTCGCTATAGTCCAGTGGCCACCATGAGAATTTAGTATGTCCAGAGCACTCAGCTAACCCCTCAGGTGAAAAGCCTCCCTGAGGATGTTCCTATGTTGAGGAAGAAAAATTAACCTTGGTTGTTAAAATAACAACCTTTGGACCAGCTGCATCTCCCGACTCAGGGTTCACAGAAGCAATACTATAAGTAGTAGGTTACGTAGGATCTCCTAAATGAACTGTCAAGCTGGCCTCAGGAAGCTGAAGTTATTTTTGAAATTCAAAAGAATTGATGGTGCAAAGTGAAAATACAACAAACCAAAAGCGAAGAAGAAATTAAATGTTAAAACAAGGAATCAGAGATTTAAATCAGGAAATTAGAGGAGCCAACAGTTCAAGGTTCAGAAGCATTTCTTAAAATATCTTTATCTCTTTTATATACTCTTGGTATATTTAGGGATCTCTGTGTGCTGTCTGGTCTATCTTCCTGCCTGTTTCTTTTTGTTGCTCTGTCTGAGACCTCTATCACCAGAACATGTATCAAACATTCCCTACCGACTTTTTCTACCATTGTTTTTCTTTCTTGGAATAGTTGTCTCCCCTTTCCATGTGTCTACACCTGGATCTGGCCGAAGCCTTTCCTGGGAACCCTAACTCACGCTGAGCCCTTCCTTTTGAAATTCTTCCAGTCATTTGTCAGTATTATTTAATTTCTATTCACTGCACTATCTCATTTTGCTTATTTTTTTGGGGAACCTCAGAACATCTAGCACACAGCATGGAGTACTGTTGATTTTTAAAAGGGATTTTTCTTCCAGCTGATCGCCATTCTGGGCCTGAAATTTTCAAGCACAGTTGGGAGGAGAAAGGGGATGCTCTATTGCATCTCTCCTGGATAGTAATGTGGGGGGTGGGGCAAGGTTTTTAGATAACATAAGGTTAATTTGTGGAAAACATGGTAACTGATCAGGTACTGAGGGTTTTCTGTCATGCTTATAACTGACACTAAGCTTAGCTATCATATGGCAGGTAGAGCTTCACCTCATTGTTATTTTTGCTGGTTCTACTTACTCCAAAGTGTTTTTAATATCTACAGAGTCTTTAGTAATCCACTAACTATAGCCTGCTTTCTGGTCATAAACTTTAGAGAGTATTTTGAGGCTAGTTTTTTCCAGAACATCACCTAACATTTTATTTTTTATTTTTGGAATGAACTTTGAGTGATTCTTCACTGTAGAAACGATCAGACCTTAGAAGCGTTGAGTCAATTACATTGATCAGCTTAGCCGCTGAATCAGAGGAAAATCAGATGGCACTCTCATGGAGTGGTTGAGCAATTTAAAAATTTACAAATAGTTAATTAGGTGGCTTTATAGACATAAAGCCTTTGACAGCTCCTACCAAAGAATGAAAACAACTATTGCATCACCTAGATGGAAGTGAGACATTTATAAACCTGATTCTCTCTGCCACTGGTTCATTGCTTCCCCAGTTCTGAGAATCAAGTCTTCTTTTTGTATCTCACTTCTGAATGTAGAAAATTATTATTACGATGTAGCATTTTAAATGTTTTAGGTTCCTGGTTTGAAAATATTTTCTTTTTGTTTCTTTAATGCCCTGTAGGAGCTGTTGGGTTAATGGTACCAAAGTTTCACTAAAAGTAAATTTGAACTTGTTGGTTAGGAAGAGCCGTCTGGAAACCTAAACCCAAATATCTTGGCTCCAAATTATCTATCTTGATTTTATTTCTTCTTACGATCTGTGTGAAATAATAGACTCAATGCTTCTTAGAAGCTGAAGCTCTTCTCTGTATTTTCATAATTAAATTATATTGAATTAGAGAATTGGAAAAAATCACATTTCTTTTATTACAAATGCATTTCTTATGGGAAAATTCAGCAATCACTTTTCCTTTGGAGAGCCAGAAAAGGAGACTTGGAACTAATCCAGAAAATAACCTCTTCATCCACTACAGTTAATAAAAACATTAATAAGACATATTACATCTGAGGAGAATGCTGTGAACTAATTTCTTTGTAATCAGAATGCACTCGTAGGCTCAGTTGGGGAATTATTGAAATATGAAAACATCTAGTAGGCTCTTCTGGGAATTAAACAAGAAGAAACACTAGGAAAACTGGGAAGTTTTTCAGAAAGGAAGAAATTAAGTATAAATTGTCCTCTTTGAAAAAATACAGAGGAAAGTGAACAAAGATGATGTTAAAGAGTTTCCAACTGTTAAAACAAAATGGAGAAAGTAGTCAAAATGGGTCCTTATCTCTTGATTTGTGGTTACATGGTGCTAATTAAGGTGAATTGCTTAATTAAATGCTCTTGGTCCACTCTATTAAGAATCTGGAATATTTGGAGTCTCCCAAATTTTACTTGTTTTACTTAATCTGGATCAGAGAAAGAATGCACTTAACTTTTGCAATTCAGAAACAGAGCAATTAAGTAATTTTTCCCTGTCTCCAACTGAGACCATAAAAAAGGATGCTAAAGCCTTAAAGCGAAGCTTAGTGATCAGGTGAAGTTGAAATCAACTTGTTTATTTCATTTCAGCATTTGAGAATTAATGGCCACAGGGTTCTGCTTTTCCAACTCAGAACCTTTCTGCTTGCACAGAATGATTTACAGAATCTGGCACAAAATATAGCTATATGGTCAACAACAGGTCCCAGTTCAATTCATGTGAAGAACTTTCAAAATAAACTTTACAAACAGATTAAAGACCCAGGGAAGGAATTTAAAATGAAGTGCTCACAACTTAGGGGATGTTGATTTACACCTTCCATCTCTCAGTTTTCCTGCAGGGCTGAAATCTTTCTGAAATAATGGGATTTGAATTTTTGAGCTGCTTCTCTTGAAAGAGGATAGTGACTGTTTGGAACAGGAAGGATTTGATGAATCCTTGGGGGTAAATACCTGAAGTCATATTGGCAACTTTCAACTGCCGAAGATTTGTATGAAATCAGCCATAGGCATTGGGTGAACTACCACCTGGGTTTGTTTATCACAAACCTGATAAAGTATTGCACATCCCACAGGACCAGAGCCTTGGGCTTCTGAGTCCTGCCACGGGGGAAATAGACCAATAGTAGAGGCCATGCACACAGAGTTAAGGTGAAGAGTGGTTTCCAACTAGACCTAACAGCTCAGGATCCAGCAATGGAAACCACAGAGAGATAGAAAGACAACTCATTTATTTACTCCAGTAGTAACAAGAAGGTGGGGCAAACCATGGGGAAAATTCTGTGCTAGAAGTTTGTTTCCAGTGGAACCTTGCAGCCTTTTCTTCTTCCTTCTTCCTGGTCATCATTCTCACTTTGCATTCTTCATTTGAGCACCTGCCACACCTCCCCAGGACTGTCCTGGGATCCCAAGAGGCTTCACTCTTCTCTTAATCCCCCTCACTGTATCAAAACACTCTTACTTTAAAACCTTGGTCTAGTGACTTTATGATGGGCCACCAATAATTCATACTTGTTAAAAGATAATTTTTAAAATAAGGTATAATCATGATTCTCCTATAGATTTAAAGTGAACATGTCAGAGATTTTATTTAACTCGTTATTAATGAAGAAGCCAGGCAAATACCATAACTGGCTCAAATGAGACATGAAAGAACCACCAATCTATGTGGAGTCAAAAATTGTTGAAATGAATTTACAGATGGATGCAAGACTGACTTTTTCCAGTCAGCAAGGGTTGTCCCTTTTCTGGATATTTAATTTGCTTGTTTAGAGAATTATTTGTTTTGCTATTTGTTATCTGTAATTTAAAGAGTTGTAAAATAGTTCAAAGGCAGTGACAGGTGCACAGTCCTAATGGAGTCAGATAATTCTTAGGGGTGCCAGCACTCCATTGAAAGGAGTTTGTTTGTTTGTTTGCCTTTGAGATGGAGTCTTGCTCTGTCGCCCAGGCTGGAGTGCAGCTGTGCAATCTCAGCTCACTGCAACCTCTGCCTCCCGAGTTCAAGCAATTCTCCTGCCTCAGCCTCCTGAGTAGCTGGGACTACAGGCACACGCCACCATGTCTGGCTAATATTTTTAATTTTTTAAGTAAAGATGGGGTTTTGCTATATTGGCCAAGCTGGTCTCAAACTCCTGGCCTCAAGTGATCTACCTGCCTTAGCCTCCCAAAGTGCTGGGATTACAGGCATGAGCTACCATGCCTGGCTGATACTTAATATCTTTCCATTATTCCAAAGGTTAAATTTTGAAAACATTTTTATAGTGAAAGAATAGCTTGCTAATGAAAAAAGTTGACTTATGGACTTTGGATAGGTGGGAATGTATCTGTCTGCAAATGCCAGTTGCTATAACAAACAACTCTAAAGTCTCAGTGGATTAATATATTGGTTCCTTGCCCTCTTCATAATCCACTGTCACTCAGTTATTCTTTCACCCATATCTCCATCATCTTCTTGGACCTATGCAACTTCACTGGATCCTCTGCAGCTAGCCAGGAGGCAGGAAAGAGAGAGAACTTAGGGAAGGCTACCTGGGACTCATCAGCCTAGAATGGCTTTATTTTTCTTCCATTTCAAATTATGTTAGTGAGAACTAGTCACATGACCCCAGCTGGATGGAGGAGGGGCAGGGGGTGATGGCAGTACATATCATTTACCTGAAGCAGCCTGGCTTGGTGAACACTTAGCATTTTCAGGGGTGGACTTTCTCAAGGAAGGCAAGCCCCAGAAAACTGGGAAAACTCCATTTGCTATTTATAAATTTTTGCTAGATCATGAGTGATTGAGCAGAACAATGTCTGCTCTCCAGGAGCTGATGAGTCATGGGGAAGAAAAATGTGTAATGCGAGGCAGGATGTGAAATATGCTGGGGAAGAAAAATGCTCTGAAAGTACCAAGTGGAGCCTTGTAAAGCATTACAGACAACATGCAGGGTGGCAGTTGAGAGGCTAGAATTTGGAGTCAGGAAGTCCTGAACTGAAGCCTTCACTTTGCTGCCATTGACCCTGGATGAGTTTTTAACTTCTCTGAGCTTCAATTTCCTTAGCTTGAAAAAGAGCATACTAATTATTCACTCATAGGATAGATCTATGTGTGCAAAGTGAAGCAAAAGCCCATTTATCTTTGGCCTTGAAGGTTAGGCAGATTTCAAAAGGCAGAAAGGGGCAAAGGAGCATTGTAAGAGAGGAGCAGGTGAGCCGCTGGAGCCTTGGTTCCTTTACCCACTACTTCCTCGAGCTTTTATATATTGGGAGTTCCCAAGATGACTGTATTTGAGGAAAAGGAATCCACTATCAAAAATAAATTTGAAAACCCAGAGTGTTCTTGGGAGTATTGCTGATTCATTGCTTTTTCCAACATGACCCAGTGGTTGTCAGCATAATCTTTGACTGACTGTTAAGTTTAACCAGTTTAGTGTGAGGAGATTTACAGTTATTGCCTGTCTTAGAGATGACACAAATAATTGATGAGAGTTTTTCACTTTTCAGATATTACTTTTTCAAGTTATAGGTAAGCTGTGGTATCCTGCCTATATTTTAGCATCTAAGGTTTTTTTTTTTCCCTTCCCAGGTTAATTATATATTTTAATTTTTGGAACATGTACGATCATTATGGGATGCTATTAAGAAAGAAAAAAATCCCAACATGACTACCTTAAAGGCATTTAGTTATAAAGGCTGTAGCATTAAGATATGAACTTGGCCAGGCGTGGTGGCTCACGCCTGTAATCCCAGCACTTTGGGAGACCGAGGCGGGCGGATCATGAGGTCAGGAGATTGAGACCATCCTGGCTAACTAACACGGTGAAACCCCATCTTCACTAAAAAATACAAAAAAATTAGCCAGGCGTGGTGGTGGGTGCCTGTAGTCCCAGCTACTTGGGAGGCTGAGGCAGGAGAATGGTGTGAACCTGGGAGGCGGAGCTTGCAGTGAGCCGAGATAGCACCACTGCACTCCAGCCCAGGTGACAGAGCGAGATTCCGTCTAAAAAAAAAAAAAAAGATATGAACTTAAAATTTGAGAGTGTTTTGTACTACTTAGTAGCCTCATACAAGCTTATATTTACAAGTTTATATTCAACTTCTCTGCACCATAATTGTTTTACTCATTTTGTACAAGCGAGCACAATCCTTTGGAGAAAGCAAGCACAGTGTTGACCATTAATGTGCACACAGATCCCCCTGGGGATCCTGATACAAGGTGCGTTCTGATTCAGTAGGTCTGGGTGGGGCCTGAGACGCTACGTTTGTTCAAGGCTGCCAGGAGAGACTGATGCTGCTGGTTTGTGGATCACGCTTTGAGGGGCAAGGGGCCAGAGGATGCACTTTTTATCTGAGAAGTTGAGGAAACCTCACTTGGGAGAGTAAGAGAGACTCTTTATTTATTTATTTATTTATTTATTTATAGACAGAGTCTTGCTCTGTGTCCCCGGCTGGAGTACAGTGGCACAATCTTGGCTCACTGCCACCTCTGCCTCTCAGGTTCAAGTGATTCTCCTGCCTCAGCCTCCCAAATAGCTGGGATTACAGGTGTGCACCACCACACCTGGCTAATTTTTCTGTTTTTAGTAGAAATGGGGTTTCACCATATTGCCCAGGCTGGTCTTAAACTCCTGGCCTCAAGTGATCTGCCCGCCTCGGCCTCCCAAAGTGCTAGGATTACAGGTGTGAGCCACTATGCCTGGCCTATTTATTTTTATAGAAACATATACATTTCTTTATTATTTTTTATTTTATTAATGATGAAAATCTTAAAAAAAATAAATTCAACCTCACTGTCACACAATATAGCCATATAACAAACCTGCACATGTACACCTGAAACTTCAATGGGGCACAAATGATCCCATCACCCAGGTGGTGAGTATAGTACCCAATGGGTAGTTTTTCAGCCCTTGTCTCCCTCCCTCTCTCTCCCTTCTAGTAGTCCCCAGTGTTAGTTGTTTCCATCCAGAGGCTCTCTTTTAAAAAGGAGTTAGAATTTTATAATATCTACTTCTATTAGGGCTACATTCGTTTGGTCCTTCTCATCCCTCATTACAGACAGAATTCTTTAGACCCTTAGACTAGCTAGTTTTGACCGGGCACAGTGGCTCACACCTGTAATCCCAGCAGTTTGGGAGGCCGAGGTGGGTGGATCACCTGAAGTTGGGAGTTTGAGACCAGCCTGACCAACATGGAGAAACCCCATCTCTACTAAATATACAAAATTAGCCAGGTGTGGTGGCGCATGCCTGTAGTCCCAGCTACTTGGTAGGCTGAGGCAGGAGAATCACTTGAACCCAGGAAGTGGAGGTTGCGGTGAGCTGAGATTGCGCCATTGCACTCCAGCCTGGGCAACAAGAGCGAAACTCCATCTCAAAAAAAAAATTTTATATATATATATATAAATAAATATAAATCTTAATGATAGTGACAAAGGCACCTCATCTCCTTGTCTTAGCATCGTTGGCAGTCAAACCTGGCTGTTGCCTACTGCAGATGAGCAATGAGGGTGAACTATGTCACTCTTAAGTGCTGTGTCAAATCTTACTGACAACTCTTTCACCATAATCCAGTTACTCAGATAGATCATTTCTATAGTTACTATTTTGTTTATAAGTTGTGTGGAATTTTAGAACTTTTCTGTGGCTGGTTAGAGTAGTGCCAAGGAAGCCAACCCCCAGCTCCCCTCAGGTAAGGATCAAGGTTCAATTCTAGAAAAGAGCCAGGTGTATGTGCTTTTCATCACAAGAGAGTCCTAGTCAGAGCAGGGTTGGAAGGGCACATCCAGTCTTGCTCACGGGAGGAAAATGTTCCAAGTACCTACTTATTCAGAAAGTTTTTATTGAATACCTACTTTTACATAGAGTTTTTGTGGGCACATAAATATATGGTAAATTTAGCAGTAGTAGCTCTCATTTCCTGGGATCTTTCTCTATACCTACTATGGTTTGAATGTGTCCCCCGAAATTTATGTGTTGGAAGCTTAATCCCCATTGCAACAGTGTTGAGAGGTGGAGCCTTGAAGAGGTAATTAAATCATGGGGGCAGAGCCCTGTTGAAGGGATTAATGCCTTTATCATAGGAGTGGGTTAGTTATCTGGGGGTGGGCTCCTGGTAAAAAGCGGGAGTGCAACCCCCTTTTCTTTTCAGTATTGTATGTGCTCTCTTGCCCTTCTGCCTTCTGCCATCGGATGATGCAGCATGAAGGCTCTTGCCAGATGCGAGTACCATGCTTGTGTACTTCCCAGCTTCCAGAACTGTGAGAAATAAGTTTCTTTTTTTCTTTATAAATTACCTGGTCTCAGATATTCTAACAGCAGAAAACAGACTAAGACAATGCCCATACTGCTAAGCACTTGATATACTTTACATCATTTAGGTTTTATAAGTAGTTATCATTATTCCTCATTTACAGTTAAGGAAGCCTAAGGGTGTGCCACAGGTCAAAAGGGTTTCCAAATTGCATGGTCTCAAAATAGCTGCAACATTCCCAAGCATCATATTCAGATGTGATGATGTGTGGCAGAAAAGAGGGATTATTACTTTTTATGAGCCTTTCGAAGAAAGACTTTCCCAGAAGCTGCTCACACATCTGCCTTCATCTCACATTGGCCATGGTTGTATCATATGCCTATGTTTCAACCAGTTTCTGGCAAGAAAATGGAACTACATTGGTCCCATTGGCTTAGGCCAGGGGTCAGCAAAGTACAGCCCCTGAGACAAATCCAGCCTGATGCCTGTTTTTGTAAAGAAAGGTTTTTGGGAACACAGCCATGCCTACTTGTTTACTTATTTCTATGGCTGCTTTCACCTCACAACATTGGAATTGAGTTAGTTGCAAGAGACCTTATGATCCATAAACCCAAAATATTTACTATCTCACTCTTTACAGAAAAAGTTTGCTGACATCTGGCTTAGGCCAGTCAAGATCTATATCTGTACCATTGTTGGTACATGGTTGGTACATGGGCAGAAGTAGGGATTTTTTCCCAACAAGGAAAGAGTGAGTGGCTGTTGGATAGGCAACCAGCAGTGACTGCTACAGAAGGGCCTCTTTATCCCAATGAAGCAGAGGTGCTATAACAGACTTTTGTGTGGGGAGGTGGCTGCACCTCAGAGACAGTACATGATTGTACAGGTTACAGCCAGAGGAATGCATTGGATGAGAGGGTAAAAATAGAAAGAAAAAGAAGTGATGACTCCTAGGTCTTGGCATGTGTGGGATATAAACATTCCTTTCAAATTCAGATTATTAAACTAGTGCAGGGCCCATGCAGTTCCCAGCAGCCACATGCAGCTGTGACAGGGAGCACCAGCAGCTGACCAGAGGAGCTCATAAGCTTTTGCCCTGCCCTGCTGGTAGTTTTAATTTCTGAAGATCAAGGAGACAAGAACTGCTAATCTAATCAAGGAAGAACTGGTAGTTGAAACATGAGAGGTAATGTCTGTTTCATCTTAGAGTAGGAGAGAATGCTGGGCTTATTTAGGAATACCTCCGGACTTCAGCAAGGCAAATATCAGAAAGCTAAGGGAAAAGTATCATCTCTGTCCATTGAGTCTACATGGGTACACAGTACACAATTGGTAGTAGTTCCTGAAAATTTCTATTCTGATAGTACAGCTACAAATTAACCTGATGAGGAAGCAAAGGGTGGAATTTTAAGTAGCAATGTGGTTTTAAGAGGAATTTGGATTTCAGAAGAAAGAGACAGGATGTGTGGGAGCAGTGGAGTAAAAAAGATGTGGATTCCAATCTTGGTTATATCACTTGCTAGCTCTGTGAATTTGGGAACAGAGTTTAACCTCTCCGAGCTTCAGTTTTCCTATTTGTAATTTAGGAGAATAATATTTACCCATACAGAGTGTTCTTGCCAGCCAGTGCATCCACTCTTGCTCTCTCTCTCTCTTTTCTTTTTGAATAGAGTCTCAGTCTGTCACCCAGGCTGGAGTGCAGTGGTGCAAACACATCTCATTACAACCTTGACCTCCCAGGCTCAAGCGGTCCCCCCACCTCAGCCTCTTGAGTAGCTGGGACCGCAGGTGTGCACCACGCTTCCTGACTAATTAAAAAAGTATTTTTTGTAGAGATGGGGTCTCACCATGTTGCCTAGGCTGGTCTTGAACTCCTGGGCTCAAGCCATCCTCCTGTCTCAGCCTCCCAAATGGCTGGGATTATAGGCCTGAACCACCACGCACAGTCTACTCTTATTCTACCTAATTTTTTCACTCTGCCTGATACATGGTTTCATCAATTCTCACTCTTTACCATCTTTAAATCTTACTCATTCTTAAATAGAACAACCACCCTTTTGTAACCAGTGTGTTATTAATCACTAAACGTGGGTTAGCTCAGGGCTGTCTAGCTTGTTTCTTCAGCCTCCCATGGTCCTGCAGACCCATCAAATACATCTTACCACCTAGCATCCATGACCCCCTCATTGGGCTTATGACTGGTCTGGGACGTTGGCTGTGGTATGGAGGGCCCACTGGGGTGTTCAGAAGGGGCCAAGCTAAGCAAGATTATGGTATAGGCAGACATCACTGCTGCTGGCCGGGTAGAGGGTGAAGCCTTGGTGTAGACAAAGCTAAGTCTAGTGGCCCCGATGGGAGGAATGAGGGGCCCGAGTCTGGGTTCAACTATAGGATTCTTGGCAGGGTGGCTGGTGAACAGTCAGTTAGCAGTTAGTTGCTCCCAAATAGCTCATGAACACTCAAGCAGTGCTCTTGCAGGTTCCCCTTTGTCAGGTCTGCTGTCATCAGGTGGTGGCCCTAGTCCCTTCTTTCTCAGTTTACCCAGGATCAAGTTCCTACCACCTTTATCCCTCTTCCATTTTCCAAAGCTTTGTTCTCATTTTCTTTCTTTTTAAAAAAACAACTTTACTGAGATATAATTTACATATAATAAAATTCAGTAGTTTAAAATGTCCAATTCAATGTGTTCGAGTATATTTGCATATTTTCCCTAAGAATATGGGTGAGGTTTTAAGCAAGTTTGGGATCTGCTACTGCATTCAGGCAGCAGACCTCTGTTTTCTTCTTTTGATTCTGAAAACAGGGTTACAAATTAGAGTTCCAGGTTGAAATGAAAATGCACTTAGTCCTTTCCAGTCACTGAGCCACTTACATAGGGAAGAAAAGATTGGTTGGATTGCTTTAAATAACAGTAGATAGCCATGATTCTTGGGAAAAGCAGGATAATGACTTTAAGACCTAAAGGGTCATTTATCTGCTGGCTTCATCCCCACAGTGTTTTCCAGGCACATGGGCATCTTTTCCCATTTCCACAAACTTTCACAGAAGAGAATTTGATCTTCTGGCCTGGAAACTTACTCTGCTTAATGATGAAGAAATTCTTCAACAACGACAAAAATAATAGTTGCCGCCGCTGCCTCCTCCTCCTCCTCCCCTTCCCCCTCCCCCTTCCCCTCCCCTTCCTCCTCTTTCTCCTCCTTTCTTCTTCCTCCTTCTTCTTTCTTCCTCTTTCTTCTTCCTTCTTTCTTATTCTTCTTCCTTCTTGTTTTTAAACATACATTTCTTCTTGTGTTTTTAATAAGTACCAGGTATTGGTTATAATGGTAACTTATAAGACCTTATTTAATCCTCACAATAACCCTAAGATATAGATAGTGAAACTTTCTCCATTTTACATATGAACAAATTAAAGCTCAAGGTAATGTTTTCAGTAAATGGCAGAGCCAAGATTTGAACGCATGTTTATTTGATTGTGAAGATGCTGCTCTTTTTTCTTTTTGACCATCACCAAATTTTTATTATACTTTTAAGTTCTGGGGTACATGTGCAGAACGTGCAAGTTTGTTACATAGGTATACATGTGCCATAGTGGTTTGCTGCACCCATCAACCCATTATCTACATTAGGTATTTCTCCTAATGCTATCCCTCCCCTAGTCCCCACCCCCCAACAGGCCCCGGTGTGTGATGTTCTCCTCCCTGTGTCCGTGTGTTCTCATGGTTCAACTCCCACTTATGAGTGAGAACATGTGGTGTTTGGTTTTCTGTTCCTGTGTTAGTTTGCTGAGAATGATGCTTTCTAGCTTCATCCATGTCCCTGCAAAGGACATGAACTCATCCTTTTTATGGCTGCATAGTATTCCATGGTGTATATGTGCCATATTTTCTTTATCCAGTCTATCATTGATGGGCATTTGGGTGGTTCCAAGTCTTTGCTATTGTGAACAGTGCCGCAATAAACATATGTGTGCATGAGTCTTTATGGTAGAATGATTTATAATCCTTTGGGTATATACCCAGTAGTGGGATTGCTGGGTCAAATGGTATTTCTAGTTCTAGATCCTTGAGGAATCACCACACTGTCTTCCACAATGGTTGAACTAATTTACACTCCCACGAACAGTGTAAAAACATTCCTATTTCTCCACATCCTCTCCAACATCTGTTGTTTTGTTTCCTGACTTTTTAATGATCGCCATTCTAACTGGCATGAGATGGTATCTCAATGCAGTTTTGATTTGCATTTCTCTAGTGACTAGTTATGATGAGCTTTTTTCATATGTTTGTTGGCTGCAGAAGATGCGGCTCTTAATATATAAAGCCACATCCCTCTCATAATTTTGTGAGTTCCTTCCAGCACTGTGCTGGAGCCAGCACATATTGAATTGCAAGAGCTAATGGTTAAAACTTTTGGGAATTTTTAAAGTCAGCTCTTAAACTTAGCCATTAATAGAAATCAAATTATATAAATTTACAACTAAATAAATTATATTACAATATTTTCATATGCTCAAAACTCTTCACTTCCTAATTATTTTACTACATGTTACTTCTGTCTGGGCTTTCGAGGCTATTTACGTCTATTGCATGGTATGGTGGAAAACCGCATCATGGTGTGCTACTGTGTATCTTTTCCCAACTCTGCATTCTGTGATGTCATATTGGTGGTTGGAAATTGGCCATGGTGGGAGGATTTACACCACAGAAATTAATAAATACTACAAATCAGAGCTTGATTTACTGTTTTGTTGATTGTCTAGACTTAAAGTGATGGAGTAATGTTAATACTGCAAATTAAACTAAAAAAAAAAAAAAAGAACTGTGTTGCATCCACTGCCAAAGCGGAGAGAAGCTTCAGTTTAATGAATATAATTCATATCAGGATAAGGAATAGTTTAACAGTAGATTACATATCTGATTTAATGTTCATAAATTTATTGGGAAAAGAGTGGGTTAGGGTACAACTCCACTTGTCAAATGGTAGATGAATTGCAAGCATAAGTTAGTTACAGATAGAAAAACTTGACAAAAACCAGTGAAATCATCTTGTGAGAATCAATTGGCTGCATGGGACTTGCAGCCTGGCATGAGGTTGTCCCCATGAGTTTATCCCTGCAATTACTTCATCTTAAGCAAAAGCTTGAATCAAGGTGAATTTCAGGTTTCCTGCATTCTTAAATTCTGAATTTTTATGGCTGCTTGTTGTACTTAGCCTTTTAAATGTGCTTGTTGGTTTATCAAGAGAAAGGCAAATATAATAAAACCTCAATGATTCAATTTTGGGATTTGAGATGATACTTTGTTAAATTTGTATGGCCTTTTTGTAGTTTACTACATGTTTTAGCACACATCTTGTTTGTTCCTCTAATAATTCTAACAACCCTAGCATTGAGATAAACAGGGAGTTATTAGTGTTACCATTTACTGTTGAGGACACTGAGGCTCAGGATAGTTCATAACTTGCTCCAAGAGCACAGATAGTGAGCAGAAAGGCCAGGTCTAGGGCTTCCGGGTGGTTTCCTTGATTTCTCACGTCTCTTCTCTTTGATCTGCTTAAACAAAGAACTCCATTGAGCTAGTAGTAGTCACATCATCTTATGTCTTCTGAGCATACGTTGAACAAAAAAGTCTGTCTAAAAGTAGATTGCAAGGTTAGAAGACTATTTTTTTTTCCCAGTGAAGTAAATAAACCCATCCTTTCTGATTAAGTGAGGAGCTTAAGAGGAAGTAACAGTTGATTGCTTGTTAGGATAATAACTACTTTAGAACTCAAAGTCAGTGAACATGAATGTGCCCACACCAGAATAGGTGTTCAGTAATAGAACAACCTGATAAAGAGGACAGCAGCTTGGGATATGTTTGAGTGTAATCACAATCAAAGCAGCCTCTAGTATCTTTTATACTTTTTATAGCATAACCAGCAGATTGACTTTAGTGATGAGGATAACACAGAGTGACTTCTTAAGTGAACAAGGGACACTAGAAAAACAACAGTTTTTTATTTTTTAAAAATGGCATAAGAATGATTCCTTATACTACTCTAGGCTTTTGGTGTGTTTCTTTTCTTCTTCTCATCATTTATTTAGCTTGGAGTTGCCATATTTTTATGGGGCAAATTCCCAAAGAGGTGGGAATTTCATGAAGCCAAATATAGACATAAAGGTGGTATTCAGATAAAGAGGAACTGTGTTTGCTATGCATTTCCTCTAGTGAGGCAAATGTATGTGATATCGTCCCTTCTGCTTATTTGAGCAAGCCCCCAAGGAGGGGCGCTGTAGCCAGAAGTTGCTATTTAGGGCTCTGTCCCTAATTTACTGTGATATGTTAATGAAATATACACAGAAGTATTTTCTCCATGGAATGGGGATACCTGTCTGTAAGAATCATTATGCATGATGACAGGGTGACATCCAAACACCCTGTGGTCTTGTCTCAGGCACCACCTACCATCAGCAAATTAAAAGATGGCTCTTCCTTGAACTCAGCAGTAGGTGTCGCTGCAGTCAACTAAAAAGGAACGCTCTGGCCAAAAGGATTCTTTTTTTTTTTTAGATGGAGTCTCACTCTGTTGCGCAGGCTAGAATGCAGTGGTGCGATCTCGGCTCGCTGCAACCTCCGCCTCCTGGGTTCAAGCAATTCTCCTGCCTCAACCTCCTGAGTAGCTGGGATTACAGGTGCACACCACCACACCCGGCTAATTTTTTTTGTGTTGTTAGTAGAGATGGGGTTTCACGACGTTGGCCAGGCTAGTCTTGAACTCCTGACCTCAGGTGATCCACCCACCTCCGCCTCCAAAAGTGCTGGGACGACAGGCATAAGCCACCGTGCCCGGCCCAAAAGGATTCTATTAGAGGGAAAAGGAAAGGAGCTATTACAATTGAAAGTAGCTATTACAATTAGTTATCTAGATTTCTTTCCCACCCCAAACCCAAATCCTTCATTACATACTATTGTTTATCTTTTAAAATGTGACGTCTTATAATCAATAAGTCTCTTCAGAAAAAAAAGTTGCTTCTGTAAACCTTGCAATCCATCTATCCATTCATTCATTCAACGAATACTTCCTATGTGCCTACAACTTGTGAGGGACTTGCTAGGCTTTAGGCTTACAATGATAAACAGTAGTGATAGTCTGGCTTTTTGGAGCTTACTCTCTGGTGGGGAGACAGGCAATTAAAGAGGTAATACAAAAAATTATAGTACAGCAAGATTAGTATAATCATAGGAAATGCACTAGATGAAATAGAAGGAGACAACAAGGGAAACTGAGTTGAGGGGTCAGAGATGATCTCTTGCATAAAATAGCATGTAAAAAGGTGCCCATGGGGCACAAATTAGAAAGACAGCATCTGGATTCCTTTACTCCATCCGACATTCGCACAGGTTCTTGTCATGGTGCATTTTATCTCCCTTGTCGTCAGCACTATTTGAAATGCATAAAGAATATCCTTCCTCCTGATTTTACTTAGATAATTTGAAATACCTAAAGGGTTAATCATGATTTATATTGCTGTCATTATATCTCTCTTGAGATACTGAAAACTGCTTAGTGTCTTGTCAAATACTTTGACAAATACTCTTGATTATTTTATTAGCATATGATATATGAAAGATAAAATCAAATGTTGAAGCAGTCTGTCTTTCCCTTATTTCTACATTTACTCCTCACTGGGGTGTTTGAGTTAAAAAAAAAAGCTTCAGTTTCTATCAGGAAGTCAAAGTCAGCCTAAAACACAAGTGGGAGCCAATTTGGCACCAGTTATATGACCTGACTGGCAATAAAGAACTGGCTATTGCATTAGGTCTTGGACATTTTAAGAAGATAATGAAGAAGGAAATATTGATAAGAAACATGAAGTTATTCTATCGGTATTTGCTCTATCTCTAGTGACTCATGAATTATATTTTCAAAACCCTAAACTCAATTTATTAAGAGTTCCAAATACTGATTTTTGGATGAGTAAAGCCAGGAGACCAAAAAAATTGTATGTATTGAAAAGATAGCAGAAATGTGTTCTGATGAATCATTAACAACTTTTCTTGCCTCTTTTATCATTGTCATTGCAAAAGTTCCTTATTATAATTATTACCCGTACTATTGTATATAATATATATAACGTATATTATATATATATATTTTACTTGACTCTGGGGCCTGCACTCACCTTATTCATCCAAAAGAACATTTATTTTTCACATTATAAAAGGTATGGCCTCAAGGCTAGTAGGACTATAACCATTTTTCTTAGAATAAAGAAAATAAGTGTTCAAATGTATCAGGTTACAAAATAACAGAAAGACAAACATCACATGTTCTCATTTATTTGTGGGATCTAAAAATCAAAATAATTGAACTCATGCACATAGAGAGTAGAAGGATCATTACCAGAGGCTGGGAAGGGTAGTGGAGGATTCAAGGGAGCTGGGGATGGTTAATGGGTACAAAAAAATAAAAAAATAGAATGAAGAAGACCTACTATTTGGTATCACAACAGGGTGACTATAGTCAATAATAATTTAATCGTACATTTTAAAATAGCTTAAAGAGTGTAATTGGACTGTTTGTCACTCAAAGGATAAAAGCTTGAGGGGATGGATACCCCATTCTTCTCCATAATGTGCTTTTGCCAAGAGCTGGACATTCAGAACAGTGAAAGGCCTAATTGTACACAGTTCTTCTTAGCTTTTGTAGATGAACCCCTTGCCATTTTTATGTCCAGGAAATTGAAGTGTTTGGTCTTGTCCTAACTTGTAAAGGGAAACATTGTAATATTCTGGGAGGAGCCATGGGGAAACTTCTTATTGCTCTAGCCTTGCTATTAATTTATGGTGTGGTCTTGGGTGACTCTTAGTTGCTCTGAGCCTTTACTGTTTTCATCTGTAAAAAGGGGCCTGATGTGAGGTCAGCATGTAGAAACCCCTTCATTTTTCCTCTGTGCTCACCCCCAGTGTATTTGGGCCCACCTTCCTTTTTGACTCAAAGAAAGAGGTGACCTAACCCCTATTCAAGTACAGCCCTGCCACCTGCATGCGATCTGGAGCTTATCACCTTCTTCCTCCTCTTTGAGCTGTTAAGGAAACTGAGCCATTTGGGAACCCTCATTGTCTAAGTTAGAAATCTGGGTGCCATCTCTAATTCTTCTCTGCTTCACTCGGTTCTCGCATCCACTCAGTAGCAAAGCCCCATTCATTTTGTCTCCTAAGAGTGACTGTTCAATTTACCCTTCTTTGCCATCCTCCTTGCCTTCAGCCAGCATCATGTCTTGCCCAAACTATTGCAGGAGCCTCTTTACTGATGTTCTTTCTTGCTTGCAGTTCCTCTATTTCCAGTCCCTTCTCCACACTGTGTTCAGAGATATCTTTCTAAAACACAAATCTTATTATGTTAATTGAGTATCAGCAACTCCACTGAACAAATATTTATGGTGTGAATGGGTGTTATAACAGGTTCTGAGAGATGATCAATTTGAATAAGACAGCATGGTCCCATTTAAATGAAATCCTTGTGTTGGCTACCTATATTACCTATAGGATAAAATGAATTTCCTTTGCATGGCCTTTGATGCTGTACGTCAAATTTCCCTTCCTGTAGCCTTACCTTTGAATGCCTCTTCTCTTGCCGTCTGCATACTTTATATCCCTGCCACCAAACTCTTTTTAACCTGAGCATGCAGTGTTCTTTCATGTTTCTAAGATTTTGCATATCCAGATCTCTATGTCTGGAATTCCCTTTCCAACTTCTCCCTTGGCCTACCCATTGTTCCCTATCAGATGAAACTGTCATCTTATTTGGGAGAATTCTCATTAATCTATTACTTCCTTGTTTATACTTGTACAGTCCTTTATTCATAGTGTTATATTGTATTTTTAAATGTCTGTCATATGAGATTGTGAGCTACTTGAAGGCAGAAAATTTATGCCATATTCATGGTTGTATTGCCTATGATCTATCATAGCATATAGCACATTTTCAGGGCTCAATAAGTGATTGTTGATTACTAAAATAAATGAATGAACGTACTCTGCATACATGCATGGGTGGAAGTGGATATCACAATGTTTCTTATCTCAATGGAAATGTCAGTAATTGTGGAAAGAAGAAACTTGGAAGTTAATACTAGCTTTGATCTTGTTGATCTTCCAGGTAAGTCTTTGATATCTTCAGGTAGATCATGAACTGATGATGGTCAGGGGATGTTTGGACTAGATCTTTATAGATCTTTAGAGTCCTTTTTATCTCTGTCTCTCTTTTTTTTTTTTTTTTCGAGACAGAGTCTCACTCTGTCACCTAGGCTGGAGTGCAGTGGTGCGATCTTGCTCACTGCAACCTCCGTCTCCTGGGTTCAAGTGATTCTCATGCCTCAGCTTCCCAAGTAGCTGGGATTACAGGTGCGCACCACCATGCCAAGCTAATTTTTGTATTTTTAGTAGAGATGGGGTTTCACCATGTTGCCCAGACTTGTCTCTAATTCCTGACCTCAGGTGATCTGCCTGCCTCGGCCTCTCAAAGTGTTGGGATTACAGGTGTGAGCCACCGCGCGTGGCCTAGAGTCTTCTTTAAGCTGTAAAAGTTGATAGCTTTATTTTGGTTATATCAATTCAGTTCCAAGAGTTGGAACACTTTCCTGGTAACACTTTTGTCTGCTGGCTGAGAAACAAGTGTAGTTTGCTGAATGTATCTTGTCACTGTCTCTTTTCCTGGTACTCTGAAATCCACTTCTGTGTTCCTAAATGACAGATCATTAGGCTTATCCCCAAATGCATTGGTTGTCAGGTAGGCATCATTAGGCTAGTGAGATGTCTTAGTTTCAGCTGAATAAGGCAAATATGATGCTATCTAATCATGACAAGCACAAGGGATGTGGCGTTCTGAGAAGCAAAGAACATCTTTCAAGACTACAACATTTTCAAGTGTAGGCAATTACTCTAGTCATTGAATAGTGATCAATATATAAAGCTTAAGGTGGGAATATTAATGCTTCCTTTAGTGCAGAAACATCAGCATCAGCAACTAAAGCTTTTTTGGAGGGGGGTTGGGGGGTAGACAGAATTAACTGATAACTCCTCCCATCGTGGAAAGTTGATTTTTGTAGTCAGTTTGCAGATATATCAATTTTCAGGGATGTGAATAATAAAAAGAACTAAAAGCTTTTACAGGATATCTTTTCAGTATCTGCTTAACTCACACTCTTGCTTCCTCTTAATCCCCTAGCACCTATGTCACATCCGTTATCATCCTGAAAAGAAGAATCATTCAGGTCACTTAAATGGTGCTTCAATGACATACCATCCATTAGAATTCACAAAAAGCCAGCACTTTCCAAAGAGAAATGTGACACTCTCTTTCACTTGTTCTTTCTCTTCTTTTCCTTACATGAACTTTCAACTTCTCTTGGGATTTCTTATTTTACATATTTTCATAAGGTGATCATTTTTGCAGATAATGACTTATCACCTCCTAAAAGCAAGTCCCTGGTTGGCTAAAAGGAGTAAGGCAGGTGTTAGTATTCATCCATTTCCCCCATTTTGGTTTATTTGTTTGTTTATTCTGGCTATGAAGCTGGATATACTCAAAGCAAAAACATTTGGATAAACTATATAACCCTGGCTTTACACCCAGGAACAAGTGGATAGGTCTCTGGCTCTGTCCACCACCATAAAGAACTCTTTTTTGGAGCAGACCGCACAAACACTTGGAAGCCACAGAATGATGCAAATGTCTTGCTACCATCTCCCTTCCAGGCTATGCTGGCTGTCCTTACACAGATTCTCATAAATCCCTCTTTCTTGGTCTGCCTCCCCACTTCTTTCACCAGTCTCTCCCAGGACTCCAGCTTCATCCTGTAGTTTTGTGAACCAGCCACTAAGTCCTGTTTTGCATTGCTTAGTTAAGAAGGCCACTTTCTTCCCACTAGATTGGAAGCTCCAGGAGGGCAGACACTTTGTTTATTCACATGTGTCTCCTTGGTTCTAGAACAGTACCTACCATGTAACAGACTCTCAATACATTTTTGTTGAATAAATAAATGAAACTTTCAGACAAATAACCCTCTCTGTTTCTGTAGTGTCCACCTCTCATAGTATAATGCTGATGCCTTAGGCTAGAAGATGGAAGGGTACAAAGCAGATAAAAGATGAAGAAACCCCATCCTGCTGTATTTCAAAAGTGTTTGAAGAAGATGGGAAAACTCACCAACAATTCCTCTACGCATAGGAAACAAATGGCCTATTCTCTTCCAGTCTTTTTTCTATTCATTTTTCCCTAGTTGACATTATATTTTTTCCATTTTGTATCAGGTCACTCTAAGTTACATTGTAGATTAGTCAAGCAAACTGGATCTGCTAAAATTAGTAGTAACCATATTTTGTTTATTTGTGATAGTATTTTCCTTTGAGTCTGATACAAATGATTTTCACACTTAGATGTTTCTAAAATCATGGGTAAGTCTTGCGGTTAGTGTATATACTTAATGTCAACAGTAAATCTTATAATCCATGACCTTTCAAGATCCATGAAATATAGTATTTGGAAGTAGTATGCAGTACAGCTGTTTTTGGTTTTTCCTCATGGAAAAGCGAACATACTGACGTTCCTTCTGGCTAAAAACGTTTCTCCGAACTCTTCAAAGCCTTCATGGTTCCCCCTTCTCCCTGTTTATTTTTTTATAACATTAATTATTTTTATTGAGGTAAAATTTACATAACATAAAATTAGCCACTAACCACTTTAAAGTGTACAATTCAGTGGTGTTTAATAAACTCACAGTGTTTTGCAATCATTACCTCTATCCATCTCCAAGACAATTTCATCACCCCAAAAGAAAACCCTGTACCTATGAAGCAATTACTCCCCATTCTCCTCTGCCCCAGCCCTGGCAACCACTAGATTGCTTTCTGTCTCTACAGATTTACCTATTCTGGATTCCCTGTTTACTCTTCAAGGTAACTATGAAGAACAGGACTGGCTTTCTCAACTGGCATGTGGAGGCAGAGGATTTGTGGCATGGCTGTGACACATTATAACATGTTTATACATGCTGAGATAGTATTACCAGGATTGACCACTAAACACACATGCTGTTGGCAGTTGCAGAATTATCCTGGAAGTTTCTAAAAATTAGTGCACATTTTAATTGAAGTAAATGAATGATCAAGACTACTAACATGGCAAGAAAAGCTTCTAATGATGAAATAATGTGAAGAGCAAGGCCTAGTTTAGCTAGGTCCCCCACGTCAGGATCTCAGCTTTAAGGAATCAGTGGAGGCTCCTCCTAAGATTCACTGAAGAGGATCTGCCTCCAAGCTCACATGGTTGTTGGCAGAATTCAGTATCTTGACAGCTGTAAGACTGAGGGATTCAGGTTCTTGTTGGCTGTTGGCTGGAGGCTGCCCCCAGTTTCTTGCTATGTGGACCCCACCACAATGCAGCTCACAACAGCTTGCTTCATCAAAGCCAATGACAGAGAAAATCTGCTGGCAAGGCAGACATTGCAATCTTATGTAACAGTTATGGAAGTGACATCCCATCATCTTTGTCGTATTCTATTGATTAGAAGCAAGTCACAGGCCATGCCCACACCTAAGAGGAAGAGATTACTCACAGACATAGTAGTAGGAAGTGGTGATAACATGGAGCCACATTGCTGTGTAAATGCAGTCATGCAGTCACTCATCTCTTCATGGAGCTGGTTAATTTCTCTCCTCCAGTAAAGAATAAATTAGATAATGAAACAGGCTCATTCTTAAGGACAGTGTAGGCATGAAGAGAAGCTCTGTCGAGGGTATGCTGTATACTTGCAGTATGCATAGAACCTACAAAGACTCACCATTTGTGTTGATTTGTCAAGGGAAACTGGAAATCAGTGAGGTTCTTCGAGGAATATGATAAATAATTATGATGCTTGGTAGGTTTAGCCTCCATGTCTGATTTGAGGTATCTCCCTGAGCCTCAAGGCTCCAAAGAATGAAAGGCTGCAATCACATCATAGGCAACACATGCAGATAGATTCTCTCTCTCTCTCTCTTTTTTTAAGATGGAGTCTCACTCTGTTGTCAGGCTGGAGTGCAGTGGCACGATTTTGGCTCACTGCAACCTCTGCCTCCCAGTTTCAAGCAATTCTTCTGCCTCAGCCTCCCAAGTAGCTGGGATTACAGGTGTCCACCAACACGCCCGGCTAATTTTTGTATTTTTAGTAGAGACGGGGTTTCACCATGTTGGCCAGGATGGTCTCAATCTCTTGGCCTCGTGATCTGCCCGCCTCGGCCTCCCAAAGTGCTGGGATTACAGGCATAAACCACCACACCTGGCCAGATTCTCTTAAGTCAATGGCATCGTTTGACTTGTAGAATTCATCCTACAAGATCCAGCATTACCTAGATGTACTCTGAAAAAATTCTGAAACCATCAGGGGGCTCTATTTGATGCATTCAAGAGTGAATTGTACTCTGGCTGACAACATACTTTCTGTGAAACATTTTTTTGATCCCAAATAGTGTTAACCCTGCTTGATCAACAATATCATTTATCTATTTTGGCTCTGAATTACTCCTCACTCTTTCAAAAAATCAATGGCACCTAGCACAATATCACATATATGGCAAGCAATAAAAATAATTTGGTAAGTTCTTATAAATTCTTATGAATTCTAATGCGTGCATTCCAAAGAATGTTTTACATTCTTTGTCACATTGCTCTGGTGCTAATTGTAGGAATGGAGTTTTTCAAAGTATCAACATTATTGGAATAAGTGTAGTCTTTGATTGACTTATTGGAATAGAAAAACATCCGTTTGTATAAATAGTTGTGTGTTTAAGAGCATTCTTACTCCTTGATAATGTCGTCTTCTGCCTCCTCTGAGAGTTGCCATTTTTTGCCTCCAATATTGTAGTGAATACAGTGGTTGTGAATTTAAATAGCAAAGATAGTGAGAATCAGAGGTATCTCAGGGCATTAGAAACACTGACAACTATCTTCTGCTTATTCTTTATAGGTGTTTCTAATTAGAGTTTTGCTAAATTTTCTAATTAGAGTTTTACTTAGGATCCTATGTTAAGCTATTCAGGGAGTGGGTAATAATGTTTTGAGAAAAGTTAATGAATGCATAAATATTATAAGTGACCGTTTCTTGATATGATAATCGTGTGTTGGAATTGTTAAGGCAAAATTTTAATGCCAACATTTTGGGTGTTGGCTCAACCTATTGTTGATATTGTAAGTATAGCTAAATCTTTGTTAAAAGTGTGCGTATTACCTACACCAGCCATTTACTTCCAGGCTGGCTTCCTTTTGCAATCTGGCTGTTTCCAAGCTACTTCCTTTCACTGCTATTTCCATTTGATATAAACAGATTACAAACTCATTTTTTAATTGCCTAAGAAAAATGTCAATTAAAAAACAGACCAAATTCCAGCCAGGTGGAACGTTTCTGTTTGTTAGTTTTATTGTTTATGCCACTGCTTGCCTCTGTCAGTCTGTGTGATTGAGAGCTACCCGTGCAGCTTGACATGGGCATTGATTTTGCTTTCTTATTGATCAAGGAAGACATGAGCTGGGAGGTTGTGATAGATGACAGTACCAAAGTGTTCCTGGCAAAAGTTGTTCAGCCATGTCCTTCTCCAACTCATTAAATCAAAGCAGAGTTCTAAAAATGATATTTTTTGTAGTTTCTGTAGTGCCTTGCAAAGCTTTCTTGGGATGCAGATAATCAGATTTTCTGCTTATTTGGAAAGCACCATGACCTGCCTACTGATCTTTAATAAAATGTTATTTTAAAAGAACACATGAATCTTCTTTCCCATCTTTATCTTGAAAAACTCTCCCCCTTGAACCTATGGCTTTTATTATGGGTCAAATTGTGTTCCCCCAACCCAGAAGATACGTTGAAGTCCTAACCCTGGGGTCTTGTGAGTATGACCTTAGTTGGAAATAAAGTCTTCATATATTTAATCAAGTTAAGATGGGGTCATTAGGATGGGTCTTAATCTAACATGGCTGGTGTCCCTATAAGAAGAGGGACATTTTGACACAGACACAGACATGCAGGGAGAACGCCATGAGAAGACATGGAGACACATTGACAGAGTGAGGAGGTCACTTGAAGACTGAGGTAGAGATTGGAGTTATGTTCCCCGAAGCTAAGGATCCCCTGGAGCTGCCAGAGCCAGGAAGAGACAAGGAAGGACCCTCCTCTACCTCCTCTAGAGGCTCTGTAGGGATCATGGCCCTGCCAGTACCTTGATTTGGGGCTTGTATTCTTCAGAACTGAGGAATAAATTTCCATTGTTTAAGCCACATTGAGGGTGGTGTGTTGTTACAGCAGTGCCAGGGAGCTAGTATACCCCCTTGAGTGACTGCTCTTTACTTCTCTTCTCCCCTTCATGGCCAAGCTGCAAATTGGCTAGATCACTCCACTCTCCTAAAATTGCCCTTGCTGAGGTCTTCAGTAACCTCCCAGGAGGGGCTGCAAATTATGGAGCCTTATTGTCTGCATTCAAGCCCAGACTCTGCTCCCTGCTAGCTGTATGCCCTTAGGCAAATTATTTAACCTCTCTGAGACTTAGTTTATGTTTCTCAGTAAAATGGGCCTATCTCTGGGGGCTGCTGTCAGGATTAAAAAAGTTAATATAGCTAGAACACTTAGCCTCGTGCCCGGCACATAGCTAACATTTAGTGGTCACTGTTTCTGTTAATATCATTTGCTGCATGTGTCATCCCTTTTCAGTTCTTCCATTGCCTGACTCTGCAGCTCTGGACTCTGCTGGCTGCTTTCTTCTCCATTCCATTGCCGTCTAGTTATCCTCCATGCCTCTGCCTGTTTCTTCTGTTAAGCCTTTCCTGGGAAGACATTGTAGCTAATGCATAGAGCCCACGTGTTGGAATCTAATAGCACTAGGCTCAATTCTCAGCTTTGCTCTTCTTTATTTGGGGGACAGGAGGCAGAGTCTTACTCTGTCACTCAGGCTGGAGTGCAGTGGCATGATCATGGCTCACTGCAGCCTCAAACTCCTGTGCTTGTGTTCCTCCTACCTCAGCCTCCCAAGTAGCTGGGACTACAGGCATGTGCCACCACATCTGGCTAATTTTTATTTTTATCTTTCTAGAGACTGGGTGCCACTATGTTGCCAGGCTGGTCTCAAACTCCTAGCCTCAAGTGGTCCTCCTTCCTTGGCCTCCCAAAGTGCTAGGATTACAGGCATGAGTCACTGCATCCAGCCACCTTTGCTCTTCTTAAGTGAGTGATTTTGAAGAAGCTAGACTTTCTGAGCCCCTGTTTTTGTTTGCTTTTTTTTTTTTAAAGATAAAATGGGTAAATCTGACCTGATTGGGCTTGTGTGAGGAGTAAATGAGATAACATAAGCAGAGGGCCCAGTGCAAGCTGGATTCTGACTTTAACCCCACCTCTGGCTCATCCCCTGGCCACCCCCACCTCCAAGTTGAAGGCTGCCTCGTAGGCTGTGTGCTTGCTGCCTTACACAGCTCCAAGGGGTGACATTTACTTGAAGTAGAATGTGATGCAGCAGCCCTGCCTCCCTTTTCCCTGACACGACTTTTGGTGCAGAGATGGATCTGTGGAATATTCATAAGGTGCTGCAAAAAACCCCACACGATTGAAACTATAGTCATATTTGACGTTTTATCTCACTAGCCTTTACATTCAGTGGTTATCAGGACCCATGGCTTTCATTTCTCCTGTAACTCTCAGAAATATCCTTTCTTGAGGAAAGCGATTAACCAGATTCTGGCTTTGGAGAGGATAGCAGGGAAAGCAGAAATAATGTCTGATGGAAAGCTACAGTGTCAGTCCTGATTTCAGAAAGGATTGATTCTAGGCAGGCAGTGAGGTGGGCTCGGTAAGGTGGTGGGAAGGCTGGAAGTGGCCCGTGTGTGGCTTTACACGGTAATGGTTATCACTAGTAGGAGGAGGACTAGAGGTATAGGAATTGGATTCTGGTGGGTGGGGTGTCAAGATCACACCTTGGAGGAAGGACTGGCCAGTGAACTGGAGGTCAGGAAAGGTCGCTCGTCCTAGACTTGGCAATTGGTTGAAATTCAGGAGAATCTGCATGCTCTGGACTGAGCCAGCCCAGGGCTAGGGTGTCAGGGCTGAGAGGGATGGATTCGATTCCTCCTTAAGTGTGGCCTGGCTGGGCTAGTCAAGGAGGAGCCTCACGGAGTTGGAGCTCAGCATGGAATCTGGAATGTGATGTTATTCTAAGGCTCACCAAATTGGTCTGAGGGGCTCAAGCAGGGCTATTGATGCAGGCTGCTTCTGTCACCCTTAACTTGGGAACTGAGGTAGGCCAAGGCTGCATCAGTGGTTCCAGCTGAGAGGACCTGGAGGGGTGAGAGATAAGGAGAATAAAGCATTATTGTTGTGACCACCGCAAGCATTATTGCTTGTGATTGCAGAGGCAGTTTGGGAATCTGGGAACTCTAAAAACTTCTTCCCTTTGTGCATTTGCTGTACATACACCGTGAAAAGCCCTGTGCCAGCCCAAACACCCCGGAGATACCTTTTCTCCCTGGTTTTCATTGCTTCTGAAGAGTAGTGACCTTTTTCAGACAGAGAGGTATTTTGTAAATCATATGCTTAGAAATGCTCCATCTGGTTGTCTTATTTTTACAACTTTTAATACAGATTCGATGGGCACAGTTTGGGGAGGATAATCTACAAAGTCAATGTCACAGATGCTTAGTTTTTCTTGGTTGGCAGTATCTGGGTCTAAGACTTACAAATGCCACAGTGTTTAGTGATCAAACCACAGTTTCAGAGTACCATCAGTTAATAAAATGTAAAGTTATTTTCAAAGTCTTTATATCCCTACCAGATCTTAACCAGTCTTTGGTTATGGCAGTCAATTTATCTGTTAGAATTAGGACCAAATTGCCTTCCACGAGTTAGAATAAAGAGGGAAATTAGTGTAGGGGAGTACGAAGCCAAGGACATGGGATTCCCTTCTTTGTGGCAAAGAGTTATGAGGAAATAACAGCAAAGCTGACTCATTAATGCTGCCTTGTTTAGGAGAGTCTAGAGATGAATTAATTACTCAGTCTTTTCAGTGTAGGTAGACAAATGAAAGAGTGAATAAAGTGGAGCTCAGGAAAAGTAGAAGTAAAGACAATTGTGATCATATTAATAAGATCCAAAATGAATCCAATATTGATTAAAACGGACTATAATACAATGGACTTAATATGAAGACATGAAAGCATTTCTCCTTTTTGCAGGTTCTAGGGTGGTTTTGTGTTTTAGTTTGTCTGAATCTCACTTTATTTTCTACGTATTGACAACATGGCTTAAACCTGTAAACATCCTCCTGACAGATCCTGTTACTTAGCTTTTCAGTTGCTTGAAATCTGGAGCTGTAGTCACAAGAGAGTCTATCGGTCTGCTCAAAAAAAACAGGGAGCTCACATATAACGCAGTGTCTAGGGCTTTGTATGCTGCACACATCGAAGGATGATACCTTTGGAAAAATGAACAAGAGTGTAAAATTTTTCCTATGCATTAATAACTACTGGCTCTGATCAAAGTCCACAGACTTAGCTGGTCATTAATTCTCCATAAATGCCATACAAAGAGAGAATTACTGCTTCAGAGGGTTTTCAGTGGCACATTTTTGGTGAATGATGTGGTATAAACTGGTATTTACAAGGTACTTTTGAGATAATTAGTGTTAAGTATTAGTTGAACCATTTCCAATAGTCCATTTGAAACCCTATCCACAGGCAGCAGCTGAAGGGACATTTTGAATCTATATTCTCTAGATCTTGGGAAGGCATACTGGTCAAAAATGTTGACTTTAATTAGAGCTCACTCTGATGAAATTTAGCATCCTTGCCGGGCTCTTCTGAAATCTTGCCCCGCTTTCTACAGTGATATCACTGTCTGGGGTTGCACAGAGTGTTTGGCAGAGTGGCCTTGAATCTGGCATTCCTCAGGTCCCCTGGGAGCATGCCTTCCCAGATCTATACAGACCCTGGGAAACATACAACACCCGAAGGGCCATTTAAATGTGTTATGCAGGCTTCTCCTGTTTCTGAAGATGCCCAGCCTGACCTGTGCTAATGCAGCTCTCTGCTGATGATCACTTAAACCCCACAGGACCTTCTCTTTGCATCTTTTGGATAGATTACTTGTTCAACCTTAAACTGTCTGCTCTTTCTACCTCTGTCTACCGCATGGTTCAGCATTTAAAGATTCTTATCATAAGATTCAGCCACCTCCTTCATGAATCCTTAAGGACTGTCCCTAAGACTCTTCCCAACATCTCTCTTTCTATTCTGTGGACTATGATAGAACATTCCAGTGCTTACTTCTTTAGTTGTACTGCTTTATGAGCAAGTCTGCAATGAAAAACAATGGTGGAAAAATGCTGACTTCCCTACCTTTTCATTCTGGGGCAATTATTAGTCCAGTGGGCCGTCTGTATCCGTGGGTTCTGTGTCTGTGAATTCAATCAACTGAAGATCCAAAATATTCTTTAAAAATTGCATTAATATCTGTACAGGTCACAGAGACCTTGCTGATAAAACAGCATGTGGTAAAGAAGCCAGCCAAATCCCACCAAAACCAAGATGGCCACGAACGTGACCTCTGATTGTCCTCATTGCTCATTATACTGTAATTATAATGCATTAGCATGCTAAAAGACACTCCCACCAGTGCCGTGACAGTTTGCAAATGCCATGGCAACATCAGGAAGTTACCCCGTATGCTCTAAAAAGGAGAGGAACCCTCAGTTCCTGGAATTGCTCACCCCTTTCCTGGAAAACTCATGAATAATCTACCCCTTATTATTCATGAGTTTAGCACATAATCAAGAAATAAACATAAAAATAGCCAAGCAGCAACCCTTGGGCCTGCTCTGCCTATGGAGTTGCCATTCTTTTATTCCTTTACTTTCTTAATAAACTTGCTTTCACTTAAAAAAAAAGGTATCTCTACTGAATATGTACAGACTTTTCCCCTTGTTGCTATTCCCTAAATAATATAACAACTATTTACATGGCATTTATGTTACGTTAGGTATTATAAATAATCTAGAGTTGATTTAAAATATATGGGAAGATGTGCATAGTTACATGCAAATACTACACCATTTTATATCATTACCTTGAACATCCTCAGATGTTGGTATCCAAGGGTTGTCCTGGAACCAATTTCCCGTGATACTGGGGATGACTATACTATCTTCCTTTGCTGAAGAAAAAGTGAAAACTAGATTTGAACAGGAAAAAGAGTAAACAACCTATGACATGCTGAAGCTCCATGCATTTGAGTTTCTGTGTGTACTGTGGTTGTTTTATACTGCTTGTTTGAACTCTCATACTGTACTGTTCCTGTGTTGCCGTACTCAAATAGGTTTACTAACCTATCTCTCTAGCAAGGTCCTCTCTCTTGTTGATTTGAAAGTAGAGTGGTTGCATAGGTGGTAGTGAATAAGGGACAGCTGGGTCTTTGCACATTTGCTGCAGACCATTAGAGCTTGTCTTTAAAGATCATATGGTTCAGGTAACACTTTTACTCTAGAGGACACTTAGCTCCTGAGCAGCTAAATAGTTTTCCCAGAGTTATAACCTGTGAGAATCCCTGGTCTTTTGTCTCTCAGTCCAGCATTTTGGTCACTACATCTACCTGCCACGCTAATTTCATTCACTTGATCTCTGTCCATCAAAATACACACACACACACACACAGACACACACACACACACCCTTTGGAAGATAGCATTTTAGACAAGAGTACCACCTTTTGAGCTAGTAACACCTAGGTTTGAATTCTACTCAACACTAACTAGTTATATGACTTAATTAATTCATCCTTCTAAGCTGTATATTTTCCTCATCTGTAAATTGAAGACAATAGTTCATAAAGTTGTTGTAAGGATTAAATAATTTAATGCATATGTAAACTGCTTAACAAATTGCGTAGTACCTAAGTGTCCTGTAAAATCTCTCTCTCTACTCATATGTGCAAGGCACTGAGCCAGGTCAAAGAGTCAATGCAAACAGGTACTTCTTATTTAAATAGGAAAGCATCATACTTCTTATTGTATTTCTTAGACAATTTCGCTTAACATCGCTCTAGTTATATTACATAGGTTATATACTATATTGGTTTGAGATCCTTAAAGAAGAGAGAAGTTTATTTTTTTTCTCAGATAAAAGTGTGAGGTAAGCATTCCAAATTGGTAGGTGCTCTGCTCCACAAATCATTCAGGGATCCAGGGTCCTTCTGAAGTTGTGCTCTGCCACCTAGTAGGGCATTGTTGATGTCTGGGGTATGGTTGGTGGGAAGGAAGGAGAGTGTGAAGGAGGCAAACTTACTCTCTTCAGGTGTGGGCCCTGAGTTGCACATCACTTCCACTAACATTTCATTGGCAAAAACATAGTCACAGGGCCATATCTAACTGCAAAAGACTAGAAAACTAGGGCAGGTAGGCAACCCATGACCAGATTAGGGTTTTGTTGTTACAGAAAAAGGGGAGAATGGGTTTCAATGGACAACTAGCAAGCTTTGCCTTAGAGAGCCAACACTGATGAGGGGTTGTGTGGCATGGTAGAAGGAATTAGTCAGGACCTGGTTTCTGACTCTACTTCAGCCCGAGGCTTGCATTATGACCTTGGCCACATGCCTAACCCCTTGCACCTCAGTTTCCTTAGTATGAAGGAAGACCTGGGACTGCTCATCTCCAAGATTTCTTCTAGCTGTATGAAGCCCTCACTGATCACCTTGTCTCAATGGTTCCCTTTCTCCTCCTAAAGCATCTCTTCACTGTGCATCTCATGGGACATAACTAATACAACTTTATTTGCTAAGAGCTTTTATTTCCTTTCATTAAACTATGGGCTTTGTAAAGGAACAAGTATATCATAGCATTTTGAAGGTATCAGAAGAAGATCAAACAGTATATGTAAGTTGGTTGATTGGTTGGTTGGTGAATATGAATAATTTGGAACTCATTTGATAAAGATACTATAGATATGAAGTACTGCAGAATGATTTTCTTTGGGAATGAAGCAGAGCTGAGAGAATAACCTCTAAGATCTGTTCTGTGCTCAAATTTTATGATTCTATGATTCAGCAGCTCTTCTTAAGTTGGGAGAAATCCCATCTTGGTTTCCTATGGTGGCACTCCCTCTAAAAAATTATCACCAAGTTGAACTTCTGGATAAAAGTTTCCGTCTCCTCCAGTGGCTTCTGCAAGGTCAATTTAATACACATTAAAAGGAAATATTCTCACCTCTACGAATAGAGCTTTATTTTTAAATCCTTTAGCCTTTCAGGCAAGGGTCTGAGTACTTACAGGATATTAAAATGCAGGACCATGTAGTTTGCTGAGCTTTTGAATCATATTTTGTACATTTAAATCCTAAAACAAATCCCTTAGAGATTCACTTTAAAACAGTGTATTAAGCATTTATTCTATAAAAATCCAAGTCCCTGTTTTGAAGTCAGCCTCCATCAAGTTTGTTCCTGGTAGGAGTGACTAAGTACCAAATAAGTACAGCAGTGCTTCTCCAAATTCTGTTGAGCATTTGAGTCATCTGGGCATCTGATTAAAGTGCAGATTCTGATTCAGGAGGTGTAGGGTGGGGGGTGACTGAGATTCTGCATTTTAACAAGCTCCCAGATGATTCCCTGATGCTGCTGGTCTGTGGACTGAGCTTTGAGCAAGGATGTAAGGAATATTTCCCATTTACATGACACTTAAAGATGTTCTGCTACTAGCTGATTAAATATAGGGTAATTATGTTGCCTCATATTACAGTGATTTGTATCTGTTATCTTTTTAAGACTGTAAGATCCTGACACCCAGGAAAGAGCCCTATTTATTCTACCTCATCTTCTCCTATAAATTTAGCACACTTTCGTGTACTCCATAAGCCTTTGAAACTAATTGTTAAATGGTAGAAAAGTCTAACTGAATGCTGTTTCATTCCACGTGGTGAGTAGAGGTTATATACAGCTATCTGTCCTGGGACATATTTGTTGCTTTCTGTCTCAGAATTAATCTATGAGAGGAAATGTGGCCCCATAGAGAATCAAATTGGAAATACTTTTTCTTAGCGCTTTATTTTCCTGTCTATAATAGAGACTATTGACATACACATTAGCAAATGGCTTGAATAGTCCTCAGGGCTTGGGGCAGTCACTGCAGCTATTAGAGTGAAGTTATGAAAGTTTACATGGCTTTCTTTATTTAGCAGTGGCAGCGTAGTGTGTGCCTTTCTTGAAATCCAGGTGTAAGGGAGAGGGTGACTCCATGGTCTGAACCAGGACAGGTGGGAAATCATGAGCATATTTGGTTGCCCTGAACCAGACCCAAATGAAATTAAATGGTGAGGTATGGAACATTATTATTATTATTATTATTATTATTTTTTTTTTTTTTTTGAGACAGAGTCCTTCTCTTGCACACACTGGAGTGGCACGATCTTGGCTCACTGCAATCTCTGCCTCCCAGGTTCAAGTGATTCTTCTGGCATTACAGGTGCCTGCCATCAAGCCCAGCTATTTTTTGTATGTTTAGTAGAGATAGGGTTTCACCATGTTGGCCAGGCTGGTCTCGAACTCCTGACTTCAGGTAATCTGCCTGCCTCAGCCTGCCAAAGTGTTGGGATTACAGTCATGAGCCACTGTGCCTGGCCTGGAACATTATATTTTATATCCAAATTTTCAATGCAACGTAGCACTTTGTGCATAAACCATCACATACAAATTGTATGTACTACTGCAGGCCTTGGTGGTTTCACTGGCAAGTGACATTACCACATAATTGCTTTTGGAAGAAGAAACGATGTCCTTGGATATTATGTAGTTAAGAAACCGTATAGATATAATCTTGCAGGCAGCTAAATCTTCACTGCCTATTCAGTATGACTTCAAAGCCTTTCCCATCACTCAGCTGGCCAACATAGAAACTGAAAGGAGTGGAAAGTGGCCGTGGTAATGCCAAAGAATCTGTGTGTTACCAGTCTCCATAGAGAAGTGGGAGGTTTATGTGATCATTCACACAAAACCTGCTTAGCTCCATTCCCCACTTCACAGGCAGAGTCACAGACTGTCCTTGCCATCACTCATGTGCTCTACTTGACCCTGAGCTCTGGGCCCAACAGATCAGGGTTTGATTTTTGGCCCCACCACTTGTGTAAGTTATTTTGCTTTTCTCTGTGTTAGTTTTCTCATGTGTAAAATGGGGATAGTAGATTAAATACTTTTCACAGAGTCTTTGAGACGTACCAAGGGCGCTAAATCTAAATATTATTTTCTTAACATCCCAACTCAGAGAAGCTAAATCTTTTTGTCTCTCTAGAGCTTAAAATCCAGCATGTGATAGAATATTTATAAGCACTGTATGGTATAGAAAAGTGAAAAACATGACGTAAAGACCCATGTGTGGTTGTCACTACGGAATGGGGTTGTGACTGACGTGACCTGTAGCACATGTGAACATTCTCCACTAACAAAAGTTATGGAGGCGAGGCGAGGATCCTTAGGTGAGGATCATGCAATGCCAGAGAAGACAGTGTGCTCCCAGACACAGGGACTGCCCTCGTGGTAACTGCATCTTAGTTGGGGTGGGGAAGGGACAGACATTCATCAAGTAATCCCCAGTCTTTAAGTTATGACAAGTTCTATAAAGGATATTAGGTGGCTAGAGATCTTCTACCAGGGGCCTTGGCCTGATGGGGGTCAGAGAAGGCTTCCCTGGGAATGTGTTTATGAACCGAGATATATAGAGAAGGGAAGCAGGGGCTGAGGAAGGGAATTGATCTATGAAGGGTGGGGGCAGGAAGAAGTTTTTGAAGACTTCAGAGAAGGCCACTGTGCCTGGAGCCAGCAGGAAGTGCACTGGGGGCTGGTGAACCAACAGGGACCAAACCCTGCAAGACCCTGCTGTGCAGGGTGAGGGTTTGGGATTTTATGCTGTGAGCAATGGGGTGCCGTGGAATAGCACATGGGTGCCATGGAATGGCACATAAAATAGGATAGAATAGCACATATGCTAATGTTCTCCTTGAATTTTAAAGGCATCACTCCGGCTGCAGGATGTCTTGTAAGGACTGCTATATAAAGAGTGGAAGTGGAGTGAAGAAGTAACAAGAATAGATGTGAGGAAGCCAGTGAGGAGCTTGTCACAATAGACTGGGCAACAGGAAAGATGGCTTTTACTGGGACAGGAAGAAGAGTGGATGGATTCAAGAGTAATTTAGGAGGTAGGATCAAAAGATCTTGGTGGCCAACTGGATCTTGAGAGCGAGGGAAGGGTAGTGTTAAAGGGGACTCCTAGTTTCTGGATGATGCAGGTGTGCAGGTAGGGGTGTTCTCCCTGAGATGAGAGAGAGCAGGGCAGAACCTGAGTTAGGGGAAGAGTAGGGGTGGGGAGAGGGAGCAATCACGAGTTCAGTTTTGGTTATGTTGAGTTTGAGGTACATGAGACACTGAAGGAGAGAAATGTCTGGAGCTCAAAGGAGAGGCAGAGCTGGAACTGTGAGCTTTGCAGCCAGCATTGGATGGTAACGATGCCATGGGAGTCGGTGATGATGTCTAGGGTGCGAGGTCAGAGGGACAAGGATAATGGCTTGGAACTGGACCCTGAGGAACTACTATAATTCACAGGTGAAGTAGAGTAAGTCAGACCCTCCAAAGAAGCTGAGAAGGAGCAGCCAGAGAGGTGAGGGGAAACGTGGTGTCACAGAAGCCAATGGAAAGGACTGTTTCAATATAGAGGGAGTGGTCGACTGAGGGAATGCACCCAGAGGCAAACCAACACAAACGGACAGCTCGGAAAATAAAAAGCTCTGAAGTCAGGAGGCAGTTCGAATCTAGTATTTTTAGAATGTTCCCATGAAACCCGCTCTTCCTTAGCTTCCTCCATTGTAAAATGGGATAGCAGCAGAGTTCTTTTGAGAACTGTGTGAGATGTGTGTAAGATACTTGGCACAGAGCTGGCACCCAGCTACTGGGGTCCAGCAAATGGTAGCTGGTATAATAATGAGCACAGGTGTGGTGGAGGAAATGAGAATAAGAGGAACAGGGGCATGGGGGTGCGCAGGACACAGTCCCTGGTCTCACTGGAGCTCAGCGTTTGTAGCTGGGAAGATGAAAAAGTTTAAGTGAATCCGAAGGAGGGACCTTGGATGCTGGGCCAGCAGGGGTTGCAAATTCTGGGCCTAATCTGGTTGGGAGATGACCAGGGCCTAGAGTAAGGGCAGGGCAGGGAGGGGAAGGCAGAGACCCTTTGGGTAATTTATCAGGACTTTGGAAGTGGTCTGGAACAGAATCGAGAGGTTGAAAGTTGTTTTTAGCATTCAAGCTTAGAATAGGGTTTTCTCTTTCTTTCTGTATATTTGAGTTGTTAACTAGATAATCAGGCCTAGCTGTCTTTTAAAGAGTGCTCTATGAAACTCAGTTGGGGAAGCAGCATGCCACTGTCACCTTGTTCTTCCTGATGCAAAGTGAAGACTGGACACTAAGCTTGGAGCCTGGAGGGACCTCCAGAAGTCAAGGAGAGAGTTCATATAAGACCGTTCAATTTGAAGAAATAGAAATTAAATAAAAAATGACTTCAGTCTAGACGATGCCCTGGAATGAAAAGGACAAGGATGGTTTGGTGTAACAGATAATGACTTATTTTATTAAAAGTTAAGGAGAGAGAGGCAAAGAGTTGTCTCTACCCTGTAAAGGTTCTCTGAATGAATGTATTGGTTATTCAAGTGCAAGTACTTATTTTCTTTGGTGGAACTATTCCTTTTGTAATTTTGGCTGGGCTGACAGTTCCATCAGTTGAACATTCAGTAGTCCTGGCCTAGACCAGTGGTGTGCCATGAAGTGTGCACATTAGAATGAGTGAGTGTGGGTCTTACCTCAGAGGTTTGTGTCATCTGTTAGATTTTCTAGCCTCCCCATTCTTAGGAGCCTGAAGCTGCTGAGAAAAGATGAATCTATTTACTCTGGAGGGGCAGCTTGGCTGATGTGGTATTTTCTGAAGTCATCAGCTGGCCCTAGAAATTGATGTGGTTAATTTCATTGTTATCCTCTGTGCTGCTCTTCAAACCATTTTTACCTGCTAAGTTGCCACAGATTTTGTATCGTTGATGATCATTGGCAAGAACATAAGAACAAATAGTAGATTTGTTAACCCCCTCCCCCAAATAGATCCTTGAATCTCGTATGGGTGCCTGATCAACCATAGTTGCATTCCCCAAAAAAGTTATCACCTGACATTACAGTGTAGAAAGAATAATAAATAGGGAATCTTTCCTTTAATTGTAGAATTTTCCTTAAATAATGTCTTTCATCCGATTTTATTTCTATTTGTGACATAATGTCACATACTGTTGATACCATTAAGATGTGGAAGAGTTTAATGCCAGACACTCTATCTGGCAAACAAGAACAGGTGGTTGCCAGGAGTCGAGGGGAGGGAAAATTGCAGAGCTGTTGTTTAATGGATATAGCGTTTCAGTTTTGTAACATGAAAAAGTTCTGGCTATTTGTTGCTGCACAACAATGCATATACTTAACATTGTTGACCTGCACACTAAAGAATGGTGAAGATGGTAAATTTTACATAAATGTTATGTGTTTTTTAAACCACAATTAAAAAAAAAAACCAAGAGCAATAAAACAGAAAAAAAGAGGCAAACCTCAACATAAGGCAAGACTGAGTCAACAGCTCAGCTCTTCCTTACCTTCAGGCCTATTGCTCTGGGAACTGTCACAGATCTTCATGTCTGTGCTTTGTTTCCTTGTGTTCCCCCTTGATCAATTCCTCCTATAGGAGAATGTAGTCACTCACATGGGTGATTGGTTTGCCACTGACTATCACCAGGTCGAATGGGTAGAGAGAGAGGAAGGCATGAATTTGAGTAGTGTAAGGATAGGGCTTTGAGGACTGTGGTCCTCCTTAGGCTGGTGTGGCCTGAACTGCGAGGAAAGCAGCCAGAAGTTCTACTCCAGCGTTTAAGGACCTATCAGGAGGGTCTCTTTGTCCCTGCCCCCTTCCACAGCACTGCACCTGCAGGGCTAGAGGGTGGGTTGCCCTAACAGCATTTGCTTTCCCAGTTGAAAGAGCAACGCACAGAGGTAAAAGCCATTGGGAAAATGCTTCACTTGAAGCCAGCAGTTAGAAGGTGAATGTCATGCCATGGGACCTCAGATGTGCACCATAGACAAATTACTGAGAAATCCAGGTTTGATTCAGTTCTTTCAATTCTCTATGTGAGCACCTAGATGGAGAAAAAAATCTTGACCAAAAATGCTTCTGTCCATTCACACTGTAAGCCAAAGGAACATTGAATCATAAAGGGAATAAACTGGGATTTAGGATTCAATAGTTCAGACACACAAAAAAGAAGTGTTGTTCTTTTTCTGAGCAGTAGTGGAGGTGCCCGGGTTGTGAGAAGGATGAGCTTACTGTGTCACACCATCATGCCTCCAAGTCATTCATTTTAACAGTCCAGGGAGTGAAGTGAGTTCTCTCCCTGAGTTTCAGTAGCAGTAAAAGTTCTCCCTAATTAATGCCTTTGTTTATTTTATTTTATTTTATTTTTTTTTGTGACAGCCACCTCTGTCATCATGGGCACTTAACCACTTGTCTTATATTAATTCTCATGAGGGCTTCCCTGTTGGACTTTAAGCTCCTTGAAGGCAGGACCTGGGTCATAATCATCTCTGCATCCATCCTTCAGCAAGTTTGCAGAAGCTTAATCAAAGGTTGATTGAATCACCCCAGAGAAATTACATGGGCTGTTCAGGTTCAAAACATTTCATTCTTCTGGCTGTAATTCTTTGTTTTTACTTTGTAACCTAAAATACATGTTACTTTTGGTGCTGAAACTATCATGCATAAAACTGACTGCTGACACAGACAGGAAGACAGTATCTTTGAAAATAATGTGCAATTGAGAATCTATGATTATGACATTTTTTATACTTCAGAAATAAGTATATCTTGCAGCAGTGAATCATCTATATTCTGTGGCACAGTTTTTCTTTGATTTTTCTTTTTTTTTTTTTTTTGGGACGGAGTCTTGCTCTGTTGCCCCAGCTGGAGTGCAGTGGTGCCATCTCGGCTCACTGCAAGCTCCGCCTCCTGGGTTCACACCGTTCTCCTGCCTCAGCCTCCCTAGTATCTGGGACTACAGGTGCCCGCCACCACGCCTGGCTAATTTTTTTTGTGTTTTTAATAGAGATGGGGTTTCACCATGTTAGCCAGGATGGTCTCGATCTCCTGACCTCATGATCCGCCCTCCTTGGCCTCCCAAAGTGCTGGGATTACAGGCATGAGCCACGGTGCCCAGCCAGTTTTTCTTTCATTTTTCTTAAATTTGTTTCTCTCATCAGTGAGGCTTAATGTATTTTGATCAGAAGTTCAGTAGGTTCGTTTTCCCATTTATGAAATAAAGAGTTTAATTATGGGTGCAAAGCATTTTCAAGTTGCTTTTGAGTGACTTTCTCACTTCACACTCAATGTCAGTCACTCACAGAGATTATTTTCCTTGGCTCTCCCTTGTCTTTCTAGGTCATATGTCTCGCTCTTGTTTTGCCCCTTGCTTATACTCACATTCTTTGTTTTTTTCCTTCCTGTTTTCAACATTTTTCTCATGCTATTTTTCTTGGTTGTTGTTCCCTTCAAAGAAAATTGCTCTTCTATTAGAAAAAGTACCAAGTTCTCTCCAGAAGCAGACAAGCATAAAGTGCTGACTGCCAAGGTGAACGCTCAGCAATTTGAAGGGCTGGAGAAAGCCGCACTGGTCAGTGTTACGGGAATGCCTCTTATCATCACCACACAAATCCAGTTCTCCTTTTAGGCAGCCTGCTATTAATTACATCCAAATCAGCTTTTCAAAAAGCAAATGCCGTTCATTAAAGTCGCACAACCATTTAATCTTTTTGCTTCATCTGTGATTGAGTCCATAGCAACCAGATGTAGCTTGATGCCTTTATATTTTTAGAATAAAAGAAGTAAGTTAGTAAAGATCATTTATAGGCCTGGCAGATGAGAAGATAAAAGATGCAGTTGTCTTTGATAAGGGGTCTTGGGTTTTTCCCGTTATAAGCTTTTGTGACTTTAACTCTCCAGAGATTCCAGTGTCACCTTTACCTCTTTTGTGAGAAGTCCTTTTGGGCAACATGTATGAGTTCATACTCAGTTAATGAGAATTCCTTTTTGCAGGATTCCACTGGAGCTAAATTGGTAACTTTAACAGTTTCCTCCCTATCATACCCAAGGCTGCAGGCATTTTCCTGTTCTGCTTAGAGAATATTTCTAAGCTCTGCTTCACTCTGCTTCAGACTTGCTCACTTGCCTGGTTTCCTTGGTTTCTGTTCTCTGCCATCTACCCAGATCCTTCTACTTTACCTGGCTTTTCTGGGTGGATGCTTATTTGGTGGTTTGCTTGACTTATGACCTGGGGACTTGGCGGGTCCCTAAGGCTTTTTTTCCTATTCCTATGCAGTGCAACCTCCCATCCTTTACCCAAGCTCCTTAATTACTGCACCTTAAACCAACCTGGATTCATTGCCTCAGATTCTTACTTCTTGGAGCAGGGAGGAGTCAGACTCTATCATTAATTTTGGATTGTGACTACCTCATCTGAAAAGTATATGTGGCTAGGAGGAGAGCACAGGCTCTGCAGCCAGTCTCCTTGGGTTCAAATCCCAGGTCTGCCACTTATAAGCTGTGTGATTTTGGGCAAGAAGTTTAACCTCTTTTACCCCAGTTCTCTCATCTGTGCAGTGGAGATAATGGCTGTACCTACCTTACAGGGTTGAAATGAAGAGTAAAAAATTACTCTATGTAAAGGGCTTAGAACAGTGTGTCTGCTACACAGTTAACACTATATGTTTTAACTGTTACTAAGACATTAAAATCCACATTCACTAAACTCTGACTGCCAGCAATAAGGCAGATGGATTAGATCAATGCTTATCAGAGGGGGATCCAAACGTTTACTGTGAGAAAATTTAAATCTTGTGCTCTCATTTGGATGAAAATGTAAATACATCAAGATAAGCATATTTTTGGATTATTTGGACAACTTTTCATAGCTGATAATCCCACGTTATTAGAAAGCCTGCATTTGCATTGTGTTTACGGTCGTATTATTATGCAATGATGACCATGATATTGAGGCTGGCTGCAAGGAAGGCCTAGCTATGGTCTTAGAGAAAAGAGTGGAGGGGGAATAGAGTCTCTTCCAGTACATGTAATCTGAGCCTGTCAAACTGTTAGAGACCAGCTCTGTAGCAGTCAGTACATAGCCACATTTTAGTGACTGGTGCACTAAAACAAATTTGGGTTTTATTAGGATTTTACTTAATTTAGGAATTTGTTTTGGTTTTATGGTAATATAAAAGAGCTATCAGGATTCGGAGTTTTATGTAGGCTTACGGTTACATTTATTTAAGTAACATTATAATAAAAATAATTTGTTAGCACTGGAGGGCCATAAGAATTTTTATCTCATAAAAGGAGTCTGTCCAGATATTTCTCAAACCTGGGCAAGATGAGACCACTCTGTGCTTCCCAAATGCCAGTATATGAATTGTGCTAAGAAGGTGGTAAAAGAAAGTCCCTTGGGAAGTTTGTTAAAAATACAGACACTTAGGCTTTATCCTGTAGTTGCTGAGCTGGGCCAGTGAACCTTTATTTTTGCTGAGTTGCTCAGGTAATTTTGCTAAGCAACAGGTTTGGGCTCTTTGAAGTAGATGGTCTTTCAGTGTTCTTCCTAGCCCTGGGATTTTAGGATTCCGTGTCTTCATCTTCGAAATTGACATAATGGTACTTGTGCCTTTCTTACTGCACAAGGGAGTAGCAAGCATTAATGAGGCAATTTTTGTAAGTGTTCTTGGAAGAAAAGTACAATTTAAATATAATATATTGAGGCCAGAATTGAACTAGATCATCTCAGCACGCAAATTGTCCCCTCAGAACAAAGAGGTGACTCAGGTCATTAGAACATCTCAGCAAGTTCTTGATTACTGCTACCAGGGATTTAGTTTCCAAACGTATTGGTCCATCTCTAGATGGAATCAAGCCCTGTGAAACCTGGTCCATTACCGTGGGATTTACAAATTAGCAACAAGGCTGGACAGGAATGTGCATAATGAGGCACCCTGTGCTTATTGTATTATACTACTTTCCTTGGGCTGCCATAACAAAAGACCATAAACTGGGTGGCTTACAAGAGAAATGTGTTCTCTCCCAGTTCTGGTGGCTGGAAGTAAAAAGCCAGGTGTCAGCAGGGTTGGTTCCTTCTTGAGGCTGAGGGAGAGCCTGTTTCATGCTTCCTTCCTAATTTCTGGCTGTGCCTGGTGATACTTGGTGTTTCTTGACTTGTAGATTGCTCACTCTAATCTCTGCCTTCCTTGTTAATGGCTGTCTTCTTCTTGTGTGTCTCTGTGTTTTCACATGGGATTCTTCTCTGTGAGTCTTGTTCTCTCTTCATCTTCTTATAAGAACATCAGTCATATTGGATTAGGGGCATATCCTACTCCAGTATGACCTCATTTTAATTTAATTATATCTGTGACCACCCTAATTCCAATTGGGTCACATTCTGAGGGACTGAGGGTTAAGCCATCAACATATATTTTTAGGGGACAAAATTCAACTCACAAGACCGTGTTTCTTTTTTTTTTTTTATTATACTTTAAGTTCTAGGGTACATGTGCAGAACGTGCAGGTTTGTTACATATGTATACATGTGCCATGTTGGTGTGCCGCACCCATTAACTCGTCATTTACATTAGGTATATCTCCTAATGCTATCCCTCCCCACTCCCCTCACCCCACAACAGGGCCCGGTGTGTGATGTCCCCCTTCCTGTGTCCAGGTGTTCTCATTGTTCAATTCCCACCTATGAGTGAGAACATGTGATGTTTGGTTTTTTGTCCTTGCGATAGTTGGCTGAGAATGATGGTTTCCAGCTTCATCCATGTCCCTACAAAGCACATGAACTCATCATTTTTTATGGCTGCATAGTATTCCATGGTGTATATGTGCCACATTGTCTTAATCCAGTCTATCATTATTGGACATTTGGGTTGGTTCCAGGTCTTTGCTATTGTGAGTAGTGCCACAATCAACATACATGTGCATGTGTCTTTATAGCAGCATGATTTATAATCCTTTGGGTATATACCCAGTAATGGGATGGCTGGGTCAAATGGTATTTCTAATTCTGGATCCCTGAGGAATCGCCATACTGTCTTCCACAATGGTTGAACCAGTTTACAGTCCCACCAACAGTGTAAAAGTGTTCCTATTTCTCCACATCCTCTCCAGCACCTGTTGTTTCCTGGCTTTTTAATGATCACCATTCTAACTGGTGTGAGATGGTATCTCATTGTGGTTTTGATTTGCATTTCTCTGATGGCCAGTGACGATGAGCATTTTTTCATGTGTCTGTTGGCTGTATAAATGTCTTCTTTTGAGAAGTGTCTGTTCATATCCTTCTCCCACTTTTTGATGGGGTTGTTTTTTTCTTGTAAATTTGTTTGAGTTCTTTGTAGATTCTGGATATTAGCCCTTTATCGGATGAGTAGATTGCAAAACTTTTCTCCCATTTTATAGGTTGCCTGTTCACTCTGATGGTAGTTTCTTTTGCTTTGCAGAAGCTCTTTAGTTTAATTAGATCCCATTTGTCAATTTTGGCTTTTGTTGTCATTGCTTTTGGTGTTTTAGACATGAAGTCATTGCCCATGCCCATGTCCTGAATGGTATTGCCTAGGTTTTCTTGTAGGGTTTTTATGGTTTTAGGTTTAACATTTAAGTCTTTAATCCATCTTGAATTAATTTTTGTATAAGGTGTAAGGAATGGATCCAGTTTCAGCTTTCTACATATGGCTAGCCAGTTTTCCCAGCACCATTTGTTAAATAGGGAATCTTTTCCCCATTTCTTGTTTTTGTCAGGTTTGTCAAAGATCAGGTGGTTGTAGATGTGTGGTATTATTTCTGAGGGCTCTATTCTGTTCCATTGGTCTATATCTCTGTTTTGGTACCAGTACCGTGCTGCTTTGGTTACTGTAGCCTTGTAGTATAGTTTGAAGTCAGGTAGTGTGATGCCTCCAGCTTTGTTCTTTTGGCTTAGGATTGATTTGGCAATGCGGGCTCTTTTTTGGTTCCATATGAACTTTAAAGTAGTTTTTTCCAATTCTGTGAAGAAAGTCATTGGTAGCTTGATGGGGATGGCATTGAATCTATAAATTACCTTGGGCAGTATGGCCATTTTCACTATATTGATTCTTCCTATCCATGAGCATGGAATGTTCTTCCATTTGTTTGTATCCTCTTTTATTTCATTGAGCAGTGGTTTGTAGTTCTCCTTGAACTCCTTGAAGAGGTCCTTCACATCCCTTGTAAGTTGGATTCCTAGGTATTTCATTCTCTTTGAAGCAATTGTGAATGGGAGTTCACTCATGATTTGGCTCTCTGTCTGTCTGTTATTGGTGTATAAGAATGCTTGTGATTTTTGCACATTGATTTTGTATCCTAACACTTTGCTGAAGTTGCCTATCAGCTTAAGGAGATTTTGGGCTGAGACGATGGGGTTTTCTAGATATACAATCATGTCAACTGCAAACAGGGACAATTGGACTTCCTCTTTTCCTAATTGAATACCCTTTATTTCCTTCTCCTGCCTAATTGCCCTGGCCAGAACTTCCAACACTATGTCGAATAGGAGTGGTGAGAGAGGACATCCCTGTCTTGTGCCAGTTTTCAAAGGGAATGCTTCCAGTTTTTGCCCATTCAGTATGATATTGGCTGTGGTTTTGTCATAAATAGCTCTTATTATTTTGAGATACGTCCCATCAATACCTAATTGATTGAGAGTTTTTAGCATGAAGCGTTGTTGAATTTTGTCAAAGGCCTTTTCTGCATCTATTGAGATAATCATGTGGTTTTTGTCATTGGTTCTGTTTATATGCTGGATTACATTTATTGATTTGCATCTGTTGAACCAGCCTTGCATCCCAGGGATGAAGCCCACTTGATCATGGTGGGTAAGCTTTTTGATGTGCTGCTGGATTCAGTTTACCAGTATTTTATTGAGGATTTTTGCATCGATGTTCTTCAGGGATATTGGTCTAAAATTCTATTTTTTTGTCGTGTCTCTGCCAGGCTTTGGTATCAGTATGATGCTGGCCTCATAAAATGAGTTAGGGAGGATTCCCTCTTTTTCTATTGATTGGAATAGTTTCAGAAGGAATGGTACCACCTCCTCCTTGTACCTGTGGTAGAATTCGGCTGTGAATCCTTCTGGTCCTGGACTTTTTTTGGTTGGTAAGCTATTAATTATTGCCTCAATTTCAGAGCCTGTAATAGAGAAGTTGTCTCTATTCAGAGATTCAAGTTCTTCCTGGTTTAGTCTTGGGAGAGTGTATGTGTCTAGGAATTTATCCATTTCTTCTAGATTTTCTAGTTTATTTGTGTAGAGGTGTTTATTGTATTCTCTGATGGTAGTTTGTATTTCTGTGGGATCGGTGGTGATACCCCCTTTATCATTTTTTATTGCATCTATTTGATTCTTCTCTCTTTTATTCTTTATTAGTCTTGCTAGTGTCAATTTTGTTGATATGTTCAAAAAACCAGCTCCTGGAGTCATTGATTTTTTGAAGGTTTTTTTGTGTCTCTATCTCCTTCAGTTCTGCTCTGATCTTAGTTATTTCTTGCCTTCTGCTAGCTTTTGAATGTGTTTGCTCTTGCTTCTCTAGTTCTTTTAATTGTGATGTTAGGGTGTCAATTTTAGATCTTTCCTGCTTTCTCTTGTGGGCATTTAGTGCTATAAATTTCCCTCTACACACTGCTTTGAATGTGTCCCAGAGATTCTGGTATGTTGTGTCTTTGTTCTCATTGGTTTTAAAGAACATCTTTATTTCTGCCTTCATTTCGTTATGTACCCAGTAGTCACTCAGGAGCAGTTTGTTCAGTTTCCATGTAGTTGAGCAGTTTTGAGTGAGTTTCTTAATCCTGAGTTCTAGTTTGATTGCATTGTGGTCTGAGAGACAGTTTGTTATAATTTCTGTCCTTTTACATTTGCTGAGGAGTGTTTTATTTCCAACTATGTGGTCAATTTTGGAAGAATAAATGTGATGTGGTGCTGAGAAGAATGTATATTCTGTTGACTTGGGGTGGAGAGTTCTGTAGATGTCTATTAGGTCTGCTTGGTGCAGAGCTGAGTTCAATTCCTGGATATCCTTGTTAACTTTCTGTCTCGTTGGTCTGTCTAATGTTGACAGTGGGGTGTTAAAGTCTCCCATTATTATTGTGTGGGAGTCTAAGTCTCTTTGTAGGTCTCTAAGGACTTGCTTTATGAATCTAGATGCTCCTGTATTGGGTGCATATATATTTAAGATAGTTACCTCTTCTTGTTGAATTGATCCTTTTACCATTATGTAATGGCCTTCTTTGTCTCTTTTGATCTTTGTTGGTTTAAAGTCTGTTTTATCCGAGACTAGGATTGCAACCCCTGCTCTTTTTTTGTTTTCCATTTGCTTGGTAGATCTTCCTCCATCCCTTTATTTTGATCCTATGTGTGTCTCTGCACATGAGATGGATTTCCTGAATACAGCACACTGATGGGTCTTGACTCTTTATCCAATTTGCCAGTCTGTGTCTTTTAATTGGAGCATTTAGCCCATTTACATTTAAGGTTAATATTGTTATGTGTGAATTTGATCCTGTCATTATGATGTTAGCTGGTTATTTTGCTTGTTAGTTGATGCAGTTTCTTCCTAGCATCGATGGTCTTTACAATTTGGCATATTTTTGCAGTGGCTGGTACCGGTTGTTCCTTTCCATGTTTAGTGTTCCCTTCAGGAGCTCTTGTAGGGCAGGCCTGGTGTTGAGAAAATCTCTCAGCATTTGCTTGTCTGTAAAGTATTTTATTTCTCCTTCACTTAGGAAGCTTAGTTTGGCTGGATATGAAATTCTGGGTTGAAAATCTCCTGGTGTGCCGTTTGCTAAGACCGTTGGAAAAGTGCAGTATTGGGGTGGGAGTGACTCGATTTTCCAGGTGCCATTTGTCACCCCTTCCCTTGGCTAGGAAAGGGAATTCTCTGACCCCTTACGCTTCCCGGGTGAGGCGATGCCTCGCCCTGCTTTGGCTCATGCTCAGTGTGCTGCACCCACTGTCCTGCAGCCACTTTCCGACACTCCCCATGGAGATGAACCCAGTACCTCAGTTGGAAATGCAGAAATCACCCGTCTTCTGCGTCGCTCACGCTGGGAGCTGTAGACTGGAGCTGTTCCTGTTCAGCCATCTTGGAACCGCCCCCTGACCATGTTTCATTTTACTTAGAGGAACGTAGGATACTTTACATTTCTGAATGAGTTCTTTTTCCAAAAATTGATTTGAAATGCAGAGGGCATTCTCCCTTAGAAACCATCTTCTATGTCATAGTGAGGTTTCTGGGGCAGCCCATAACAACTGATTTAGTTCACAATATACTGGAAGTAGAATTTCTGTTAAGGGTCCTATAGAACCTAAACAATGCACCAGACAAAATCTTGGTGGGAAAATATATTCCAGGTTTCAATTTAGGGTGCTTATCTGACCCAGCAATTCCATTACTGGGTATATACCCAAAGGAATGTATATCATTCTATCATAAAGACACAAGTACATGTATGTTCATTGCAGCACTATTCACAATAGGAAAGACATGGAAGCCACCTAAATGCCCATCAGTGGTAGACTGGGTAAAGAAAATATGCTACATATACACCATGGAATACTATGCAGCTATAAAGAAGAACAAGATAATGTCCTTTGCAGGAGCATGGATGGAGTTGCAGGCCATTATCCTAAGCAAACTAACACAGGAACAGAAAACCAAATCCTGCATATTCTCACTTATAAGTGGGAGCTAAATGATGAGAACACATGGACACATGGCGGGGAACAACAGACACTGGGGCCTGTTTAAGGGTGGAGGGTGGGAGGAGGGAGAGGTTTAGAACAAACAACGACTGGGTACTAAGTTTAATACCTGAGTGACAATCTGTACACCAAACCCCTGTGACACGAGTTTACCTATATAACAAACCTGCTCATGTACCCTTGAACCCAAAGTAAAAGTTAAAAAAAAAATCAATTTAGGGTGCTAAGAACCCAATTTTTCTCATCAGCTCCACTGGCTCTGGTGGGTCTTAGAAACTTCATACTTGTGTTTTTTCTTTCTTGGTTCTTCTGTGTTCATTTACATTTCCTTTTCGTTGTTGTTGTTTTTGTTCCCTGTTTTGGTTCTAGTATTACTTTTTATGTTATTGTTGTACCTGAAATCCCTTGTGGAAGGAGTGGAGAGTAGGGAAGGGAAATGCTCTGTGCTGTGGACAGTCTTTGTCCCACTTTCCTATTAAAATTTACTTGTCGTGATTCCTGATTTTTTCAGCATCATTGCTGCAGTTCTACATGATACCCAGCTATCCAGTATCTTAATTTCTCTTTTGTGTATGAGGAGTTCTAATGCATTTACTTCATAAGCCATAGTGTTGAGTCAGAGGGGCTCTCAGGAATGAGAAGCAGGAAATTCTAGTAGGTTAACTTTGTGTATCCTTCACATCATATTGTTTAAACAGTTTTTGTGCTGGCTGTGTGTCTCAGCCCTGTTCTTTTACTCCAGGCTCCTTAATGAGCCACTGCTGTCAGTTCAGGGAGGCTAATCCCTGGACTTAACCCTTTGTGGCCCTTCCTTTAAATGGCAAAGAGTTAATGGGAAAGATTTTCTTTTTTAAAAATAATCTCTGCAAAGTCTTTTCCTGAAATCAAGTGGTAGATATTGGTAAAGTGTTGTAAAAATGCAACGTGTTCAAATATCTTCAGAATATCCATTCTGAATCAACATGGGTAAATAGGCGTTTCTCTTTTCCTTAATTCAAAGGGATTGTGTTAGTTCAGGTCCTCTGATAAACAGAGGCAAGATGGGATTACTTGTGGCAGAGATTTATAGGGAGAAACACCTGGAAAGGATAAAGAGAAGGGAATAGGAGTAGGTGGGGAGAGCTCTCAGATTGCGATGCTAGACTGACTGCTGTGAAAGGAGGACTGAGAGAAAGACTCAAATGATAGTTCAGTTCTGAGAATGTTTTTGCCAGGCTGCTTGTGAGTTCTGGAGCCGAAGTGGCCCACTTGAGGACTCCTGTGTCCCACAGGAATGAGTCTGCACAGGTGCCCTGCTGTGCTCAGACATTGCCTGGGAGCAGTCCAGGGGAAGCGTGGACACTGCACAAATGTGGTAGTGGCTCCAGGGGTGGTGGTGGGTGCCTGGGACTGTCAGTTACCTATGCACCCCAACGACAGAAGAGCTACGCAGTGCATTTCCATGACTTTCTTAGGGATCTCTCTAGGGGTCCATGAACTCTAAGGGTAAAAATTGCATCCTTATTTTCAGTAACTTCTAACTGAATTTTAGTGGTTTGTCTAATTATGAGTGTAGCCAGTAGCCATAATGCAGTATATGTGTCTTTGTCACCAATAAATATTACAGATAATTTCATATCACATTATAGTTGTCACAGATAACTCAAAATGTCATTTATGCTCATCACTACTTTGAAACTATAGTAGTTATTAAACCGGCCACTATATCTTTTTATTTAATCAGATAGTACAAAGACATATTTACTATTGTATCACAAATTTAAAAGATAACTTGATAATGGAATTTAAGTATTTCTTTTTTTTTTTTTAATTTTTTTTTATTATACTTTAAATTTTAGGGTACATGTGCACATTGTGCAGGTTAGTTACATATGTATACATGTGCCATGCTGGTGCGCTGCACCCACTAACGTGTCATCTAGCATTAGGTATATCTCCCAGTGCTATCCCTCCCCCCTCCCCCGACCCCACCACAGTCCCCAGAGTGTGATATTCCCCTTCCTGTGTCCATGTGATCTCATTGTTCAATTCCCACCTATGAGTGAGAATATGCGGTGTTTGGTTTTTTGTTCTTGCGATAGTTTACTGAGAATGATGGTTTCCAGCTTCATCCATGTCCCTACAAAGGACATGAACTCATCATTTTTTATGGCTGCATAGTATTCCATGGTGTATATGTGCCACATTTTCTTAATCCAGTCTATCATTGTTGGACATTTGGGTTGGTTCCAAGTCTTTGCTATTGTGAATAATGCCGCAATAAACATACGTGTGCATGTGTCTTTATAGCAGCATGATTTATAGTCCTTTGGGTATATACCCAGTAATGGGATGGCTGGGTCAAATGGTATTTCTAGTTCTAGATCCCTGAGGAATCGCCACACTGACTTCCACAATGGTTGAACTAGTTTACAGTCCCACCAACAGTGTAAAAGTGTTCCTATTTCTCCACATCCTCTCCAGCACCTGTTGTTTCCTGACTTTTTAATGATTGCCATTCTAACTGGTGTGAGATGATATCTCATAGTGGTTTTGATTTGCATTTCTCTGATGGCCATTGATGATGAGCATTTTTTCATGTGTTTTTTGGCTGCATAAATGTCTTCTTTTGAGAAGTGTCTGTTCATGTCCTTCGCCCACTTTTTGATGGGGTTGTTTGTTTTTTTCTTGTAAATTTGTTTGAGTTCATTGTAGATTCTGGATATTAGCCCTTTGTCAGATGAGTAGGTTGCGAAAATTTTCTCCCATGTTGTAGGTTGCCTGTTCACTCTGATGGTAGTTTCTTTTGCTGTGCAGAAGCTCTTTAGTTTATTTAGATCCCATTTGTCAATTTTGTCTTTTGTTGCCATTGCTTTTGGTGTTTTGGACATGAAGTCCTTGCCCACGCCTATGTCCTGAATGGTAATGCCTAGGTTTTCTTCTAGGGTTTTTATGGTTTTAGGTCTAACGTTTAAATCTTTAATCCATCTTGAATTGATTTTTGTATAAGGTGTAAGGAAGGGATCCAGTTTCAGCTTTCTACATATGGCTAGCCAGTTTTCCCAGCACCATTTATTAAATAGGGAATCCTTTCCCCATTGCTTGTTTTTCTCAGGTTTGTCAAAGATCAGATAGTTGTAGATATGCGGCGTTATTTCTGAGGGCTCTGTTCTGTTCCATTGATCTATATCTCTGTTTTGGTACCAGTACCATGCTGTTTTGGTTACTGTAGCCTTGTAGTATAGTTTGAAGTCAGGTAGTGTGATGCCTCCAGCTTTGTTCTTTTGGCTTAGGATTGACTTGGCGATGCAGGCTCTTTTTTGGTTCCATATGAACTTTAAAGTAGTTTTTTCCAATTCTGTGAAGAAAGTCATTGGTAGCTTGATGGGGATGGCATTGAATCTGTAAATTACCTTGGGCAGTATGGCCGTTTTCACGATATTGATTCTTCCTACCCATGAGCATGGAACGTTCTTCCATTTGTTTGTGTCCTCTTTTATTTCCTTGAGCAGTGGGTTGTAGTTCTCCTTGAAGAGGTCCTTCACATCCCTTTAAGTTGGATTCCTAGGTATTTTATTCTCTTTGAAGCAATTGTGAATGGGAGTTCACTCATGATTTGGCTCTCTGTTTGTCTGTTGTTGGTGTATAAGAATGCTTGTGATTTTTGTACATTGATTTTGTATCCTGAGACTTTGCTGAAGTTGCTTATCAGCTTAAGGAGATTTTGGGCTGAGACAATGGGGTTTTCTAGATAAACAGTCATGTCATCTGCAAACAGGGACAATTTGACTTCCTCTTTTCCTAATTGAATACCCTTTATTTCCTTCTCCTGCCTGATTGCCCTGGCCAGAACTTCCAACACTATGTTGAATAGGAGCGGTGAGAGAGGGCATCCCTGTCTTGTGCCAGTTTTCAAAGGGAATGCTTCCAGTTTTTGCCCATTCAGTATGATATTGGCTGTGGGTTTGTCATAGATAGCTCTTATTATTTTGAAATACGTCCCATCAATACCTAATTTATTGAGAGTTTTTAGCATGAAGGGTTGTTGAATTTTGTCAAAGGCGTTTTCTGCATCTATTGAGATAATCATGTGGTTTTTGTCTTTGGCTCTGTTTATATGCTGGATTACATTTATTGATTTGCGTATATTGAACCAGCCTTGCATCCCAGGGATGAAGCCCACTTGATCATGGTGGATAAGCTTTTTGATGTGCTGCTGGATTCGGTTTGCCGGTATTTTATTGAGGATTTTTGCATCAATGTTCATCAAGGATATTGGTCTAAAATTCTCTTTTTTGGTTGTGTCTCTGCCCGGCTTTGGTATCAGAATGATGCTGGCCTCATAAAATGAGTTAGGGAGGATTCCCTCTTTTTCTGTTAATTGGAATAGTTTCAGAAGGAATGGTACCAGTTCCTCCTTGTACCTCTGGTAGAATTCGGCTATGAATCCATCTGGTCCTGGACTCTTTTTGGTTGGTAAACTATTGATTATTGCCACAATTTCAGAGCCCGTTATTGGTCTATTCAGAGATTCAACTTCTTCCTGGTTTAGTCTTGGGAGAGTGTATGTGTTGAGGAATTTATCCATTTCTTCTAGATTTTCTAGTTTATTTGCGTAGAGGTGTTTGTAGTATTCTCTGATGGTAGTTTGTATTTCTGTGGGATCGGTGGTGATATCCCCTTTATCATTTTTTATTGTGTCTATTTGATTCTTCTCTCTTTTTTTCTTTATTAGTCTTGCTAGCGGTCTATCAATTTTGTTGATCCTTTCAAAAAACCAGCTCCTGGATTCATTGATTTTTTGAAGGGTTTTTTGTGTCTCTATTTCCTTCAGTTCTGCTCTGATTTTAGTTATTTCTTGCCTTCTGCTAGCTTTTGAATGTGTTTGCTCTTGCTTTTCTAGTTCTTTTAATTGTGATGTTAGGGTGTTAATTTTGGATCTTTCCTGCTTTCTCTTGTAGGCATTTAGTGCTATAAATTTCCCTCTACACACTGCTTTGAATGCGTCCCAGAGATTCTGGTATGTGGTGTCTTTGTTCTCGTTGGTTTCAAAGAACATCTTTATTTCTGCCTTCATTTTGTTATGTACCCAGTAGTCATTCAGGAGCAGGTTGTTCAGTTTCCATGTAGTTGAGCGGCTTTGAGTGAGATTCTTAATCCTGAGTTCTAGTTTGATTGCACTGTGGTCTGAGAGATAGTTTGTTATAATTTCTGTTCTTTTACATTTGCTGAGGAGAGCTTTACTTCCAACTATGTGGTCAATTTTGGAATAGGTGTGGTGCTGAAAAAAATGTATATTCTGTTGATTTGGGGTGGAGAGTTCTGTAGATGTCTATTAGGTCCGCTTGGTGCAGAGCTGAGTTAAATTCCTGGGTATCCTTGTTGACTTTCTGTCTCATGGATCTGTCTAATGTTGACAGTGGGGTGTTAAAGTCTCCCATTATTAATGTGTGGGAGTCTAAGTCTCTTTGTAGGTCACTCAGGACTTGCTTTATGAATCTGGGTGCTCCTGTATTGGGTGCATAAATATTTAGGATAGTTAGCTCCTCTTGTTGAATTGATCCCTTTACCATTATGTAATGGCCTTCTTTGTCTCTTTTGATCTTTGTTGGTTTAAAGTCTGTTTTATCAGAGACTAGGATTGCAACCCCTGCCTTTTTTTGTTTTCCATTGGCTTGGTAGATCTTCCTCCATCCTTTTATTTTGAGCCTATGTGTGTCTCTGCACGTGAGATGGGTTTCCTGAATACAGCACACTGATGGGTCTTGACTCTTTATCCAACTTGCCAGTCTGTGTCTTTTAATTGCAGAATTTAGTCCATTTATATTTAAAGTTAATATTGTTATGTGTGAATTTGATCCTGTCATTATGATGTTAGGTGGTGATTTTGCTTGTTAGTTGATGCAGTTTCTTCCTAGTCTCGATGGTCTTTACATTTTGGCATGATTTTGCAGCAGCTGGTACCGGTTGTTCCTTTCCATGTTTAGCGCTTCCTTCAGGAGCTCTTTTAGGGCAGGCCTGGTGGTGACAAAATATCTCAGCATTTGCTTGTCTATAAAGTATTTTATTTCTCCTTCACTTATGAAGCTTAGTTTGGCTGGATATGAAATTCTGGGTTGAAAATTCTTTTCTTTAAGAATGTTGAATATTGGCCCCCACTCTCTTCTGGCTTGTAGGGTTTCTGCCGAGAGATCCGCTATTAGTCTGATGGGCTTTCCTTTGAGGGTAACCCGACCTTTCTCTCTGGCTGCCCTTAACATTTTTTCCTTCATTTCAACTTTGGTGAATCTGACAATTATGTGTCTTGGAGTTGCTGTTCTAGAGGAGTATCTTTGTGGCGTTCTCTGTATTTCCTGAATCTGAACGTTGGCCTGCCTTGCTAGATTGGGGAAGTTCTCCTGGATAATATCCTGCAGAGTGTTTTCCAACTTGGTTCCATTCTCCACATCACTTTCAGGTACACCAATCAGACGTAGATTTGGTCTTTTCACATAGTCCCATATTTCTTGGAGGCTTTGCTCATTTCTTTTTATTCTTTTTTCTCTAAACTTCCCTTCTTGCTTCATTTCATTCATTTCATCTTCCATTGCTGATACCCTTTCTTCCAGTTGATCGCATCGGCTCCTGAGGCTTCTGTATTCTTCACGTAGTTCTCGAGCCTTGGTTTTCAGCTCCATCAGCTCCTTTAAGCACTTCTCTGTATTGGTTATTCTAGTTATACATTCTTCTAAATTTTTTTCAAAGTTTTCAACTTCTTTGCCTTTGGTTTGAATGTCCTCCCGTAGCTCAGAGTAATTTGATCGTCTGAAGCCTTCTTCTCTCAGCTCGTCAAAATCATTCTCCATCCAGCTTTGTTCCGTTGCTGGTGAGGAACTGCGTTCCTTTGGAGGAGGAGAGGCGCTCTGCGTTTTAGAGTTTCCAGTTTTTCTGTTCTGTTTTTTCCCCATCTTTGTGGTTTTATCTACTTTTGGTCTTTGATGATGGTGATGTACAGATGGGTTTTCGGTGTAGATGTCCTTTCTGGTTGTTAGTTTTCCTTCTAACAGACAGGACCCTCAGCTGCAGGTCTGTTGGAATACCCTGCCGTGTGAGGTGTCAGTGTGCCCCTGCTGGGGGGGTGCCTCCCAGTTAGGCTGCTTGGGGGTCAGGGGTCAGGGACCCACTTGAGGAGGCAGTCTGCCCGTTCTCAGATCTCCAGCTGCGTGCTGGGAGAACCACTGCTCTCTTCAAAGCTGTCAGACAGGGACACTTAAGTCTGCAGAGGTTACTGCTGTCTTTTTGTTTGTCTGTGCCCTGCCCCCAGAGGTGGAGCCTACAGAGGCAGGCAGGCCTCCTTGAGCTGTGGTGGGCTCCACCCAGTTCGAGGTTCCCGGCTGCTTTGTTTACCTAAGCAAGCCTGGGCAATGGCGGGCGCCCCTCCCCCAGCCTCGTTGCCGCCTTGCAGTTTGATCTTAGACTGCTGTGCTAGCAATCAGCGAGATTCCGTGGGCGTAGGACCCTCCGAGCCAGGTGTGGTATATAGTCTCGTGGTGCGCCGTTTGTTAAGCCGGTCTGAAAAGCGCAATATTCAGGTGGGAGTGACCTGATTTTCCAGGTGCGTCCGTCACCTCTTTCTTTGACTCGGAAAGGGAACTCCCTGACCCCTTGCGCTTCCCAGGTGAGGCAATGCCTCACCCTGCTTCGGCTCGCGCACGGTGCGCGCACACACTGGCCTGCGCCCACTGTCTGGCACTCCCTAGTGAGATGAACCCGGTACCTCAGATGGAAATGCAGAAATCACCCGTCTTCTGCGTCGCTCACGCTGGGAGCTGTAGACCAGAGCTGTTCCTATTCGGCCATCTTGGCTCCTCCCCTAAGTATTTCTTTAAATGTTTCTTTAGATGTATTTTTCTATGTATTTTATTTTATGCATTTATAAATAGTGTTCTAAGTAGGGGTTCATAGTCTTCATTGGACAGTCAGATGGGTCCATAGCACAAAAATGATTAGGAAGCCCTCCTGTAGATAGTATTCAGGAAGACTACATTATTTATATGAGTCCAATAGACTTACCCTTCATTGGGCTCCTAATATATGAGAACAACAGCCTCAGTTCTCATTAGAATATATTATGGTAGAAGATGATTCATTGATTTAACCAGTAGTGTCTTCTGCATGCCAGGCCTTCTCTGGTGCTGGAGCTGCAGCAATGAGCAAAACACATAAGTCTCATCTGGGTTCTCCAGATGAGAGATCTAGTGTAGGGCCCAGAACAGACCTCTCCGACGAAGGGCCCTTTAAGCTGGGTCTGAAGAATGAGTGGGAGTGAGCCGGGAGAAGAAAAGGTGAAGACAGAAGGAAGAATAAGTGTGAAGGTTTGGAAGTGGGGCACTCAGCTCACTGTAAGAACTGAAATCATATAGGGCCTTAGAAACTGAGTGAAGGTCAGACTTTTTCCTGAGGGCAGTAGAAAGCTTGGAAGGGGTTTTAAGTAGGGAGTGATGTGATCAGACTGCCTTTCAAAATGTTGCTTGGAAAGAAACTGGAGACACCCTTGTGGTACTAAGGTGAAAATGAAGGTGGCGTGGCTTGGAAGTATATGATAGGAAACAATGGCAGAGAGAACTTTTCAAGTTACTTTTGTCTGATTTCTGTTGAAGATTTCTTTCTGACTCTGTGAGAATGACTGGGCCCTGAATTTCAATTTGTTAGTGTATCATGTATTGCATTACAATTTTGGAAGCCTTTTTCTTAGAGTTGAGATGGCCATAGTAGCTGCAGTTCTCGCCGAAGTCTGTTGCAAGTTCCTCTCTGGGAGTATAAAACCTCGCACAAGTCTTGGAAAAATATTTCTCTGTAATGTTGGACCACGGAGCAAGTGGCTGACTTGGTCAGGCTCTCTTAGTGTACATTTGTAACTTGCTGCAGTGTTAATGGCCTAACTTCTGCATTAGGAAGAAAATAAACTTATCATTAATAATGTACATGATTATATTGCCAATTAAACAAAAGCTCTGGCTGCCTCTTCGTAACAAACTTGTAAATGGGTTCAAGGTTTGTTTGTTACTGGGTAAAAACAAATCCATTTTGGTTGATGGCTAATTCACAGCCATATAGGCAACTCATAAAAGTATATGAAAATGAGTCTCTGGGATAATCAGATTTTATTTCTAGTGTCTAATCGATGCTCAGAGCTTTGGGATTTAATTATGTCTGCTGAAGAAACACAATTCAATTTCTCTTCCTCCCTTTTAAGCCTAACTGCAGTCTTCATTTTAATTCATAAATACATAACACTTTATAGCTATTTTCTGGCCCAGTACCTGGTACCTATTAGATACTCAATAGAAGTTGGTTACATTATTGAATTCCTCTTCTAACTGAATGAAAACACATATCAAGTAATAACCTAATTCTACTTCTGGGTATATATACAAAAAAATTGAAAGCAGAGTCACAGATAGATATTTGTACATCCATGTTCATAGTGACATTATTTATGGTAGCTGCAATGTGGAGGTACCCCGAGTGTCCATTGATGGGTGTATGGATAAACAATATCTAGAGGAATATTATTCATCCATAAAAAGGAAGGAAATTCTGACATATGCTTAAAAAGGAAGTTAGTTCTGAAATATGACAGGGATGAACCTTGAAGACATTATTCTAAGTGAAACAAGCCCATCCCCAAAAGACAAATACTATATAATTCCACTTATGTGAGGCATCTCAGGTAGTTAAATTCATAGAGACAGAATGCTGATTCCCAGGGGCTAGCAGGAGGGGAGAATGGAGAGTTTTAAAAAATGGGTATAGAGTTTCAGTGTTACTTGATGGGAAGTTCTGGAGATGGATGGTGCTGATGACATTATGAATATACGGTAGTTAATTCCACTGAATTACATACTTGAAAATGGTTAAGATGGTCATTTCTATGTCACGTGTATATTACCACGATAAAAAAATTGGGAAATCAACACAGGTGTGGTTTTGCTTCTTTTCCCTCCATTTTTTGCCTAGTGGTTGACTCTGTACATTTTACACTTACTTCAAAGAAATAAGAAGTGAGAAATTGTTTCAGTAAGAGGACTTCCTATTTCTGGCCATCTAGGCTGGCTGGCCTGCCTGTAATGCTGGGCAGCAGGGAGTGCATCAGGTGGGTATCACATGGGCACTGAGGCAGGATGGGTGAAGTATGGGTGAATGGAATATGAGTTCTACTCTCTCCCCTCTCTATGGCACCCACCCAGCTTCTAGGAGGGACCACATAGCTTCTTTACCCCATCTTCTATCCCTTAGCACATTCCCTTAGTGTCTTCATTCACTTAGTGTAATGTTTTCAAGGTACATAAAAATTTTATTTTGTAGATGTATCAGAACTTTATTTCTTTTTAGGGCTGAATAATATTCCACTGTATGTCTATACCGCATTTTGTTTATCAATCAGTTGATGGACATTTGGGTTATTTCCTCCTTTTGGCTGCTGTGGGTAGTGTTGCTATGAACATTCGTGTACACGTATTTGTTTGAGGACCTGTTTTCGGTTCTTGTGAGTATATACCTAACAGTGGAATTGCTGGGTTATATGTCAATATTTTATTTAACTTTTTGAGGAGCAGCTGAGGTTTTTCCACAGTGGCTGCATCATTTTATGTTCCCACCAGCAACGTATGAGAGTTCTAACTTCTCTACATCCTCACTAACACTTGTTAATTTTCTCTTTCTTTTTTTATGGCCTTCCTAGTGGATATGAAGTACTACCTCACTGTGGTTTTGATTTGCATTTCCCTAATGCCTCATGATGTTCAGCATTTTTTCATGCCTTTATTGGCCATTTGTATAAATGCTACAGTGTGGGTTAACCTTAAGAATATTATGCTGGCCGGGCACGGTGGCTCACACCTGTAATCCCAGCACTTTGGGAGGCCGAGGTAGGCGGATCACCTGAGGTCAGGAGTTCGAGACCAGCCTGACCAACATGGAGAAACCCCGTCTCTACTAAAAATACAAAAATTAGCTGGGCATGGTGACACATGCCTGTAATCCCAGCTACTGGGGAGGCTGAGGCAGGAGAATCGCTTGAACCTGGGGGGCGGAGGTTGTGGTGAGCCGAGATTGCGCCATTGCACTCCAACCTGGGCAACAAGAGTGAAACTCCATCTGGAAAAAAAAAAAAAAGTTATGCTAAGTGAAAGAAGCCAGACCGAAAGGTCATATGTTGTATGATTCAACTTATATGAAATGTCCAGAATAGGTAAGTCCATAGAGACAGAAAGTGAATGGGTGGTTGCCAGGGGCTGGGGAGTGAGGGGAATGGAGAGGGACTGCTTTTAGGTCTAGGGTTTTTTTGTGTGTATGTGTGTATTTGGAGGGGGGGTGTTGATAAAAATATTTTAGAACTAGATAGAGGTAATGGTTGTACAACATTGTGAAAATGCAAAATGTCACTGAATTGCACACTTTAAAATGGTCAATTTTATGTTATGTGAATTTTACCTCAATAAATTAAAAACCAAAAACACCTGGTTAGAAGTTGAGCCTGGATTTCTGGTTCCAGCAGCATGGTGGACTGAGTGACTGTGGATTTCTACATCCTGCTACAAACACAGAGAAGTGCTGGATACGTTACAACAAAATTTTTAAATATGCAACTGATCTTGGAAGGAAATCTGTTGTTGTCTGTGGAGGCAACTTGAAGCCTGAGTACTGGCCTCCTGCACTGCAGCCATGGTGTCCTGGCAGGGACACTGGACCAAACATAATGCTGGGATGTTTAACACCAACATGGCATCAAGAGACATGGCCTTGGCTGGTGGAGGACAGGGAATGGGAGCTGAAACCCCTGCACAAAGATGGCACCCTGGAAAAGCTGCCCCTCAGCGAAAGGAGGTCTGGAAAAGTTACTTGTCAGCAAGCCAGGGGAACATCAAAGGAGCACCTCTGTTTCTGAGGCTCTGAGTGAGAGAGAATAAAAGACATGAAGCCCCAGCCTTGACTTCTTGATGCAAGAATCCCCAACTCAGAGATTAATGTGCAACCCTGTTCCAGGTGGGTGAAGCTCCTGGTGTACTCAGCACAAGCAAACAAGAAATTGTTCATTTGTAGTGACACTGCTGCAATTCAGGGTGTACAGGATTCCCATGGGTAAAACACCCTCCATGAAAAATAAGTTCACCTGAAAAATTACAGATCACACAAGGAAACAAATGTTCCAGCAGGAGGGAAAGTAAATAAATGTAACAAACAGGAGGGGTAGCATCTTAAGAACCTGGCCAAGTGGAAGCATGTTTCCAATGACTGAGGAATGAGGAAGTTGAGACTGGCTGTACTTCTTCATATATAGTTGAACAGTTGCTACCAGGGGTGTGTAACATGCTTGCTTAAGGGATTAAAAAAGGGGAAAGAGAGTCTGGCCTGTTCACCTGCTATCCTATAATGGTCTGTCAAGACCTTTAGGTTTTTTCCTAAGGATCAAGAGCTCAAGGAAACTTTCAAGTAATCTATTTAGATGGCAGAAAAGTTCTGCCTTTGAGCATATTAACTGTAATGCTTTTGATGTATAAGAAGCTGTACATATTTAATGTATACAACTCGATGAGTTTGGGGACAAGTATACACCCCTGAAACTATCACCACCAAAGCCATAAACATATCCATCACCTCCCAAAGTTGCCTTTTGTCCCCTTTATTATTATTACTTGTTGTAGGAACACTTAACATCTACTGTCTTAGTGGATAGAACATGAGCTAAATTTTCTCAGCACACACACACACACAGGTAACTGTGTAGATGTTAATAGATATGTTAATTAGTTTGATTGTGGTGATCATGTTTACCTATATCAAACCACCAAGTCATATGCCTTTAAAAAAATATTATTTTAACAGAGATAGCCTATGACTTTCAAGACATCACAAAGAGTCACACCAACCTCTCAGTACCAAAACCTAAAGGGAGGTGTCCTCCCTGAACATGTAACTAATAGATCTTATGTTCTAAATTAGAAAATGAAACAAAACTTCAGAGGACTCCATCTTCTTCTCCTAGCCATTACCAACTCAGGGTTACAAGTATCTTCTTTAAATAAAACTCAAAACTGCAACTTAAAGAAAAAGATCTACCCTTTTAGCAGATTTTAAGTGTACAATACAGTATCATTAGCTATGGGCACTATGCCGTATAATAGATCTCCAGAACTTATTTATCTTACATAACTGAAATTGTCTACTCTTTAGTCATCAGTGCTCAGGTGTTCTTAACCAAAGATTTGCCTTAATCTCTCTTGAGTGTGCAGCTTGGTATTTGCCCATTATTGTGAGGAGTGAAGATTATGAACTGGTAAATGGAACTTTTGGAAAACAAACCCTGAAGCTTCCTTGAAAACCACTCTAGTACTTATTTAGCACTCCACTTCTAATTGATTTCATCTGCTGGCTAAGTCAAGGCACTAGGGAGGTGGGAGCTTCTTGTTGATTAAGTAGAATCATGTCAGAAACTCCAGCTAAGGGCCAATGGCAAACAAGAGACTACAGCCACTTGGTCAGTAGGCAATCTTCTATTTACCTTTGCCCTATGTTCAAGCCATGGCTTTTTATCAGTGGAAGCCCCCAAATTTATATAAAGGAGAAGAATGCTTGGGGACCTTGTCTTGATGCTAAAGTGGCTTATCACCTTACCTAAAATTGAGAATGAGGAGGGACTGAGGGTAGAGCTGATGGGCTTTATGGTTGCTAAAGCCTCGGTTATATCTCAAGATGGCAAATTTTTGATTCAGCAGATCTGGTAAGCAAGTCACACAAACTTGACTTTGCACTGGAAGCTTGATGATACTGAACTTCAGAAAGCAGTAAACTTTCTGTTAAAAATAAAGTATGAAGGCCAAACTATTTTCTTTTTCACCAATGAATTGAAGATCAGGTAGTGCAAATGTGAGAAGAGATCTCATGAGAATGAGAATTTCAGTTTCCCTGAGCATGCACTTGTTGCTGCTGGGTGGTAAAATCATAGATCAGAAACCTTGGTGCTCAGCAGAAACTTCAAGGTTGCTTAGGTAAAGAGAAGTGATTTTTTTTTTCCGCTTCATGATCAAGCATAGGGGGAGGCAAATACTTTTTTTTTCTCCCCTGGTGAATAATGGGAAGCAATGTTGAATATTATTGCTTTCCTTTTTGGGAAGAAAAAGGAAGACACATTGAGGGATACTTTCTTCCTCATTTATGTGTCATATATTTCCCTATGGTTGAAGTTCATGACAGCCTTCTCATCACAAGAGTTGTGATAATGTGGTTTATAGTTTATCAGTATTATTAGCACTAATAAATAACCCTGGCAGGATGTACAGTTGATTGCAGGACGTTCTCTTTGCATCTTCCCACTAGGTATCTAGTATCATTCCTAAACTTGCAATTAACTAAAGACATTCTTAATATTACTTGAAAGTAGAGATTAGGGTACCTGGGCTCTTTGCACCCTTCTTTGTAAATATCAGTGCAGAGCTTTCAGAATTAATTGCTTCTTAGATAGACGATTAATGTTCACTTAGCCCTGTGCAAAGAAGTGGGTCATTCTATTTATTGGAATCTTGCTGTTCTGTAATTACGTGAAGAGCAAATTATTATAGACAGAGTTTCTGTGTGATTTTGAAGCAGGTAAATTTAGCATCATTAGAGAATAATCTGTAGCTAGAAAAACTCAAGATTCTTTAAAAACATGCAGATAATACTTAAAACTTAGTAAGTTTTGTTATTCTTAAATGTGTTATATAAGTTGGAAAAAACATTTCTTGTGTTAGAAATAGCATTTATGGTTAAATAACAAGAAAGAAAAAGAGCTGGTCTCCATTTATTTCTTGACATTGTAGAAATACTGTAATTGAGATTTAGTTACACATGCTTTGAACAAAGGACTATGCTCTAATATTTCATTTATTTAGATGGAGCATGCATTTCTCTTTTCATTGATTAAGATAACAATCAGGTTTCCCACCTTGAAAGATGTGATATTGAAAATTTTTCTATTAAAGAGACTATATTTATAACTCAAAATTCAATGGGAACCTAAGGAATCTAGCTAAAAGTATATCTCACACAATGCTATATGGGAGTGCTATGTTTTATAAATTCAAGTAGTCTGAAATTCTTCAGTTAGAATTAATTTAGATAAACAGAGATGGCTTCTACCTTGAACTTGGCCATTTTGCCTGCCTTCCTTATATGCCTCATTCTGTTCATTGTAATGCAGGCTCATTTCATTTTATTTCCCTTCACTTTATTGAACTTTGCAGATATTGCATTTCTTAAAAATTGAGGGTTCGTGGCAACCTGCACTCAACCAGTCTGTTGGTGCAATTTTCCCTATAGCATGGGATCACTCTGTGTCCCTGTGTCACATTTTGGTAATTCTCTTGATATTTCAGGCTTTTTCATTATTATTATATCTATCATGGTGATCTGTGATCAGTGGTCTTTAATGTTACTACTGTAATAATTTTGGGGTGCCACCAACAGCATCCATATGAGATGGTGACATTAATTGATAGATGTTGTGTGTGTTCTGACTGTTCTACTGACTGCCCATTCCCTAATCACTCTCCCGTTCTTTAGGCCTCCCTATTCCCTGAGACAAAACAATATTGAAATTAATGCAATTAAAAGCCCTACAGTGGCCTCTAGGTGTTCAAGTGAAAGAAAGAGACACACATCTCTCACTTTAAATCAAAGGCTATAAATGTTAAGCTTAGTGGGGAAGGCATGTTGAAAGTTAAGATAGTCCAAAAGCTAGGCCTCTTGCACCAGTTAGCCAAGTTGTGAATGTAAAGGAAAAGTTCTTGAAGAAAATTAATAATGCTACTCTAGTGCACACACAAATGATAAGAGATAGAAACAACCTTACTGCTGATGTGGAGAGAATTATAGTGGCCTGTGTAGAAGATCAAATCAGCCACAACATTCCCTTAAGCCAAAGTCTATTCTAGAGGAAGACCCTAACTCTCTTAAATTCTATGAAGGCTGAGAGAAGTGAGGAAGCTGCAGAAGAAAAGTTGGAAGCTAGCACAGGTTGGTTCATGAGGCTTAAGGAAAGAAGCTGCCTCCATAATATAAAAGTACAGAGGGAAGTAGAAGCTGCAGCAAGTTATGCAGAAGATCTAGCTAAGATCATTGATGAAGGTGGATACACTAAACCACAGGTTTTCATTGCAGATGAAACAATCTTATATTGGAAGATGTTATATAGGACTTTTATAGCAAGAGAGAAATCAGTACCTGGCTTCAAAGCTTCAAAAGACAGGCTGACTCTCTTGTTAGGGGCTAATGCCACTGGTGACTTTAAGTTGAAGTCAATGCTCACTGGCTATTCCTAAAATCCTAGGGCCCTTAAGAATTATGCTAAATCTACTCTGCCTGTGCTCTATAAATGGAACAACAAAGCCTGGATGACAGCACATCTGTTTACAACATGTTTTACTGAATATCTTAAGCCCACTGTTGAGACCTACTCTCAGAAAAAAAGACTGCTTTCAAATTATTACTACTGCTCATTGACAATGTACCTAGTTACCCAAGAACTCTGATGGAGATGTACAAGGAGATTAATGTTGTTTTTATGCCTACTAATACAATGTCCATTCTGCAGTTCATGGATCAAGGAATAATTTTGACCTTCATGTCTTATTATTTAAGAAATACATTTCATAAGGCTATAACTGCCATAGATAATGATTCATGATGGATCTGGCCAAAGTAAGTTGTAAACCTTCTGGAAAGGATTCATCTTTCTAGATGCCATTCAGAACATTCATGATTCATGGGAAGAGGACAAGCTATCATTAACAGGAGTTTGGAGGAAGTTGATTCTAACCCTTATGGATGACGTTGAGGGGTTCAAGACTTCATTGGAGGAGGTAACTGCATATGTGTTAGAAATAGAAAGAGAATTAGAATTATAAATGGAGCCTGAAGATGTGACTGAATTGCTGCAGTCTCATGATAAGACTTGAATGGATGAAAAGTTGCTTCTTATGGATGAGCAAAGAAAGTGGTTTCTTGAGATAGAATTTACTCCTGGTGTGAACAGTGTTGAAATGACAACAAAGGACTTAGAATATTACATGACCTTAGCTCACCAAGCAGTGGCAGGGTTTGAGAGGATTAACTCTAGTTTTGAAAGAATTTCCATTCTGGGTAAAATGCTCTCAAACAGCATTGCATATATAGAGAAATCCTTCATAAAATGAAGACTCATTCAATGCAGCAAACTTCATTGTTGTTTTATTTTAAGAAATCGACACAGCTACCCCTGCCTTCAGCAACCACCACCTAATTAGTCAGCGGCCATCAGCATTGAGGAAGACCCTTCATCCAGCAAAAATAGTCTGTGAAGGCTCAGATGATCAGTAGCATTTTTTGGTAATAAAGTATTTTTAGTTAAAGTATGGATGTGTTTATTTAGACATAATGCAATCTCATACTTACTAGACTATACTATAGTGCAAATATAACTTTTACAGACACTGAGAAACCAAAAAATTTGTGTGACATATCTTATTGCAGCATTTGCTTTATGATGGTGGTCTGGGACTGAACCTACAATATCTCCAAGGTATGTCTGTGGTTGGTTTTAATGTACAAAATGAATGAAATTGGTATGGCAAAGGGCCAGCTTGCCTATATGGTGACTGAATTAGATTAGTGTCTTAGTTTGAGCTCTCCCTAAAAGTAGACCCTGTGACAGGATTGGGTATAAGGAGTTTATTTGGGAGGTGATCCCAGGAAGTATGGAAGTATGGAGAGGGAGTGAGGAAGTGAGGTGGGGAGGGTGGAAAGCCAATCAATAGAGGAGATGCTAATGAATGGATTACTGCTGGAGCTCCTTGCTGCTGGGGATTCTCTGGGAAGCTGTGTAGAACACATGTCAGAAATGAGGAAAACTCAGGGATTTACCTGATGTAATGAGGCAGAATAGTGGCTTCCCCAAAAGATGTCTACCTCTTAATCCCTGGAACATGGGGATATGTTACCTTACATGCCAAGAGCTACTTAGCAGTTGTGATTGACTTAAGGACCTGGAGATGGGGAGATTATCACAACGGTCTTTCTGAGAGAGAATTAGGAGGGTTAGAGTCAGAGAAGAAAATATGACAGTGGGAGGCAGAGCTTGGAGAGTGGCGGTGGGGAAGAGAGAGAGAGAGAGTTGAAGACGTTATGCTGTTGACTTTGAAGATGGAGGAATAGGCTATGAGCCAAGGATTGCATGTGGATTCTAGAAGCTGGAAAAGGCAAGGAAAAAGATTCTCTCCTAGAGCCTCTAGAAGGAACTAACCCTGTTGACACCTTGACTTTAGGCCATGAGTCTGATTTTTGGCCTTTCTGCCTCCAGAAATATAAGATAACAAATGTGTGTTGCTTTATTCCACTATGTTTGTGGTATTGTTATAGTAGCTTTAGGAAACTACTATACTATACCAGTGTATTAATATACTTGCAGCCCTCCTTGGTTGCAGATGGCTCCTAGGGTGATACCTTCTCTGTGTTTCTGGCCAATCCACTGAAGGCTAACCTGAACAAAGGTTTTGTTTGATCAATGAAATGTGAAAATGTCCTCATAAATGCTTGGAACGAGCTCTTCTGGGTTGTTTCATATGAACAGTCCAGGTTTCTGAGCCTCTCTGACCATTCCCTACCTGTCTCTTCTCCTGGCCCTTTCTCCTCTGGCTGGTCTTTAAATGTTGGGGAACCAGGATTATGATCTTGACCTCCAGTCTCACTCTGTGATGGATAATTTTATGTGTCAACTTGACTGGACCATGGGTGCCCAGGCATTTGATCAAACACTATATTGGTCGTGTTTGTGAGGGTGTTTCTGGATGAGATTAACATTTTGTATTAGTCCATTTTTATACTGCCATGAAGAAATACCTGAGACAGTGCAACTTACAAAGAAAAAGAGGTTTAATGGACTCAATTCCACATGGCTGCGGAGGCCTCACAATCATGGCAGAAGGCTAAGGAGCCAAAGGCACATCCTACATGGCAGCAGGCAAGAGAGCATGTGCAGGGGAATGGCCCTTTATAAAACCAACAGATCTTGTGAGACTTAATCACTATCATGAGAACAGCATGGGAAAAACCCACCCCCATGATTTAATTATCTCCCACCATGTCCCTCCCAAGCCATGTGAGGATAGTGGCAGTTACAATTCAAGATGAAACTTGGGTGAGGACACAGCCAGACCGTATCGCATTTGAATCTGTAGACTGGGTAAATACTCTCCTAATGTAGGTGGGCTTCATCCAATCCACTGAAGGCCTAAATGGAACAATAAGTCCAACTGCCCTATGAAAAGGGGCAATTCCTCCTGCCTGACAGCCTGAAAACTGAGACATTGTTTTTTTCCCTCTGCCTTCGGGCATGAAACACCAGCTTTTCCTGGGTTTTGAGCCTGCAGGCTTTTGGACTACATCAGCTCTCCTGGTTCTCAGGCCTTTGGACTCAGGCTGGAACTAAACCAGTGGCTCTCCTAGATCTCCAGTTTACAGGCAGTAGATCTTGGAAAGTCTCAGTTTTCATTATCACATGAGCCAACGCCTTATAATAAATCATTCTCTCTCTCTTCAGCATTGCTCATTCTGAGTTTTAAGGTTCACCCTAAGATTTCTGCCACTCAGTTGGTTGTTGCCCAGTGGAGAGCTAAGGATGCTGCTACCCTGGCACACAGGACTGAGTTGGAAAAGTCCTTGGCGAACATGGAACTAAGAGATCCAGTTTATTTTCTCTGAATGAGAAAGACATATACAAAGAGAGTCCCCTCACCCCACACACACCACAGACAGGAAGAGAGAGACAGGGAGAGAAAGATAATAGAGCAACAGAACCAGGCAGACATCCAGACACAGAGTCATAGAGAAAGAGACAAGGGGAGGGAGAGAAAGGACAGACAGACACAAATCACAATGTGATATGCAGAGACACAATGAGAGACAGAGACAGAGGGAGACACATACAGAGGCAGAAAGAGAAGCACATTTGTCCGAGGGAACAGAGAGGAGAAGGTAAAGGAGTCAGAATACCAGGTGAGCTAATACACGCTGCCTCCCAGCTTGAGTATCCCCCATATCCAGAACTCAGGAAAGCCCCGTGAGCTGTGATAAGGTCTCCTTGGCCCACCTGCCCTCACCCCTCCCCAGAGTGACCCATGGGTGTACTGAACAGGCTTTAGAGCCATAAAGGTCTGAGTTCCAATTCCAGATCAGCTACTCTTTAGCTGTGTGACTGTGAGCACTACTTGAGCTTCATTTTCGTCATCTGTAAAATAGTGGATAATAGTATCTACCTTGCAGAATTTTTGTGAGGTGTTTAACAAATCTTAATTATTATTTCAGACAAATCCTGGATCTCTTCTGGCTCCCATCCCTACCCCTTTAGTAAAAGGGAATTTATGCATATATCTGGGATAAATATAGTCCATAAAACTTTGTCACTGGAAATAAATGAAAATTAAACATACTCCTCTAAATAAACAGTTTGGGATACTTTTCAGCCACAGCCCATTAAAACACATCCATTGGTAGGATGCATGGAAATGTTATTTTATTTTTTTAAATTATATTTTATTATTATTTTTTTGAGACAGAGTCTCACTCTGTCACCCAGGCTGGAGTGCAGTGGCGTGATCTCGGCTCACTGCAACCTCCACCTCCTGGGTTCAAGCGATTCTCCTGCCTTGGTCTCCTGAGTAGCTGGGACTACAGGTGCATGCCACCATACTCGGCTAATTTTTGTATTTTTAGTAGAGACGGGGTTTCACCTTGTTGGCCAGGGTGGAGGAAATGTTATTTTATCTGCAGCTGCATCTTCGATCTTCACACGTTTTTTGTTCAGCAGAAAAACTAGGAGAGTGGCAAGTTGCTACACCTGGGACTCGTATACACAAGAGGGTGCTGGCGAGCATGAGAGAGGATCTATTTTTAATAACCCATGACTACTTTTTTATAAAAAAATTAGTTTTTAATTGACAAATAAAAATCATATATATTTATCAACATGACTATTGAAATTCAAAACAACATGATGTTTTGAAATATGTATACATTGTAGAAAGGCTAAATCAAGCTAATAACATACTTAGTCTTACCTCACATACTTAGCATTTTTGTGGTAAGAACACTTAAAATCTACTCTTTTAGCAATTTTCAAGAATACAATACATTGCGATTAACAATAGTTATGTGTTGTACAATAGATCTCTTGAACTTATTCCTCCCATCTATATCCTTTGACTAATATCTCTCCAACGTGACCCCCTCCTACACCTGGTAACCACCATTCTCTGCTTCTGTGATTTATACTTTTTCAGATTCTACATATAAGTGAGATTGTGCGATATTTGTCTTTCTGTGCCTAGCTTATTTTGCTTAACATAATGTCCTCCAGGCTCATCCATGTTGCTGCAAATGATAAGATTTTATTCCTTTTTTATGGCTGAATAATATTCCACTGTGTTTATATACAGTAACCACATTTTCTTTATTCATGTGTTGACTGGCACTTGATTCTGTGTCTTGAGTATTGTGAATAGTGCTGCAGTGAACATGAGAGTGCAGATATCTCTTCAACATACTGATTTGTTTTCCTTTGAATATGTACCCAGTAGTGGGATTGCAGGGTCACATGATAGTTCTATTTTAATTTTTTGAGGAAACTCCATACTGTTTTCTATAATGGCTGTACCAACTGACATTGCCACCAACAGTGTACAGGGATTTCCTTTTCTTTACATCCTGGCCAAACCTTGTTATGTTTTGTCTTTTTGATAATAGCCTTTCTAATAGGTGTGAATTCATATCTCGTTGTACATTTAATTTGCTTTTCACTGATAAGCAAATTAATTAGTGATGTTGAACATTTTTCATGTACTTTTTGACCATTAGTTTGTCTTTTTTTTTTTTGAGAAATGTCTATTCAGTCCTTCCCCCATATTTGTTTTCTTGCTATTCAGTTGTATGAGTTCATTATATATTTTGGATATTAACCCCTTATCAGATATATAGTTTGCAAATATTTTCTCCCATTCTACAGCTTGTCTTTTCACTCTGTTGGTTGTCTCCTTGGCTATATGGAAGCTTTTTAGTTTGATAAAATCCCGGTTTTCTATTTTTGTTTTTGTTTCCTGTGCTTTTGGAGTGATAGCCAAAAAATCATTGCCATGTCCAGTGTCATAAAGATTTTCCCCTTTATTATCTTCTAGTAGATTTATAATTTCCGGTCTTATATTTAAGTTTTAATTCATTTTGAGATGATTTTTGTATATGGTGTGAGATGAGGCTGTAAGTTTATTCTTTTGCGTGTGGATATCCAGTTTTCACAAAACAATTTATTAAAGAGACTGTCCTTTCCCCATTGTGTGTTCTTAGCACCTTTGTTGAAAATCAATTGATGGTAAATGCATGAATTTATTTCTGGGCTCTTGAGTCTGTTCCATTGGTCTATGTATCTGTTTTTATGCCAATGCCATGCTGTTTTGGTTATGTAATATATTTTGAAGTTAGGTACTTTGATGCCTCCAGCTTTGTTTTTTTTTGTTGTTGTTGCTGTTGAAGATTGCTTTAGCTATTTTGTGGTTCCATACAAATTTTAAGATCGTTTTTCTCTATTTCTGTGAAAAATGTCATTGGGATTTTGGTAGAGATTGCATTGAATATGTAGATGGTTTTTGATTATATGGACATTTAAATAATATTAATCTAGTCTGTGAACATGGGGTATCTTTCCATTTATTTGTGTCTTCTTCAATCTCTTTCATCAATGTTTTATAGATTTTAGTGAAGAAGTCTTTCACCTCCTTGATTAAATTTATGCCTGAGTATTTTTTTTGTAGCTATTGTGAATGGAATTGTTTTCTTGATTTCTGTTTTAGATAATTTGTTGGTAGGATATAGAAATGCTTGATTTGTGCATGTTGATTTTGTATCCTGCAAATTTACTGAATTTGTTTATGACTTCTAACCATTTTTTTGGTGGAGTTTTTAGTTTTACATTTTTATACAAATAAGATTATGTCATCTGCAAACAGCGACAATTTAAGTTCTTCCTCTTATTATTTTGAGACAGGGTGTTGGTCTGTTGCCAAGGGTGGAGTGCAGTGGCATGAACACAGCTCACCGCAGCCTCAACCTCCTGGGCTCAAGCAATCCTCTCACCTCAGCCTCCCGAGTAGCTGAGACTACAGGTGTGCCACTACACCCAGCTAATTTTTGTATTTTTTGTAGAGACAAGGTTTTGCTATGTTGCCCAGGCTGGTCTTGAACTCCTGGGCTCAAGTGAGCCACCCGCCTCAGCCTCCTGAAGTGCTGGGATTACAGGTGTGAGCCACTGTGCCCAGCCAAAGTTCTTCCTTTATAATTTGGATGGCTTTTATTTGTTCTCCTACCTAATTGTTCTGGCCAGGACTTCCACTGCAAAGTTGAATATAAGTGGCAAGAGTGAGCATCCTTGTCTTGTTCCTGATCTTAGAGGAAAGGCCCTCAGCTTTTTACCATTGAGTATAATATTAGCTGTGGGCTTGTCATATATGACCTTTATTCATGCCTACTTTCTTTTCTGTGTACCTTTCTCTCTACTAGAAGGAGACCAGAGGCCTTATTATAGCACTGTGCTCTTGGATTTGCATTAAATAAAATTTCAAGAAAGATAACAAAACAGTGGGATTAGAGTGAATTTGTAGCTGTGGGCTGAGCTGTGAGCCAACTGGAAAGGCTCTAACTTCTTGTGTTCACTATCAGCAATCTACTGTCAACTTTAGTTTGCAAAGGTTTATGGAATTTTGGGGGTTTTGTTGTAAAATGTGTTTTTTTCCTTAATTTAAAAGTAGTGAGAAATTGTGATTTGCTAAATCTGAAAAATACAGAGAATAAAAGACAAATCATCGATAATTCTACTACCCAATTAATCAATCAACTGAATTGATTAATTCAGTTAACATTTTGATGTGCATTGTTCAAATTTTACACGTAATATTTTTTATCTACAAACTCAGGCTTACATTATACTACACTGTTTTTTTCCTTTGCAATGTGTAAGTTGAACAACATCTTGCCATTAAGTATTTTAAAAATAATTTTATTTTCATATAATACTCTATAGACATAACCTAAGGTTTTGTTTTCCCTTGAGTGTTTAAACCAATCCTGTTTTGTTGGATATTAATATTGTTTACATGCTCCTTTTTATTATAAATATTTTGTGAACATGATTTAAACAAAATTTTTGTGCACATTCATGGTTAATCCTTTAAGATACATGTCTTCTATAACTGGAGCTTCATATAAAACATTTTAACCTTAATAAAGCTTTTGATATGGATTGCAAATCTCCCCTCCACCTCTTTACCTTTGAAAAGCTGTATCCATTCATACTTCTTTAATTACTGTGATGTTTGTCTATTTTTTAAAAATTACAGTTGTCAGTTTTCCTATTTATAAATAATCATCTTTAAATTTTATTAAATTTAAATTTAAATTTTATTTTATTTTTTGTAGAGGCAGGAGTCTCGCTATGTTACCTAGACTGGTCTCAAGCAATCTGCCTGCCTTGGCCTCCCGAAGTGCTGGGATTACAAGCATGTGCCAGTGTGTCTGGCCATCATCTTTTTTTTTTTTTTTTTAACTAAAAATATTTCTTTATAATTTTCTTTCTTCTTGCATTGCATTCTCTTATCATTTTCTACTCCTTAAGTTTTAAAATGTTCATTGCATAAAATTTATATTTATTGCAACTTGAATGTTTTACCGAAAACTGTTTACAGGATCCTCATGAATGAGAATCATGCTTACTCAAAGATTGTGAACTCACTTAAATAAATATTTTCTGAAAGAAGGAAAAATACTTATTAAGCACCTGAGTGTTCAATACTATGCAGAGGACCCTGGCGGATACCTGAGAAGCACAAGGCATGGCGCTCCGGGGTCTCATGTTCTTAGATGGGGAAATGTCATCAAGCTCACAGTCTAAGAATAGTGTTTCCTCAACCTTTTTAGACCTGTGCCCACCAGAATACTTACTCACTATCCTCTCTCTCCAGCCAAGAATATTTTGCCTGGCTTTCCCACTCTGTGTTATGAATTACTGAACTAGATCAATGGAACATGCTCCTTCAGATATCTGTGCACATGTAAACATCTTGCACTGATGTGCCTTCTTGCCTTCAGTGGAGAATTTCTTCATTAGATAATCATCCAAAGTAGGACTCTGTGAAATTTACTCTAAGAACCTAAGATGTGGACAGTTTACCGGTGAAGCCTGGATTGATAAGGCCTAAGTTAAAATGCTTCTCTTGGCGATGAGCTTCCTACAGTACACAAGCCTATCAGTGCCTTGGACCCTGGGCTGGTCTTTGCCTCCTTTTCCTCTTCTCCAGGCTATCCCTATTCTGCACCATCTTGCCTCCTCCACTAGGTGCTCATATTAACATTCCTGCCTCCACCTCTCTTTTGATTTGCCCTATTTATTGTATAATACCCAACTGAGTCCCTGATTGCAAGCATCTTGCTTCAAAGGTTGGTGGGTTCTGCCTTGCACTCTAGCAACTGGCTTTCCTCCTCTGTTCTTCACTCTTTAGTCCCTACATTGCTGCTTGTCATCCACTTCTTATAGACTTGGTGGCCTAACCCCTTTCTCACTGGAATTAGGTCTTATAACTTCTGCTGACCCACTTTAGAGCATAATGCCTGATCGAACACAATGTACATAATAAATATTTGTTGAATGAACAAATTGGAAACATTATCTTGCTTCTATTTAAATATGTGTCATGGGCTTAAATGAGACGTATTTACAAAATACTCGTATTTTACTTACCTTTCTTCCCCTCCTGCCCTGGATTTCTGTACTAAACACTTTGCATTTGTTATTTCTAATCTTCACAACAATCTTGCAAGACAGATGTTGCCATCTCTCTATATAAGGAAGCTGTGGGTCCAGAGTTTCTCCAGATTCACTCAGTGAATCAGCGGTGGATCTTACTTCTCCACGGAACCACTCCTAGAATCACTAACCCCTGGCCTTATTCTTGAGGTTCCTAGGCTTTCTTCTTCTGACCTCCCCATGACCCTGCTCTTATCCTGATTGATCACCACCGTCTTTGTCTGAATCCCTTTGAGACAGAGGGAGCTAGGAGGGAAGGACAAGAGAGAGGTCTTGACAAGGGCTCTGCATGAGAGATTAAAGCCAGGACCTAAGGGAGGTAGAAGGGCCAAAGGTAGCTTCACATTTTCAACTTGAAGGAGCAGAACAGTGGTAGTATCACCAAAAGAAATTGGTAGTTCGAAAGTCTTACTCCTGGGTTTTAAAATCAGGTTTGAGTTCCAATGACTTTCTTTCTTTCTTTCTTTTTTTTGAGATGGAGTCTTACTCTGTTGCCCAGGCTGGAGTGCAGTGGTGTGCCCTTGGCTCACTGCAACCTCTGCCTTCTGGGTTCAAGTGATTCTCCTACCTCAGTCTCCTGAGCTGCGATTACAGGTGTCTGCCACCACGCCTTGGTAATTTTTTTTGTATTTTTAGTAGAGACGGGGTTTCACCATGTTGGCCAGGCTGGTCTTGAACTTCACCTGCCTCTGCCTCTCCAAGTGCTGGGGTTACAGGTGTGAGCCACCGTGCTCGGCCCCAATGACACCTTACTCTCTGGTTAACCATGAGCAAGTCTCTTAGCTTCCCTTGAGCCCCAGTTTCCTCATCTTTTCCCTGAGCATAATCTGACCTGACTTTCATGTTTGTCATTGGTTTGCTGTTCAAGTGATGCAATGCATGTGGCATGCTTTGTAAAGGGTGGAGCTGTGTGCATGCTAGCCATCATCAGTATTTTCAGATATATTATTACTAGAGTCAGATTGTAAATGGAGGCACCGACTTCTTGGTTAAAGTATATCTATGCCAGGGGCCAGCAAACTGTAGTCCATGGCCCATATGTAGCCTGCTGCATGCTTTTATATGGCTCCTGAGCAAAGAATGCGAATGCTTTTTACATTTTAATAGGGTTGAAAAAAATCAAAAGAAAAATATTTATGACATTTGAAGATTACATGAAATTCAAATTTTAATATCCATAAATAAAGTTTATTGGAACATAGCTGAACCCATTTATTTATGTATTGTCTACGGCCACTTTTGTGTTATACAACATCAGAGTTGAGTAGTTGTGACAGAGACTATACGCTCTGCAAAACCTGAGATATTAACTATCTGACTCTTCATAATAAAAGTTTTCCACTCTGTTTCCTTCCTTCCTGTCTGTTGAAGCTTCTGAAAAGCAGAGAAAATTTCAGGAAATCTTAAAAGTTTTTTTTACACTTATTTCTTTTGTTTGATAATGAAGGTAAAATGAGAATATATTTGTCTTTTTTTCCTCCTGTCTGATGCTTTTAAAAGTAAATCTTCATTCAATGTTGAAACATTATTATGACTTTGAAAGGTAATTAGGGTAAAAAACCACCAACAAACTCAAACCAACCTTAACGTGGCCATTCTAACACATATTTCAAAAATGAAATTGATGCTTCCTTCTACTCTTGGCTTATTTATGTATTCCCAAATGGCTGTAACTATGGTCTACATAAAATTTCATAGTTGATCAGCCTTTTTCAGTTGGCTTTGTGAATATTACTTGGTCATTGCTTTTATTTTTCATAGTGGTTGTATTGCTATAGAATGGTACAGTTCACAAGTTATATGTCTTTCTGAAATACTTCTTATTCTTGCCTTTCATCCAATCCTTGCTTCTTCAAATATGATTGCAAATGCTTCTCTTTGGAGCCAGCTCTGGGCAACCTGGGCTTGCTTATTTTCCCTTCCTCCCTTAATCTCTGCCCTCTGATATTGATTCAAGCGCAGCATTCCCACTGAGCTTACAAACTGAGAAAGATGAGAAATAAGCCAAAGAAAAAGTGTCAGAGAATAAATGAACTTGATATTTTAAAGGTGATTTTCGCTTTGCCCACACCTCCCCACTAATCATTCAATAATAATAGAAAAAACATTTAGCAAACAAAAATATTCTCCATTTATGTAATAATGATATGAGGGATGTTTGTGCTCTCCATTGCATTTCTAAATAAGTAGAAATAAAAATAAGGCCATTATCGTCATTATGTTATATTGTTAATCCTTTTACTGTATTTAATACAAAAAACTCTTTAATTTGTCAAATTAACTTAATGCCATGAATTATAAGTAAAAGATGGTTATTTCATTTTATTATCTTATTTTTTTCCTAGTGAGAAGCTGGATGGAAAAATTAAAAGACAAGGTAAGAAAAGTATTTTCTTCCATTGGTTTATTTTTAGGGGCATATAGCTTTATTAAGCAAAAGATCTTCAGAGTAGTAGGGCTTTGGTTTATTATTCTGATTCTGGTAATCTATCTAAAGATTCAGGGCAACTTGCAGTACCTGCAAAAAAGAAGCCCTTCCCTTTAAATCCCTTCTTTTAGAATACAGGAGACACCTTATTCTTTGGAGCACCATTCACTCTTATAAAAGTGTAAGAATTTACCTTGTTTGATATGCTCCACAGAATAATATCATTGACATATCAAGGTGAAGTTTCTTTTTGGGAATTTCAGGATTGTCATCTCATTCCATCTGTTTTTTTTTTTTTTTTTCTAATATGAGACTCTCTAGGTGTGTAGTTTATCACAGTGCTGCCACTTAGTAGGTATTGATTAGCTGACCTGTCTGGAATGGCCAACTACAGATAAAGATTTTCTTTTTTTGCATTAATTCTGCCATCTACATAGTGATTGACAACGTTAACTTCCAGGTTGATATTGTTCATTTTCTTTTGATTTTCAATCCTCTCCAAGTTTTCACTTTTGGTTACTTGGTAATTTTAAACTGAATTACTCATAAAGATATTGATGGAGTCCTGAATTCCTTGTTGTAGCCAGTGTCAGGTCCCATTATTACAGCCCAGCTCAGATTTCACTGGGATTTCAGCTAAATGGAAATCTTTTCAGTGGTCAGATATTGAGTTGCCTTCAATTCACCAGTCTCAATATATTTCTGTTGATGGCATTCCATATCTTTTTTATTACCTGCAGTCAATTTCCCTCATATTTGAATTATTAATATTATTTTGCTACAGCTTAATATTAAAGAATACAACATTCAATTGCAAATAAATTTATATAATTGTATTAATTCTCCTTACTATTTCTGCTTCTCAGTAAAATTTAGCACAGATAGTTTTTGAGAATGAGACTATTTTGTGTTCATATAAATTAAAAGTGACATTGAAAAATTTTAAGCCTGTTGAGGTCAATGGAGGCCATTTTGGTATTTGTAATGGGTCCAATTGTGAAGAGAGGTGGGCTGGGATCAGATGGACTGAGAAAAACTTGGGGGGAAGAAAAGCTCAAAAGTTTAGAACTGGATATATTTACATTGGTAGTGTTTCTTGTTATTTTTTCAGGGAAAAATATGATGCAATGAAAATTAAACAGGATTTGTTATGTTAACCTAGGAATTCATATATCATTGTTTCCATAGAAAGTATCCTGAGTTATTTAAGAAAGGGACCAAAAAAAAAAAGGCTTAAGAAAATAAATTTTGTCATGTAAACAGTTTTGAAATTTGATATTGTTAAATTTCTTATCTGCATGTATATATAGCTTTACCATTCCCTAAAAAAATCTGTACAGCTTTAGAGAAAGGCTATATTTTTTTATTCCTATGAACCCTTTATTCTTATCTTGTCTCAAAATCTTGGTACCTTTTTCTTGCTCCTTTTTATCAAGAGAAATAATTTTGTATGTGACCGCTAGTTTTCTGGCTTATTTTGAAGTTTTTCCAGCTTTCTCATCACTTTCTTCCGTAGTATTTTTTTCAGCATATTTTAATTAAAAAAATTGTAAGAAGAAAATTTTGAATTCCAATAGTGACTGTCATATGTGCCTATATCTTCATCTTTTGACTCTTGGAGGAACTCTTTAAATCTTCCCCATATTCCCTGCCTTCTTCCATGCTTGAACGATTACATGCTAATTTGATATGTATATTTTATATGTATATACACACATATGTACATATATCTTCGTTTAACAAGTCTTACAGGTGATCCTGATACATGCTGGAGTTTGAGAAGATACATGTACATAGATCTTACACACATATATATATATACATATATCTTCCTCACTCTCTGTTTGTCCATCCATCCATCCATCCATCATCTATTAAAGTCTTGTTAGTCATTATCTTCAGAAACTATTTGAGTACAAAACTCTTTGTCTCTTTGATGAAAGTCACAGAATCCCTTAGAACTAAAAACTAAACTACATGCCCAACCTGGCTCTTCAGGCAAGCCAGGACACTCTGTCAGGTTAGCTTCATTTAATTGTTCCAGTATTGAGTCTCTGTTGGTTAGCTGGATTCTAGAAAGGGTGGTGTTTTCAAAAGTTCTGAATTATTCCTGTTGTTGTTGTAGTTTAGTCTTTCTATATTAAGATTAAGATCAGCTGTGAATGATAGCCAATCCGCCCCCACCCCCAATGACAATGGCTTAGCCAAGATAGAAGTTTGTTATCTCTCTCTCTCTCTCTTTTTTTTTTTTTTTTTTTTTGCAGAGTCTTGCTCTGTCACCCAGGCTGGAGTGCAGTGGCATGATCTTGGCTCACTGCAACCTCCGCCTCCTGGGTTCAAGCGATTCTTATGCCTCAGCCTCCTGAGTAGCTGGGATTACAGACATGCACCACTATGCCAAATTAATTTTTGTATTTTTAGTAGAGATGAGGTTTTACCATGTTGGCCAGGGTGGTCTTGAACTCTTGGCCTTATCTGACCTGCTTGCCTCGGCCTCCCAAAGTGCTGGGATTACAGGCATGAGCTACTGTGCCCGGCCCCTATTGTCTCTTGTTTTTAAGTCTGGAGATAGTCACAGGTTAGTGGGGAGTTACACAGTGAGAGCGGCCCAAGCTTCTTCTATGTGATGCTCCACCATTTGTGACCTTCATTCCCAAGGTCACCTCATGATCCTGGATGGCACTTCTGACTTAGCTATGTGCGTATTCTAGCCAGAGGAAGGAGGAAAAAGGGGGAGGCTAATGACACCCCTTTCTTTTTAAAAGGGAGGATAAAAGCACTGTCATTCTTAAAGGGGAAGAATAAAGGCTCTGCTCCCCTTTTATAGAACGTATCTTGAAATTTTCTTATGCCACTGACATATCATCTTCTTGGTGAAACTTACCACATGGTTGTACCCAGCTTCCCAGCAGGCAAGAAGTCATTTTTATTTTGTGCCCAGTCCCAAACTGGAAGCTCTTTTGCTATAGAAGAAGAAAAGAATGGATATTGAAGGACACTTCCTGTATTAATTCCATCATTAACTGTCTTCTTGGCTAATCCAAGTTGGTGATCCTTGTTAGGCAAGTTTTAACTTGGCTACCCATTAGTATATCTTCTCAGCATCTAAACTGATTTTCAAAACTGAAGATGCATAACAATTTTAATTGTGTAATAAAGACCAGACCTGTTGTTATATCAATAAAACCAATCTATTTCTTCTAGCTTTAGGAAACCATCCAGAAAATGCATGGCCCAGACTATACTTCATAGCAGCGATTCTCAATGTATGGTCTGGACTAGCAGCATCAGCATCACCTGGAGCTTGTTGGATATGCAAATTCTCAGACTCCACCATAGACATACCTCCCAGGAACTCTGGGAATGGGGCCCAACAATCTGCATTTTAGTAAGTCTTGCAGGTGTTCCTGATCCATGCTGGAGTTTGAGAACAACCATTGCACAGAAATCGTAAGGATGCTGTGTCAATTCTGCAGACTTTAGGCAGTACAGCATATCATTTGGTTTCCTATGGCTTTCTTGATGACAGCTATTCTGAATAAATATGTTATCCTAAGAAGGAAGGATACCTTTCTTGTTGACTTCAAACAAACAAAACTTCAAAACCAAACAAAAACAAGTATATTTAGCAATATTTGACTTATAATTTACTTTAAAATTTAAAACTTTATTTGGAAATAATTTAAAATTTACAGATGAGATACAAGAGTAAGAATGGTGCAAAGAACATTCCTACACCTTTACCTGGATGCGCCTGCTGTTTGCATTTTACCCCATGTGCTTTATCATTTGCTGTCACATTCTCCTCTTTTTTCCTGAACCATTTGAGGATAAGTTGCATGTGTTGTGGCCTGTTTACCCTTATATATTTCAGTGTATATTTCCTAAGAATGAATATATACTTTAAGCAGATCTCTGTGCAGTTATTAGCTGGAGTATATTCAATATCGATATAATACTTTTATGGAATCTGGCATTCATATTTCAGTTTTTTCAACAAACCCAAAATATCCTTCATAAGAGCATTTTTTCTCCTCTCTCACAGAATCCACTTTAGGATTATGTAACACATTTAGTTGTCATGTTTCTTTAATTTCCTTTAATCTGGAACATTTTTATAGCCATCTTTTATCTTTTATGACATTAACATTTTTAAAGAACACAGTCTTTTTAAAAAACAGAATATACTTTAAGTTTGTTGGATGTTTTCTCATGATTAGATTCAGGTTATGCATTCCTGGTTGGAATAATACATTGGTGCAATTGTGTCTTTCTCAAGGTGTCACATCTCGGGGCATGTGTATATGCAATAATTTGGACAGAGAAAAAGTACTAGGCAGAATTTATAACTTAAAACTGTGTGCATGTTGTCTTATTTATTTTCATTGCTGAAGAAATCAAGTCATGAGCAATTCTAACAGAGGAGCTTATTTTCCCTTAGTCAGTTTTGAAAGAAGAATAGTTAAATTATATCTTAAGATGGTACGTTGCTTTGCTCCCATCTTGTAATTTACTTGTAATTTCAAAGCAAGGCAGATGCCACCAAAAAAGAAAAACAAAACAGAGGAGACAAAAAAGAGAGATGTAACTGAGTTTTTGTGAAATCTACATAATTTAGAGCTCTAGCTAAATGTAACCATTCCACAATGAAAGTATACTTTAAAACATCATGTTGTACATGATGAGTACGTACAGTTTTATATGTCAATTTACAAATATAAATATAAATTTGAAAAAATAAAGCTCCATAAGTAAAAGGCTTAAGTGTGTCAATAAGAAATGCAGAAATGGTGACATATTTGAGAGTACCGATGTTGTTGGTATGGGGTTAAGTTACAGAGTATGAGGAGACATGCACAGAGGCTGATCAAGTTGACCTTCCAAAAGTTCAAATGTTACTGTACATGAGAAGCCTAATCATCTGGGCTTAAAGTTTATCATATTTCAACATGTGTGTGTTTCCATACACTGGGAATGGTCATGAAAAATAATTCACAGTTCTTGTGTGAGCACCAACACTTTGATGTTGTTCAGTATTTTCCCACATGGAAAATTGCAGAGTTTTTATAAGCCTTAAGTAGATTTGGAAGAACTTTAGAAAAAGTTTGGGCTTCTACAAAGCATATTAATTAATTAATTTATTTATTTATTTATTTTTATTATACGTTAAGTTCTAGGGTACAGGTGCACAACGTGCAGGTTTGTTACATATGTATACATGTGCCATGTTGGTGTGCTGCACCCGTTAACTTGTCATTTACATTAGGTGTATCTCCTAATGCTGTCCCTCCCCCCTCCCCTCACCCCACGACAGGGCCCGGTGTGTGATGTTCCCCTTCCTGTGTCCAAGTGTTCTCATTGTTCAGTTCCCACCTATGAGTGAGAAGAAGGCATATTAATTTATTGAAAAATGTCTAGGCTTTGTTTCTTGGGGAAAAATACTTAGTATGCTGAGGAACAGTGCTATTGTTCTCAAATTAATGGAAGAATTTCCATATTTTGCCCTAAGTGAAGACTCTGGGAGGCAGAAACAGTGAGGGAGCTGGCTGAGCACAAGAGGAAAGTGCTGCTGTTTCATAAACTCTGATGTATTCTTTGGATGTCCTGCTAGAAATGTTGGGAAAACATCACAGCCTGCATACTTCAGCACTTTCAGGAAAACTTTTATCCTCTGTCCTGCTCCATTTTTGGCTCACTTTGAAAAATACTAAAACAGTTTGTGCTGTATTAAAAATTTAAAAAATAGTCATATAAATGAATAGACTTATGAACAATTTAAATTGTTTATGTATTTTGCATGGGTAGACTTCTAAGAAGGGCTTCTTGGGAGGCAAACCATTACCTGTGTTCCCCCATGAAAGGGCTATAGGTTAGTACATACCCTGTTAGCCCATAGGAGTCTTATTGGCCAAGGTGTAGGGATCACTCTGAGTACAATGGCCTTTCCCTGAGCTTAGGTAGGTCCTGAGGTACTTACTCAAGTCCAGGGATCATCCTGCTCTCTGAGGATAAAGGTATCCATAGTGACACCTTGGAGACCCTGGAGACATCGATGAATTTGACACTTCCAGGATCTTTTGGAGGTATCGTGTTGTTGGCAGTGATCTTTGTGTACTTCTCTGCCACTTCCTTTCTTTGGGGCTGGGACATTCAGAATTCCCTCCCAACCTCCAACTTTGTCTTGTCTGTTGGGAAGGTGATTCCATTCACAGAAATCAGTCCATCCATTTTGTGTGCACACTCTCCCCTTGTCCTTGTCTTTTCTGCCTTTGCTCCAACATCTAACATTCCTCCTCTTGCCTTTGCAGGCCTTTTTTTTCCTTGTTTTCAGAAGCCCTCCCCTTTTACCCACAAGCATTTTCATCTTTCTTTTCTTACTGTAATGCAGCCAAGACAGACAGAGAGGGAGAAGAGAGGACCACCACTGTCAAGGCCCTCCTTTTAGCCCCCAGCAAACACACTATTCCAGAGGACACTTTGACCTCCTTTAAGCTTGACTCTGGCTGATATTTCCAATTTATAGCATTTTAGTAGTCCTGGCATTCTCAGAGGCTTACTTCATCCATCTTTAATACAAATTATATTTCTGTCATCAGAACCTGAGGTTGACAAATGTGCATAAGCTAGTGGCTGGAGGTGCCACTAGGTCTGGCTGATTTATTTCAATACTTCTATGTATTTGAAATATCCCCAAAATAGGCCTGTCTCTCTCTCTGTTGCCTTCTCCCTAAAAAGTTACTGTATTTTAGGCTTAGTTTTATCTTACAACAAAGCAGACAGGAGAATTCAAAGTGTCTAAAAACCTGCTGCCATCCAGCAGAAATGAGAAACCCAGGGCGGCGCGCTCTGTTTAGCATCCTAATGTGTGTTTCCTTTTCTATGCAGGCTGGTTACATGTCTGGGATGCTGGTGCCTGTAGGGGTTGGGATAGCTGGAGCCTTGTTCATCTTGGGAGCCCTCTACAGCATTAAGGTTATGAATCGCCGAAGGAGAAATGGCTTCAAAAGGCATAAAAGAAAGGTATGGAACCAACAACAGCAAAACCTAATCAGTTTCAGAACATTCTTTGCTTATCTAATTTACTTAATAAAGCACACGGGGTTTAATGATGCTTGGGTGGTATTGACGTGCCCAGTGGTCTGGATTAGCTGCTGTAGCTCCTGCCTTGGCTTCGTTTGTTAGCATGTCTTTTAAAGTGGGCCTGTTTCTCAGCTTTGCTCTGTGGCAGAAAGAGTTTAATGCTTTTCTGTTTTCTTTCTCTAGCAGAGAGAATTCAACAGCATGCAAGATCGAGTAATGCTCTTAGCCGACAGCTCTGAAGATGAATTTTGAATTGGACTGGGTTTTAATTGGGATATTCAACGATGCTACTATTCTAATTTTTATTTTGGAGCAGAAAAAAAAAAAGAACAACCTGCCACATTGCTGCTATCAGGCCGTTAGTCCTAGTGTCTGCTGGGTGCTGGGTAGTAGATTTTTCTTGTACTGAGCAGAAATGGCATGTTGTATACTAAACGTATCATGCAGTATTTGGTTTTATTCTGTAGTGAATTTTCCACAACCGTGGGCTACAACTCATAAATATGCAACATATATGTTTTTCAGTAGGAGTTGCTACATTAGGCAGAGTAAATATTTTGTAGTTTTCCACAGTGTCTTTTCCTTGGTTTGAATTACCTGCATTGAGAATAATGATTGTTGCCACCAAGGCATGCTTGACTCTGAGATATAAATCTTAACAAAGAATAACTTCTCAAGATATACTCTACCTACTTGAAACCACAGGGTTGTGGGCCATGGTACATACTGCATTTGCATCAAACTAGCAGTAACTCAGAATGAAATCATTTTCATTAAGAAGCTCTCTCAGCATATTAGGATTATATGTAGATTTGTATGTATTTTGCATTATGTACTTCAGTCTCCTAGTTTTATTATTCTCACCTTCCGTTTTATTCTTGGCGAGGAAAAAAATGCACTAGAAATAATACATTAAACTGACTCTTAGTCTTAATGTACGTTTGCTGTCTTAAATAGTGTGATTGAGTCCAACAGACTCAATCATACATGTCATACATGTTTATGATTAAGAGATATTCTTTTTGTGTGCTAGTTGATTTTGCCGAGAAAAAATGAAGAAGAATTCAAGAATGAGATGAGGGTAGGTAAGCTCTCAGAGCATTTCTGTCTGCCATTTGGTTCTATGCTTATGTGGCTGCTAATGTGACTAATTCAGAGTGTTGTATTTCCACATCTGTGGACTCCACCATGGAAAAGGTGGGCTACCATTGGTCCTTATATGGCTTTATTAGAAAAATAGACATTCTATCGTTTGTCTGCCCAGTGGCCAGAGTCCTGGTGAACAACAGAGCTCATGGGAAACCAGCCTCTCTCAGGGCACCCCGCTATGAGGATATTGAAATATGTTCAATCATTTCTCATCTCCCTTGGAATGTAATTCCCTGCCCTATACAAAATAGGATATTCCAATGCGCTATTTGAATCTAGGGATTGAGGATTTGTAGTTGAGTTTTGGGGTAAAGGCTTGGCTCATTGCCATGGAAGAATAAAAGTTATTTATTAATAGTGCTGTCACTGTGGAGTACTTGTTGGTGTTTATTAGAAGTTGTCTACTATGTTCAAGAAAAGTTGCACAGTTATTCCTCAGAGCTACTATGTGAGGTAGGACATATGTTTTTATTCTCCCATTTGACTGAAGATGGAACTGAAGCAGAGAAGTGAAATGATTTTCCAAAGTTGTACCCAGAGAGAATCAGCGTGAGAACCCACTTGGACCCAGCCATGCACCCTTATCTTCAGTTCAGTAACCTTTTCATAGACTTTGGTGGAAGCAGTGACATTTCAGGGTCCTTCTTTAAAACAAAGGTTCTAAGGGAATAGCAGGGAATAGCTGCCTGGTCAAGGAACGTTTGATGTGAATTTCCATCTTTGTTAAATGAATGATGCCTTTCTAATTTCTCTCTTACTCACACACAAGTTCTTTCCTTCCCCATCTCAGTTATCAGTTATTTCCTTTACAGTCATACATTTGAGTATCACCTCTATGGAACTAATAAACCTTCCTAGAATCCGTTTTTGAATAATGTCTGGCTCACAAGAACATTTTCATCAAATAATTTTAACTCTTTTTGCCAAGAGATGTAAGCAAATATGTGAAACTGATCAAGAGAAGTGAAAAGCTCTGTACAGTCAAATAGAAGTTAGCAACTGGCAAATTAGCTCAAGGTCAGATTTTAAAAATAGAATTCAGAATCATGACACTCAGAAGTGATTTGTAATTTCACGAGTAGAGACATCCTGATATTGCATAAGGGATGTTTTCCTTTTCTAAGAGCAGCCCTTTGCTGTAAGTGTTTCTAAGGTTGGGAGTAAGTGAGCATGGTGTGGCATTACTGTCTTTGTATTCTTGACAAACTATTTGTTGAGAATACGTCGTAGGCCACTTAACTGAGTAGCACATGGGTGATACTAGTGGCCATTATTGCCTTGGGCTACTCAATCTATAGTCTTAACTAAACCATGGCTAATAGGTTGAATCTTCAAACTGTAGTGTAATAAATTCCCAAATAACAGACCCATATTTTCATTTCTCAGAGGTCCGTGAGGATGACATGTATGTGAATTTTGGCTTAACACAGTATCTCTGTGGTCCTTTTTGGGACACATGATTTCTTAAAGGAAAAGATTATACTTAGAGTACATTTCTGTACAAACCCATTTAAACATCTGGATTGAGTGGAAGGTCGGTGGATGGTACAAATGACATGTTTATTTTGGCCATTTTCCTTGCTGCTGGTGGCTGTGGAATAATGATTTTCAGTGGTTGGCTTAGATTATTAAGAGGATCAGAAAAGGTTGTCATATTTTAAACAAAACCTGGGATTAGAGATGCTGCTACGAGATGGAAGTGCTGGCCAGTGGTTATATAGTGGTCCAGTTGAGAAGTAGTAAATCAGGCACTTGTAGGTTTACCCAAAATAAGTGACAAGTATGCTTATATTTGCACAATTAAAATAGAAAGTCAACTTTTTATTCAAACAACTAGGCTTAAAACATTTAACAGTGAAACAAATAAAGCTGTCTGGAAAGGAGGGCTGATTCCTGCAGCTTCAGTTGTGAACACCATCCCCACTGGACTGAGTTTACCCAGCCAGAACTGCCAGCATCCCACCGCAGGGGCAGGAACTAGGTCTTCTTCTCGGAGGGAGAGGCAGTGTTTCCAGAATTTGCAGGCTCATAAAAATCACCTGGGACACTTGTGAAACATACAGATCTCAAGGCCTTGCCCCAGACCTGATGAGTTAGAATCTCCAGGGAAGGAGCTTGGGGTATTCATGCCCCAGCAAGCTTGGGAACACAGCTAGGAGGGATCTATCTAGAGAACCACTTCCTTATGATAGAGACAAGGTCATTTAAAGTCACAATGAGATACCACCTCACACCTATTGGGATGGCTATTATTCAATAAAACAAAATATAACAATTGTTTCTGAGGATGTGGAGAAATTGGAATCCTTGTATACTGTGGGTGGGAATGTAAAATGGATAGCCACTGTGGAAAACAGTATGAAGATTCCTCAAAAAATTAAGATAGAACTACTATATAATCCAACTATCCCACTTCTGGGCATATATCCAAAAGAATAGAAATCAGGATCTTGAAGAAGTATCTGTACGCCTGTGTTCATTGCTTATGCTTATAAGCATATTATTCACAATAAGCTTATAAGTATTATTCACAATAGCCAAGATATGGAAATTGCATTGATAGATATGCAAATATCTATCAATAGATGAATGGATAAAGAAAATGTGGTATATACATACAGTAGAATATTATTCAGCCATAGGAAATAAGGAAATTCTGTCATTGTGACAATATGGATATACATGGAGAACATTATGCTAAGTGAAATAAACTAGTGACAGAAGGACAAATGCATGATTGCACTTCTTTGAGGTATCCAAAATAATCAAACTCATAAGGGCAGAGGCAAAATGGTGCTTGCCACGGGCTGGGCAAAGTTAAAGGTGGGGAGATGTTGATTAATTATGTTTCAGTTATGCAAGATGAATAAGTTCTAGAGCTCTGCTGTATAACATAGTGCCTATAGTTAACAATATCGTACTGTGCAGTTAAAAATTTGTTAAGAGGGCCGGGTGTGGTGGCTCACGCCTGTAATCCCAGCACTTTGGGAGGCCAAGGTGGGCAGATCATGAGGTCAGGAGATAGAAACCATCCTGGCTAACATGGTGAAACCCCATCTCTACTAAAAATACAAAAAATTAATTGGGCCTGGTAGCGCGCCTGTAGTCCCACCTACTCGGGAGGCTGAGTCAGGAGAATCGCTTGAACCCGGGAGGTGGAGGTTGCCATGAGCCAAGATTGCGCCACTGCACTCCAGCCTGGCGACAAAGTGAGACTCTGTCTCAAAAACAAAAACAAAAACAAAAAACAAAACAAAACAAAAATTTTTGTTAAGAGGGTAGATCTCACATTAAATGTTCTTAACACACACACACACAAACACACACACACACACACACACACACACACAAAAGAGACAAGGAGAGCAGTCCCCTGTAGGAAGAGACACTTTCCCTGGTCATGCTATCCAATAAATCACACCTGCTGTGGAGAAAGGAGAAAGGAAAACAAGGAAAGAGAAAAGGATGGAAGCTACTAGAAAAAGAATAGAAGGCTGGGATGGAGAGAAAAGGGTTTCTCCCATACCCCTGATGTCTTTTTCTCTAATTAGAAAAGACAGTGCTTTTCTTTCCAACCTCTTTAGTTTTTTCTTTCCCATAAGCTGTTTCTTTCAGTAGCTGCTAGCTTAATTTATATGCAATATTTGGAGTTAATTAGTATCCCAGGGTAACAGATTCCCTTAGCGATGCCTTAGCTGTGCCTTCAGCTGATAAACTGCCTCAAATACAATTTTCCAGAAACACTTTCTTAAAGTACCTGTATCTCTTAACATAGGTCAAAACTGTATGAAGAAATTTTAAAGCCAAGTTTTAGAACACATTTAAAGTAATTTTTGAAGAGTCAATTAAAAGTGGTTTTTCATTTTATGATTTTTTTCCCCAAATGCTAAGCGTTAAAAGCCAAAACATTTTATATAGGTATCCGAAAATTACATAGAGTGCATGGAGCATACTGAATACCTCGCTCTTCCTTCTGTGTCTGCCTCCAGGTGTCTTCTTCCTGTAGAAGTCCAAATGAAACACCTTATTTCCAATCACAGCCACAACCTGGGGGAGAAGAATCAAATCCTCCACAGGGATTGTGATTTCTGCAGATATGAATAATCCATGTTCCTACCAGCTGCCAAAAAAACAGCTTTTGGAAACAAGATGTACTATTTGGCGCAAGGTTATAGCTACGTGACATTTTGGCAAGACAGGCTTTTTTATGACCACAGAGGAATTTGAAGAGGCAGGAACACAACTGAAAAAAAATCTCTTCCCTTTATGGTATGTGAAGGTGTGGTTTCAAGCAAAGAAATATGGTAGAAGAAGATGGAGGAAAATCATAATGCAAGGCAAATATAAAAATGGCACAAAACATTAGAAAGTGCTGGAGGATGCCAAAGTTCTGAATGGACCAATGCTTGAAAAAATATAGAGAAAAGCAAGGAGAAGAATACAAATGAGGAAGATCATTAACAGGAGAAGGGACCATAAAGCTACACAAATCCATTTTGCCTCCACCTTCTCCATCAAATAATATTATCTCATAGTAGTTAGAATGAACATAGCTGGGGGTGGGGAACTGAAGTCCAAGATGGATGAGGAGGTAAAAGGTGCTTGGTTACTTTAAATGAGCTTAAGCTCAGTTAGATATCTTCTTTAATTGCACAGTCTTCAAATGACTGAATATAAACTTCTAGGAATAGGAAATAATTTGAAAGCAAAATAATGGTACTGACTTAGTAAAAGTCCCACATGTGCACATTTAGCACTCCTAGACTGATAAGCTGAAGATGAGCTGTGGAGAGATGTTGCCCTGATAATTATAGACTGGCAGTTAACATAGCTGGAAACATAATCCTGTTGCTTAATTTCTGCATGCAGAAAAAAACCCCAGCATTTATTTTGCAAGCCGCTGTAATACAAATGCACTGGGAGTGTCCTATTTGGGGTAATAGGTATATCTAACTCCCTTTTAATTAACCCAAATTTCTACCATGTGCATATAGGATAAAGAGAAGGAAGGAAGGAAGGAAGGAAGGAAGGAAGTAATTAAGGAATTCCCTCAGTAAGTAGCAGCAAAAGCACAAAGAAACAAGTCATTTGCTCCCATGTTCTAGTTTGTGTAAAAGCACAAAAAAATTGATGTAAAAAAACTTACATATTCCACCTAGTAAAGCAAATATCCTACTTTCTCTTTTCAAGAAGCAGCAGGAAAAGATCACTTATGTAAGTGATAACCATCAACAATTTGTAATATAGAGTATAAATTCTTCAGATGGATGTTGCTGAGAGGTGTAACCTTTTGTGGGTTAAGGATGGAGGAACTGAGGAGTAGAAACAGAAGAATTATCTGTGGGGGGAAAATCCTGTTATCTTTTTTCTCAAAGTGTATAGGTATAGGAATGGAGTGCAAGCAAAGTTGCAGGCAAAGTGGGCATCCACTTGGATTATTTTATTACCTTTAAGGTGGGTAGATCATCTGCTCTAGTCTCAAAAGAATAAACCTGGCATCAGTTCAGGAAACTGAGGTTTTTATTAACCAGTGTCATGTCCATCTCAATATTCTCTTCCTAATTAGCAGTCAAATAAAGGAAGGGACCAAAAGCATTTGAATCATTTCTCTAATTTTATGTCTCATGACATGGCCACAGCATTTGTGTAGTTCAGACTTCTTCATGACCAGACAGACTAAAGTAGGAAATTATAAGTAGTCTTCCAAAAAGGAATTTTGATACAAAACCTTCAATGGTCATTTTCCTTTATTTCCCTCTTTATGTAAGAGGTAAAGGAGGAGGAATAGGAAATGGTTTTGTGGTTGAACCAATCGAATCCCAAAGATTTGATTGGTTCTTTGCCGAGGAGGGTGAGGATGGCTAGAGACTCTATCTTCAGCAAACCAAGAACACTTGATATTGCTTCTGACTGAATCAGTATTTATTGAATGCCTTTTATGTGTCAGGTAATATGTTAAGTGTTGGGGGAGCCAAGACACAGTCCATGACTGGAAAGGGCTTATGGATTAGTAGGGAAGACAGAAAATGGGCAATTTCATATCAGAGACACTGGGATCCAGAAAAGGAATATCTAACTGGGTCAAGAAGATCAGGGATGCTTCTCCAGAGCAGGTAACATCAAACCTAAGGCCAGGAGGATGAGTGGGGTTATTCAGATAAAGGGGAGAAGGGGATATGTGATCTAGCCAGAGAAACCCCATGTGCAAAGGCCAGGGGTGAGAGATCAAGTAGTTAGCCTGGCTGGGGTGCTAGGTATTCTAGGGGAGTGAGAGTTGGGGTTGAGGGTAGTATGCTATGTGAAATACGGGGCTGAATGGGAAGGATCCTCTAGGTCCTGTCAAGGAATGAGGACTTTATTTGAGGGCAATTAGAAGTCATGCAAAAATATTATGCTGTGAAGTGTTATGATCAGGCCTGAGTTAATAGGAAGACTGGTTTGGGAAGGTTAAAGTCTGGAGTCAGAGACACCAGTGAAGGTCAAGGTTGATGCAGCAATGTAAGTGAGAGATAATCATGGCCTGGACCAAGGTTGCAGAAATGAACATGGAAGGGGAGAATGGGTTCTGGCGGTGTTCAGCAGGGGTAGACAGTGGGACTTGCAGATTGTTTAGATGGAGAGATGAGGGAAAAGACAACATTTAAAGCTGACTAGGGTCATGGGACTTTTGAGGCTTCTAGATACGATGGTCTAGTGTTCTGCCTTCTGGAGGGGCTGACCCTGTATTATCCCAGCATATCTAGGCCTGAGAAAAATAACCTACAAGCCTGCCAGAAATGTATAGGCAGCATTAATTTTTACAAAGTGTAAATGTGTGGTCATTTTCTGTGACTTCTTTTGTTTACTTTTTTTGAGACAGGGTCTTACTCTGTCACTCAGGCTATAGTGCAATGGTGCAATCATGGCTTACTGCAGCCTCAAACTCTTGGGCTTAAGTGATCCTTCCCCCTTAACTTCCTGAGTAGCTAGGACTACAGATGTGTGTCAGCACTCTCAGCTATTTTTTTTTTTTTTATTTTTTGTAGAGACAGGGTCTCACTATGTTGCCCAGGCTGGTCTCGAACGCCTGGGCTCAAGCTATGCTGCCTCAGCCTCCTGAGCTGTTGGAATTACAGGCATGAGCCACTGCACCTCGCCATTTTCTGTTACTTTTAATAGTAGGTACCAGTGAACTAACTTTGCATTTAATGAAACTTAAATATCTGGGAAAATTCTCCTAATACCTTTAGGGGATTACTTTGGTTGATCCCTAGATATGAGTTACTATCTCAGATCTGTTTGACTGTCTTGATTTGTAAAGGCTAATAGGAGAGTTTCTTATTCTTTGACAAGGGAACAAAGCTCAATATCTTGTTTTTCTTGAAAACAAATCCAAGAAACTTTTTTCTCAGGGCTGGTATGTATGAGGACAACATCTGGTCTTAGATGTGCAGCCTGCAGAATCAAGCAATGCAGCTCTGTGTCCTGGTGCTGAGCAGTTTCTGTGGCCTTTTGACAGTTCTTACGGGCAATCGTCAAGCCACTTACCTTCCTTAGCATATAAAAAATAAAGCAAGTTTCCCATAGTTGCCATATCAGCACAAGGCCAGATTCTGGAGGGCCTCAGGGACAATGATATGCAGAATTGAGAAAATTCAGAAAAACTTAAGAATAATTATCATTCCAGTCCCACCCGAAATGTTAACAATAATAAACATTGGTAACATTTTGGTCTGTACTTTTCTAATCTTTTTTTTCCTATGCATTTATGATATGCAATAAATACTTTTATTTTTATACAAAATCAGGATTATAATTTACATAGTATTTTGTTACCTCTCTGTAGCTATGTTTTCCCATGGTTGTTTTAAGAGGAATAGAAGAAAGGAAAACAGCTTGTGAAAATCCTAAGTTGTATTTGAACGAGCAAGCTGTGTTTCCTCATTAAAACATTTATTTCGCATTTGATGGTCCATAACTGCCCATTTACCTCAGGATGCCTCCATAGGATGAAAATAAGAACAGAGTTGAAAGAAGTCTCCATAAACACAACGCACATTGGCAAATGTCATATTCTTGTTCCTTAAGGGATTAGAGAACACTTTCTTCTCTTTGTCTTTGCCCCCAAAGTAAAAGCTATAAGCTTTTATAATTAAATAATAAGACTGAATAACCATAAGCGCAATTAATATGTAGTATTATGAGAAATACTGGGGAAAAGGACACTTACTGTGTGACTTAAATTGATTAAAGGGTTATTCAGTTCAACTCTCTTGAATCTAATTAGTATTTTTGTGTCATTTATTATTATAGGGCACACATTTTTTACATTTGATTTAACTTGACTAAAATTAAATGAGCAAATGTTTATTGCTATGTCCATTGTTTTCCTTTCTCTGTCATTGTTAAAAAGAGGAGCCATGGCTTCTGCTTCTTCTGTGTATTCTCCATTAGACCTTCTTCATCCACCCTCTTCCCCATCCCTTTCAGCTCTGAAGGGTCTATAAATGAAAGTGGGTACCAACTGATTCAATAGGACTTATATCTTACTAAATAACGTTTTATTGTCTTTGTTCTATGTATTTGCAGAGAAATTGTAAGTATCTTTAAAACCAATTAACAAAGCCCTGTGGGTCTTTCAATCAAGACCTTTGTAAACATCTCTACTAGCCCATACTCCCCCAAACTTCTTGCACATGGTAGAAGATGACATTAAATAAAGCACATTATAAGGTGCAATGAGCTTTATTCTAAAAATATTGTCTGGATGTGAAAGTAAGTTCTTGTTCATAAAATGTTATTAGTAAAATGTTATTAGATTAAAATTATGGAGTAAGCATTTGGCAAACTGATTGACTCTTCACTGGAAAGACCAGGCTTTTTAGCACACATTTCTGTTCATGCTTAAGGTCAGAAGTCAATCAAAGGCAACCAGAAAAAAAAAAGGCAAATAAATGAATTAGGGACATAATTATTTTCTGTTATAAATAATCAGGATCTTTTCAAGTTTAATTATGGGGAGTTGTTGAATAGGCTAGTTTTATGCCATGCAAATAAAATGTGAATTTCAAAAATCTTAGTGAAACTCAAATTTATTTTTACTTAGCGATAATAAAATCACAAATACTTCTTGAGCTCTTGCTGTAGGCCAAGTGCTGTGCTCAGTACTTAACATGGATAAACTCGATTGAGTATCACAATTCAAAGAGGTAGGCACTCCAGGTTACCCTTGACTCTGCTGATGGCAGAAACCTCACTTGTAATAAATAATTATCTTTGACAAGAGAAACATAAAACAAGACCTGTAATAAATGATTTGTTCACAGATTTTTCATGTCATAGAAACTATATAGCATTGATTTTTAGCTATGATTTTGATTCAGTTTTTAAAGTATTTAATTTTTATTATATCAGCCCACACTGAACATTGGTTTTTCAGCAGATAATGCATCTTCCAAGTGCTCCAAGGCGAAGAGCCGCAGAGAAGAATACTGCATCTTGAGTCATACCCTGAAATTACTGAATGAATTACCTGTGGCCATGTAAACACTCTGCTTCAGTAGGTAGAGTGCAACAGACAATCCAATCATTCAGAACTAAGTTTTTAGTTAGCTTCTGTTATTCACTGAAGTAGTTTGCAATTACAGTTGTCTCTAGGTATCCATGGGGGATTGGTTCCAGAACTCCCTGCTGATAACAAAATTCATGGATGCTCAAGCGCCTTACATAACTTGGTGTAGTATTTGCGAATAACCTATGCACATCCTCAAGTATACTTTATATCATCTCTAAACATATAATACTTAATATGTAAATGCTATGTAATTAGTTGTTATTACTGTATTTAGTGAATAATGACAAGAAAAAAAAGTGTGTACCTGTTTAGTACAGACACTACTCTGTACTGATTTTTTTTTCTGAGTATTTTCCATCCAGGGTTGGTTGAATCCACAGATGTGTAACTCACAAATATGAAGGGCTGACGGTACCTAGTAGTTAATTCAGATTTATCGCAGTGATCTAAAGTAATTTTGCAGTTTACAAGCATTTTTTTTTGGTTCTAAAAGAAAAAAACAAAACGAATATTGGTGATGTGATATTTATGTAATGTGATGATATTATAATGGCCACGTTTTAAAACTTGAGAATGTCCTAAGTTCACACACTGTTGGTTTCTAGATCCACAAGGCTTCTGTATACAGTTCACGGTCCTCGGCATTGCTTCTTGTAATTTTTCCATCCCAAAGGAGAGCTACTGTACTGACTGTACTTGTGGAATGCAGCGCTTCATTAAATTAAGTTTATTAAAATGCAATGTGTGGCACAAGACCTGTTCCTTGTTTAAAGATTTAGTAGAAGGTGGTTTCTTTGGATGCACTCTTCATTTATTTCAATGAACGCAAAATGCATTGTATCAAGAGACGTTTCTGCAAAGGGCAGTAAAAAATAAGAAAAACAACCATGAAGAAGAAAACAACTATGAATAAACCAATTCTATGGGGGATTGTTTTTGTGCTTCTCAAAGTGTGTGTGTGTGTGTGTGTGTGTGTGTGTGTGTTGGAAGGTGGGTAGAAGGTGGGGGGGATGGGTGTCTGTGTATGAGAGAGAGAGAAAGAGAGAGAGCGAGTGCACTAAGTGAATATATCCTTATGGTCTAAACTGGGATACAATTGAGAGTGAAAGGGGCACAGCTGGGTGCGCTGGCTCACATGGATCACTTGAGTCCAGGAGTTTGAGTCCAGCCTGGGCAATGTAGGGAGACCCTGTGTCTACCAAAAATTAAAAATTAGCCAGATGTGGTGATGTGCCTCTGTGGACCCAGATACTTGGGAGGTTAAGATGGGATGATCACTTGAGCCTGGGAGGTCAAGGCTGCAGTGAGCCATGATCATGCCACTGCACTCCAGCCTGGGTGATGGAATGAGACCTTATCTCAAAAACAAAAAAGTGGGGACACTGTTAATTACAATGGGATAACAGGCATAAACTGGAATGATCCTGGGAAAATAGGAACCTAAGGGACATCTTAGAGGGAGTGTATCAGACACCTCTTAGAGGAAGTGTAACAGACACTTCAAATCCTATCTTTTATTCCAGTCACCTAAGTAGCATTTAGTTTGGCACAGGCTTCCACCAGTTTGCCAGGGTGTGGGTTATTGTGGGGTTTCACTTGTCACTCACACATGTACAACCTGGAAATGTTAGGGGGGCTAACCTGGTGGGCCTTAACGAATGAGGATGGAAACTGATGGATAAATCCTCCCACCATTTGTTGCTCATGTGGCCGGTTCTCAGATACGTTTCATGAGGCTTCTCAGAATAGTCCTTAGGATTGAGCACTGGTTGTCCATTGCAATGCTACCTTGAAAATTCATCCTTGTATTGGCCTTCTCTCTTTCCTTGTTTCACTGCTACTTGCATGCAAGACTTTGTCTGAGGTCCTGCTTTCAGGGGAACTCAGGCTACAATAATTGGGATTTTGGAGTGAGATCACTCACTGTTCAGAGGTAATAAGGACTCCATTTTTGGAGGTGGGTGGAGTGGTGGTATCTGGCCAGCGCCATCTCAGTTACTAAGACTCTTACTGAGGTGGATTGGGATGAGGTGCAGGCAGAGGCAGAGCATTGGGTGGTGTGATAGCCGTGGTCCTTAAATAGTACAGGAGCAATGGTAATAACAAGGATTGAGCTGGCTGGTGTGTTTAGACTGCTTTGGAGGCTTTGAAAAAAGCAAATGAAGAAAATGACAGGCTCAGGTTTGTTAATTAGCAACATAAGGCATGTCATGAAAGCCAGAGGATCTGTATGGAAGTGTATCAGGAGACTCACATTGGTGGATTGTGCTGTCATTCTCACACTCAAGGTCACCCTCCAAGCAAGCAATCTAGATCAGGCAAGATGTTAATGAGCCTACATCAGGCAAGGGTGAGAAAAGTCTAAAGTGGATAGTGGAGGAGGGAGATGAAGAATATTATGATCTTGGGATCAGCTGGAACAGTAGAACTGGAACTTGTTCCACTAACCCTCTTGAATTAAGTCTTTGCAGAGACTATGGCTGGCCACCACCATGAAAGGGATTCTCTGATAGACTGAATTTAAAGAAGGGCACAAAAAACAAGCACAAGAAATGGATTGTACCTCCCTGTACACCACTCCAGATCCTCTTGCTCATGCCACTATTGTGTTTACCAGGTCTGTGCAGGTGTCAATCAGCTTTTGCATGGGTGCAGCCTGATAGAGACTAGCCTTGTGCTGTGGCTTTCTCACTTCTCTGACGCTGGACTGTCCTGACACCATGCCTTGGGAAGCACGTCAATACTAAGGCATGCACAGTTCAGAAGTACGAGGGAGTTGATATCTGTGAGGCCACCCTTGTCCATCAAGGGGGATGAGGATTGATGAATAACTGCTCTCTTTTCCTCTTTCAGGCAGACAGTTTTGAGTTGCGATTTATCAAGTTTCTCAGAAATCCTGTTGGAGCCAGTCACTTGTAACAGTGGCCACCTTGATAATGCATCCTCACTAATCCTTTCCCTCCTTCACTGTTCCCAGCTCCATCCTATACTCCTGGTCCCTGAGATCACATTTCCAAACAAACTACTGTGTTTAAGCTTTTGTCTCAGGTTCTGTTTTTGGGAGAATACAAACTAAGATAGACAGAGAGAGAGAGAGAAGAAGACAGGCTAGGCTAGGGTACAAAGCAAGGGAAGAAACTGTGATCTGGTATTAAAGTGCAGGGATATTTTGGGACATCAGAGCTTAATTTAGTACTATGATATTTCTAATAATGAAGTGACACATTTAGGCCACATGCTTCCTTGTTAGAAACTCTATAACCAGAGAATATAGCAATTTTAGAGCTGGAAGGATCCTTGGATCTCATTTTTAGCCTATCTTTTATTTTAAAGAAAAGGAAGTTTGGGCTGTGAATATATTCCAGTACATCTGATAAAAGGGATTACACTATGTCAAATCATCCATTACTAACAAAGATAACGATGAATATTCCCCCAAGTGTAAAATTATATATCTAAGAGTTTAGAAGACAGAAAAATAGGCAAAACAGGGTTAGGATAAGGTTGAGTGAAGGTTGACTTGTGCTCAAAAAGTATAAGGGCTGGGAGTATTTCAGAGAGACCAAAAAACCTTCCCAGGAGATAGATTTCTCTTGGAACTTGTTAAATTTTGGCCATGAAAGAAGGGAACTAATGCATTCTGCATGCCAAGCACTTGACATACTTAGCCATGTGAGGTAGGCATTATTACCTCAATTTCTATGTCAGGAAGTTGAGGCTCAGAGGTTAAATAACTTTCTAAGATGACTTATAATCCAAGTGCTTTTGCTTGTATTCTTTCCCTTCCACCTCACCATATTTCTTCTGCTAAAGAGGAGACAGAGTTTCCTCCATCCCCAGCAGTTCCAGAGTTTATAGGCGGCCTTGCCAGGGCTGTAAAAATAGTCCATTAGAAGTAGGAAGAGATCGTGGATCATTCCTTCTGGTCCCTCCATCCCAAAACTCCTATAAAAAGAAGAACTCGATTTTACCTTGAAGGCTAATTTAATATACTTTAGTTTCTACCTTTACCATTCCACTTCTCAGCTAAAAATTTTTACCAGAATGCTGGTTATAACTTGAAAACATTTTATTTAAAAAAAAAAAAAAGTTCCTACCAAAAGTAGAGTAAAAAAGAATTTTTTTTTTGCAGGCAAGATGATTGTATGAATCAGAGTTAATGAAAATATTATTTACCAATCAATGTCAAATTTAAAAAATCACATTCTTAGTGCTTTTGATAGGAATTTATTCATTTGTTCAATACGCTTTTTTTTTTTTTTGTCTAGAGCCACACTGTTCAGTGCAGTAGGAAGTAGCTACATATGGCTATTTAAATTTAAATTAATTTAAATTAAAATTTAAAATGTAGTTTCTTAGTCATACTAGATTCATTTCAAGTGCCCAAATAGCCACCACACATGGCTAGTAGCTCCCATATTGGACAAAGTGGATATAGAACATTTCCATCTTCACAGAAAGTGCTAATGAACAGTTCTGGCTATGCTGGACACATTGTTAAGTTCTGGGGATACAGCAAATGAATAGATATGGTCTCTACTTCATGAACTTACATTTTAGGGGAAAGAGAGAGACAAAAATATGCAAATAAATAAAATAATAATAGATGGTAATTTAGTCTTACAATGCAAATCTATTGTCTGCTGGGTAGACAATATTAGGAGCCAACTACTTCATACCCTGAGGTCACCTGAGGGATGTGAAGAAGCCATTGAGAAGAGCATTCAAGGCAGAAGGAACTGCAGGTGCAAAAGTCTTCAGAACTTACCATGTTTCAGTGAGGGGTAGAGAGAATGAGGGCTTTGGACATCCTGGGAAGAAAACTGGCCATCAAAGAAAGGAAACCATACAAGGAGGTTGTGGAGAACAGCTTCATAACGATATTTGGGAACAATAGTTCTTGAGTGTGCATTAAAATCACCTGGAGGCCTTCCTATAACAGATTGCTGAGCCCCACCCCGGAGTTTCTCATTCAGTGGGTCTGGGTAGGGCTTGAGAATCTGCATTTCTGACATGCTCGCAGGTGATGCTGATGCTCCTCATCTCAGGGTCACACTTTGAGAACCAGTGACTACCAGATTTAGTAGATGAAGAAAGGAAAGCTTGGAAAGATGACCTCACTAGCTCTAGTCCCACAGCTAGTTAGTGGAAGAGACAGAAAAGGCAGAGGTGGCAAGAGAGAAGAAGGCATAGCAGTAGAAAGCATGAGATCGTTTTCAAACTCAAATCTTCTTCACTGGGAGGAGACACGTGGAATCTGTGCACTGAGGAAATTTTGATGTGGTTCTAATGGCAGGCAAGTAGGAGCTCACCTTTGCGTGATTTATTAGGATCTGAGTTTGTTTATATATGGCTCATTTCAAAGGATTTATTAATCGAGAGCACGCTGGATATAGAAGCAAGTATATCATTGACTCAGCTGACTTGAGCCCTCTCCAAATTTTAAAAACCTTATCATATAGAATATGCCTGCTGTGTGGCTGCTTCGTGCCTAAGGCAGCATGCCTTGGAAGCGCTTGTGGATCAGCTTCAGATACTATAAAACATTCCATCACTTTTAAACATGACTGTCCCCTCCTCTCCCCACCCCCTTTCCTGATGGAAAGGCTACTACCTGTTTCACCGCAGGCTTGGGAGGGACACGTCATGATGACAGGTAACATTTGAACAGCTGCCTGCAGTTTAGTACCATGGTTCCAAAGATGGCTGCACACTAGACACACTAGAAGAGTGTTTAGAACTAACCCGCCCAGGGCCCACCCCTAGAGGTTCTGCTTTCATTGTTCTGGATTAAGTGCCATATAACAATATCTAGATCCCACTGTAGGGGTGATTGTGGTCAGCTAGCCTCTGCAAGACAAGTGAGAGAATGTGCCTGGCCTGAATTAGAGAAAGTCTCCCTGCTAAGCTCCTGGGCCTCTGGACAGGTCCTTCTCACAGTGGCCCTGGCTATTCTGGGAGAATGGGGGCGACCTTGACAGTCTCGGGAGAAAGTGAGGCCCAGGACTCGGCCCTGACAGTGGATCCTATTTGCCGAAATGGTAGCATCTGAGAAAGGACAGAGGATTTGAAATGAGGCGCTAGATTCCTCTTTCTGTGTCATTGGTGGCCTTATTTGGTGCTTTAACCAATGTAGATAGTGATGTAAAATGTGGGTTCTGGAGTCTGACTGCCAAGATTCCTAATCCCAGCTTTACCATATTTAGCTGTGCTAACTGGAGCAAGAAATTCAGTTTCTGCCTCAGCCAAGGGTCCTGGCAGGAAAGAGATGATATACTCAAATAATGTTACTGAAGAGAGTTTAACAAAGGGTGTGGGAAGGTTAAAGTAACCAGCGAGGGATTGTGAAGTCCCCAGGGACTAATAGCAGGGGAAGCCATTGTCACCTTTCTGCCTTCAGGGACAAAAGGGGCAGGAACAGGGTTACCTGAACCTAGGGAGAGCTGTCGTGTAGGAGGGGCCCACAGAACTGGAGCTTTGGCTGAAGAGGAGGAATACAGCCAGTGGTAAAACCGGCCCAACAGGGAGGGAGGAGGAGGGATAAATGGCCACACCTCTCTTCTGACTTTGCAGCTCAAGCCACTGCCTCCCATTAGCCCAACTCAACTGGAACCACAGGGCAAAAAGGCCCTACTGATGCAGTCACAGAGGCCAGTCTCCTGGGAACACAAAGCAGTACTAAGAAATGAGCAGAACACATATCACAGTCAAATTCAGTATTACCACCCCAAATCCAATAAGCCTCTGTGTTCTTGTCTGTAAAATGGGAATGCTAACAGTAATGGCATTTCCCTCGTAGGGCTGTTGTAAACATTAAATGAGATGGTGCATGTAAAGTCCTGAGCACAGTGTCTGGTCCATGGCACATGCTCCATTATGGCCACTGTTATTATTACATTACAGGTGACTACTTGGCCTGCAGGAAGGGACACCTCTTTTATGGACTGTAATCCTGACTCCAAGAGGCCTACAGGCAGAGCATTGCTCCACTCTTAGGCTGAGAGGCTCCTCATTGCAGAAGAATCCAGTTAGGCTTGGGTCTGGTCACACATATGGACTTGCAGTCACAACCAGTGAGTAAGACCCTGAGTCAGAGGAGGTGACAGCAGCACTCTCTCTTCTTCCTCACTCTTGTTTTTGGCCTTGTTGATGTTCGATATGTCAAGATAGATGAAGGCTTAGCCTGTCTGATGGACATGACCAGCTTTATTTATAGACTGAAATTCTTTAGGGTGAGCATCCCATGGTCCTGGTGGGTGATGGGGAATCACTTTCCTTCCCTGAGGAATGAGAAATGAGCGTGTGCATGGAGATTGGGACCACAGATTCAGGCAACAATGGCTTCTGCCACGAACAGTTTTTCTCACCTTCCTTTTCTATTGATAATCTCCTGCCAGCCTCACCATCCCAAGACTGGGCCCATAACCTGACCTGGCCACTCATAATTCTCTTGGAGCTGAGATTGACTCAAGGGCCCAGAGATGACAGTTTCCTCTTTAATGAAAGCCTATGTAGAAAATAATCTCTTGATCCCTTCCAGATTTAGAGTATTGGGAAGTTAAAATAAACAACAGAAAAAGAAAACTTTAGTTTAAATCTCCCAAATATCAACCACAGGACTTCTTTTTTGCTTGAGACAATATATGCATAGTGATTAAGAGAGCAGGCTTTGGAGTGCAAAGGCCTGGTTTCCCATCCTGGTTTGTCACTTAATGTGACCCTGGGCAATTTTTTCTTTTCTTTCTTTTCTTTTTTAGACAGGATCTCACTTTGATGCGCCGGCTGGAGAGCAGTGGTGTGATCACGGGTCACTGCAGCCTGGAACTCCTGGGCTCAAGCAATTCTCCTACCTTGGCCTCTGGAGTAGCTGGGCCTACAGGTGCATACTACCACACCTGGCTAATTATTTTCTATTTTTTTGTAGAGATGGGGTCTGACTGTGTTGCCCAAGCTGGTCTCAAACTCCTGGGCTCAAGCAATCCTCCCACCAGGGCCTCCCAAAGTGTTGAAACTACAGGCGTGAGCCACTGTGCCTGGCTAGATTTCTTTATCAAAACTCCTCTTCGTTTATCTGTGAAGTGGGGGTAATTGTTGCACCTTCTCCCCCAGAGCTCAGCAATCGGAAGTTATGTAGGAGTTGGAGTAGATGTCATGGGGATGGCATGAAGGTCATAGGGAGAGATTAAACAAAATCATGTATGATGTTGCTCAGCACAGCTCCTGGGACATAGGAAGCATTTCAACCCATTAGCTACTATTTATTATCTGCTTTTTTAAAGAACCTAAAATACAGAGATGTCTGTGGAAGTGCACAAAGCCTCTCCCAGCCCACAAAGTTCTGTGTGGAAAAGGTCACAGAGGTTTCAGCTGCTCTTCTCACCCCAAGATAGAGTCAAGGCCAGCGTTCGGATAGCAACTACAGTTTGCTTTAAAATGTAGCATGATCCAAGAAATAGAATTTGTCACGTTTAGTAGGATTCAGCCCGACAAGGTTTTGACTGATTAACCGTGTTTCCCAAGGTAAGAGAAAGTAATCACTCTGCCAGGGTCCCAGAAGGAACGAGGTCAAGGAGAGCTCAGTCCTTCTCTCTGTGTGATGGCCTTGAGAGAGATGGCTCTGAGAGAGCAGGCAGGAGCAAGCTGGGGGTCCTCATCTGGTCATACAGTGGAGATACTGTGATCCTGTTACAATCACACTGTCAATATGTCAGCCCAAGACCCAATCCTCTGGCTCTTGCTGAATGGGGAAGATGAAGCTTCCTTGGCCCAGAAGGAGCCTGGAGAGTCTGCTGCAAGGCGTATTCCCACTGCATAGATTGGATTCTTTTCTTTTGAAATGGCTAGTGTTCAAGAGTTCTTCATCCAGTTAAATTATTCTTTTCTTTTTGAGACGGAGTCTTGCTCTGTTGCCCAAGCTGGAGTACAGTGGCACAATCTCGGCTCACTGCAACCTCCGCCTCCTGGGGTTCAAGCGATTCTCCTGCCTCAGCCGCCGGAGTAGCTGGGACTACAGGTGCGCCACCACGCCCAGCTAATTTTTGTATTTTTAGTAGAGACGGGGTTTCAGCATGTTGGCCAGGATGGTCTTGAACTCCTGACCTAGTGATCCGCCCGCCTCGGCCTCCCAAAGTGCTGGGATTACAGCTGTGAGCCACCGTGCCCGGCCAAATTATTCTTAATGTTATAGCTGCTATTAGGTTGGTGCAAAAGTAATTGCGGTTTTTGCCATTAAAGGTAATGGAAAAAATTATACAATAGGAAATAACTATATAATAGGAAAAGAAGACACAGAGGAAATCATCTTTACCACCCTGCTACTCCTATAATGTGAATATTACATTTCTTCTTGTTCCCTTCGGGTCTCTGCTCAGATGACGACCTGGTTTTTATATAGATGAAACCATTACAGAAATTCCATATTGGATTTTTACTTTATTAAGCTTTGGAAACACTTGTCTCCTTTTTATTTTCCACGGTAAGAAAAAGTGTGAGCCCTCTGTCTGAGTTTGGCAGGGCCAGCCTTGCTCTGGAAAGTGCGTGGCCCGACATCCAGCAAGGCCCCAGGCAGTTCTGCTCAGGATCCTCCTGCTTCCTACGAGCTGGAGACAAGCTGGCGGTGTTTCTCGAGCGGCTCTTCTTAAGCCGGGTTAGTGATTCACAAAGTGATGATTGTTGCTTTCAGAGTTGTCCCCTGCTAGATCCTGTTCCCTCCCCACTGCCAAACCCTCTCACCTCAGTTGTGAGGACATTTTAAAAGAAACTGGGGGTATTTTTAGGTGAAGGAGCTCCATGGATTGGCATTTCCATCATTTTAGAAATTGCTACTTTGCTTTGTGTATAAAATTTGACTTTACTCTCTTCCCCTCAGTCTTCTTGTTCTTTGCCTTTCTTCAAAATAGGCATCTGGAGGCTTCCAATCTGAATATCAGATCCTGTCATCTCTGTCGAGCTCCAAATTGTCCTGGAAGCATAGTTCCATAGCGAATCTCTAGCCTGCCTTTCCCGCTGAGAAGAGACACATCTTGTAGATTTATTCTGGCTTTGGACACTTAGGACCACCCTACCCCTGGGACAGTGGTTGTGGCAGTAGCAGTTATACCCACTAGAGAGCTAATTGCCTGATGATGTGGGGCCTCCTGAGAAAGCTGGAGAAGGGACCCTGGGCTGATAGGCCCCTAGAAATAGACTCTTGAACAAAGGAGGGTGAACGCCTCCTATTCCCTTGCAGAAGAAGAGACTACCAGGAAGGCAGGGCGCTCACCCTGCCATCTGGCTGAACTCTGCCAAGCTTCTGGATTCAGAATGAACTCAATAAAGGGGCCAGCATGTGAACCCCAAGTAGGTGCCCCGTACATCACTCCTACTGGCCCCTGAAAAGCTTGCTTTCCCCAGAGGTGGTGATAAACCTCAGGGCCCAGAGTGGTTGAGTTTTTTCTTTTCTTGAGAGGCTGGACATAAGTCTAGTTTGTCTGAGACAGCCAAGTTTATGCGTGTTATCCTTGCAGGTTTATTAATAATTCCCCTGTGCTCTCAGAAGCATAAATGATGTGATATAAGTGATATGGTTACCTTAGGTTTTGATGATCCCTGTATGAGACTAAGATGTCTAACACTGACTGAGTAAGTTGTCACATTTGGAGGAAAAAAGTCTGTTTTCATGGAAATATCTATGAATCTGAAGTTCAGAGACAATGGCAAAGAGGTCGCCACAGTGATGCCAAGCCAGGAAGACTGGTGTCCCTCTGCTCTTGCCCATGAGACTGTAACTCTAAAGCCAGACTAATCTGTATCAAAGTTGTGAGTTGTTTTTTTCAGTTTCCATGAACCCCAGGTTTCAAGTTTTGTAACCTGAGCATGCCCAGATAAACCCCGTATGCAACCACAGGAGAAACTTAAGTGCTCAGACCAAGGATGGGGACCTCATTAAGAAGCAGATATCACAAGGCATGATCCATGATCCAATCAGATCAAGCCCTGGCATCACTCCATGGTATGATCCAGTCAGATCACACCTCCTGACATCACCTCACTGCAAGATCCAATCTGATAATGCCTCATTGCCCTCTGCCTGTAAAACCTCTTCTAGCCCCCAGCTTAGGGAGACAGATTTGAGCCAGACTCCTCCTGTCTCCTTGCTTGGCAGCCTTGCAGTAAACTTTTCTTTTTACAAAAGGCTGATGCCTTGGTGTTGGCTTTCCATTGCACGTGGGCAGACAGAGCCAGGTTGGTTTGGTAACAATAGCAGAGCCTGAGCAGCAAGAGCATCCAGCGTCTGGGGGCGGAGCCACAGCAGTGCCGGAAACAAGAGTCCTTGAACAGGGCCAGCAGCAGCTGGCGGTGAGGATTGGCAGTCACCTATTTCCCATAAATGGAGAGAGAGGAGCTGATTGAATTAGGATTCAAAAAAGACTCAATGCGGGTGAGGCCCATGTAATTTTGGGGTGGTACTCAATGTGGTGACTTTCCAAGTAGCCAGTGTGTCCTCCAGAAGCAAGGGTATCATTTAAATAAGAGTGCAGGCACGTTCTGCACATGTATCCCAGAACTTAAAGTATAATAATAATAAAAAAAAGAAAAAAGATTTTTTTTAGAAGAGTGCAGGCTGTGAGATTTAACGACCCCACCAGGACCATAGCACCTGTCTTCTGAATTCTAGCACCATGTTCTTTCCATTCCCAACAATTATCGCTCATGATCTGGCTCCCCTCCTCTCTGCTGGCTAGCCCCAGCTGCCCTTTGCTTCTGCTCATATTCCCCCTCTTGGCTCTCGTTGGCTTTTCTGAATCAGAGGCAGCATAGAACAACCCTTCCTCAACACAACAATGCTGGTTCATCAGGGAAGTTGTGAAGCAGAACAGCTGTGGACATAGCTGGTGCCTGGAAGCCCTGTCGGCAGTGTCCGGCTCTGTTTTTGATGAGTGTGTACTTTTCAGGAGTCAATACCTATAACTTTTTAGCCACACGGCATCATCAGAACATTCCGTTGCTGTTGGCTGTGGTGGGGTTCTGGAAGCCATTTTGTCAGGCACAGCGTTTCTGTTGCCCTGGCTTCCGACAACTCAGCATTCCCAAAGCACACTCTGTCTCCTCCACTCATAGCTAAAAAATCTGCCCTTTAAAATGTCTCCTCACGAAGTAGGAAGCGCCACTTTTGACCGTGTCTGCTGACATGGTTTTTGATCTGGGAAAGGGGGTGAGGAGCCGACTGGAAGCATCACTTTCTGGGATGTCAGAGTCTCCTTGGAAGAGTCCTAATTAAGGACTCAGAATGATTGACAGGTGGTGGAAGCTCAAGAAAGCACACTTGATATGCAGCAGAAGACAGTCTGTGAGTTGCAAAAAACCTGGCAATTGGAGACCTTGAAAAACTTTTGTAAGTAATACTATAATTTTGTTCTTTAGCTAAACATTTATAAAAAGGCTCTTAAATGTCTGCCAGATGAACTCGGAATGGACATTGTTTGTCTCTCTTAAATGGCATATAATTTGGTAACAAGTTTATTATTTCAAATATAATTGAATTTATTTTCCGAACTATATACAGTCTTGCTGAAGTACAGTCTTTGAAGGTATTCCTTTGGGGTTAGGAATCTGCAAATTGGGAAGTTTGATTTACCACCGTGGATAATAAAAGTCTGACAGGAAGGCAGCTCTCCAAAATGAGGGGATGGAGAAAGAAAATTAACATTACAACATTCCTCCTTAGCTCTGCACTTATACATCCTCTATCCCACTTCATTATTTTGAGATGAGAATGAAGTCATTTTAAAAAAAATATTCAAATTACATGGCTACGAAATCCCATCCATTAGCGCAAGAACAGCCTTTTTCCCAGCCTCACCATGAAGACGCTCAGACTAGTCTACCTGAGCCTCAGTTACTTCAACTCTAAAATGGGGGTAATATCAATAAGCACCCAAGCACCCATTTCCCACGCTGCAGAGACGGTGCTAAGTTTTTCACGTATATTTTCTTGTCGAATCAGAGCAATGTTATCAGTCTCTGCCACGTGGGAAATGATCACTAAATATTATAATTCTCCTCAAGCACAGTGGGATGGTCTGGTTACACATGTTCAGAGGACAGAAAACAAGAAACCAGTTCAGAAAACCAGAAACCAGCGACATTTTTGCTGCTACAAGGTGTCGCTGGTGTTCCCAAGTGCCCGGGCTGTTGTCTTTGGCTTCAGTGTGGGAAGGGAGCTCAGAAGTTTGGCAACAGCCTTCCAGGTGTAGGGAATAGAGGCGAATCCTTCTTCTCCATTGATGCATACAGCCTTCCAGGTGTAGGGAATAGAGGAGAATCCTTCCCTATTGGTTTGGTTGTTGACAACACTCTAGGCCTGGGATCCGAATAACACAGCTATTTTAAAGCACCTTCCAAAAGAACTTCCTGTGATTATGGAAGTATTCTATATCTGGATGGTCCAATATGATAGCCACTAGCCACATGTAGCTATTTAGTTTTTGAAATATGGCTAGTTGTCTATAGAACTCAATTAAACATTTTATTTAATTTTAATTGATTTAAATTTAAATACTAGTTGCATGTAGTTAGTAGGTACCATTTTGAACAGTGCAGCTTTAGGGATACAGCTTTCTTTGCCTAAACCACACATACATGTACACAAACACAGCCATTTTCTTGATGTGTACGCCCACAAACCAGGTGGAAAGGTCAGAAGGGGTTTCAGAGTCAGCCACATGCTATGCTTGAAATTCACTCTCCACCAAGACCAAAGAATCAGCTCAGGTTCTTTCTGCTGCTTCTTGCTGGGGCTGGAGTTCAAGCTTTATAATACCTGGCAGAGAAGCTGGAAGGATGGAACACACTAACAGCCCAGAGGTGCTGCAAGCCCAGCCTTCCTCGGCAGGACCCCACCAGAACATTTTTCTCTCAACCTTTCCAAGACACCCTGTTCAGGCAACAAGACTGGAGGAAGTCCCATTTGCCTCCATCCTAACACCCACCTTGTTTCTAGCCTCAGGGTTCCTGACAGCTAAAATTCCAAGTACCTTAGTCTCAAGGTCCTTAAGAGACCTTCAGAAAAATAAAACCATCTAAGATAGGTATATTTTTCTAGGTCTAGGCTGTTCAGTCTTGGCCATAGTCACATTATTACAATATGATCCCATTTAAACCTCATAACAACACCCTAAGGAAAGTATTTGTTTCAGCCTAGACTCTAGTCTAAGCAGAGTCTGATACAATAGCTTTTGTCCAGGTAGTTTATTTGGTAATGGAATTGGAGAAATCAGGTTTTAGGAACCGAGTGGGTGAGGAAGGAAGGAAATAAAGCAGTCATGTGTTGGTAAATGTTTATTAGCCAACTTTTTGGAAAAAGCATTAACCCTGATTATGACATTTACTATTTTCCATGGTGTAAATGCTCTGACCATGCCCAATTTCCATTGCTAAATGTGGAGTTGGGGAAAGATACGCACAATCAGCTCCCCTGAGTCAGTGTCAGCTGACTCCAGCAACTCACAGGGAAAGCCAGTGCAAAGGCATATAAATGAATTGGCTACTGCTGTTGCTGATTGCTGCTCAATTCTGAAGACACTTCTGAGGAATCTTGGGAAGTGCATCTTAGCACTGGCTTCCAGGGTCAAAAGGAAGAAGCCTTTAACTATCAGTTTCCCTCTTGCATTGGTCAAGGTTAGCTACGTGGGCATTAAGTTCCCTGCACTCCTGGGGTGTGCATGCATGAAAGCTGAGTATTCTTTGCATGGTCTAGTAGCTTCAGAGGAATCCTGAAGCAGGGAATGAGAGGTAAGAGTTTTGTGGCTCAAGACAAGGCACTACCAGGTTGTTTCTGCATGACAGTGGCTTGTGTGGAACCAGTCACTGTGACACCAGCTGGAATAAGAATTGAGACTGAGAGAAAACGAAGTGTTCAATATAGTCCACCTCTTGCATTACTCATATTGGCTTCTCTTCCCTCCTTTCTTTCTCACATGAAGTCCAATCTATCATAGAGTACCCTTGGAATTGCCAGCCAGCTACAATATCTGCAAACTTCAGGTTTAGTGAACAAGCTGTGATCTCTGCTGCTGCGGTTGTTTTCAGAGGTCATAATTAATAACCACACTTCCCTCTGCTGTGACCCAATCTTTATTTTCCTCACTCTCAGCCAGCCTTCATTGTTATAGGTTGCTTGCCTGGTGGATTGACCCAGACATCCATCTCTGAGGGATGGAGTCCTTATCTAACTTCTTTTGTCCAGTCATGGTTGTTGCAATTGTCTGTTCACAATATGACAGTTAATAAGACCAGCAGATGTCCTATGAATCCCATAGGTTCCAGACATACTCCTTCATGCTCCCATTGTATGGTAGCAACCTTGCTCTTTCTGGCAATGAGGACTACTCACTTCCACCAATACAGTATCTCCTTTCTTTGTTGGTTTAGAGGCAAAAGGAGCAAACGATGACCAAGAGGTAGTTTCAGCTTCAGACTCAGTGGAACCTATTCTGTGTCCCCTGATTTTCAATTTCATGGATCAGGATGTATATTTTGGAAGAGCTTAGGTTTGCAGGGTGAGAAAACATAAATTCTGTAAATGGTTCACTGTAAATAAGGTAATAGAGACCAAAACTACTTCCACCTTTTAATTTGTTTACCTTTGTATTCTAGTTATTAGTCTGGCACATAAACAGCATTTTGGAAAGCAGTGTTCCAACCCTACAGGTTAGTGTGCCTGAGCTGGTGTCACAGCTGAGCCTTTAACAAGCCATGTATACCATTCTGTTAGATGACGTTAAGACCAGAAGATCCTACGGTCATGTCTACATTAGCCCAACTTCTTCACCATAAATTGAGTCACTTGGTCTGAAGCAATATTGTGCAGGATACCATGCAGATAGGGCAGATATTATGTAAGCATTTGGGTGGTGGGGCTGGCATAGGCACTGTGGGCAGGAAGGCAAACCCATATCCAAAGTATGTGTCGATTCTATTACATACAGATCACAGCTGTCTTCAGAGTAGAAGTGGTCCCATGCCATGAGGTGGTTGACCTGTCTCTGAAAGGGATGATGCTCTATAGAGGACCCTGTGTCAGGCTTTTCTCAGTAGCAGATTGACTTTTAATAGTGAAACAACTAGATCAGCCTTGGTGAGGGATGCCATCCTTTTGGTCCCACAGAGAACTCTTATTCCTCCCAGCAAAGAGCATGTCTCCTCAGAATGGCGCCCACTGATGGGCATGAATGCACGATACAAAGATTTGTATACTTCTGTGGGTTTATTCACATGCCCTTTCTCCAGACTTTCTTTTCTCGAATCTTTCATTTTTGCTCCTCCCTGAATCCTGACCAAACAACCAAACCAATTACCACTGGCCAAAAGTACAGGTATATATGTACCTCAGACCCCTTCTTCCTCCACACCCAGTGAACCACCACATTTTGTAGTCCCAGTTCTGTCCATTGAGAAGATTTCCTTTCTCCACTGTCTTTCGGGGCCACTCCTGCCTGGGGGTTTAGAGCAGAAGTAGTGCATTTATAGTCGGCACTCATCTACTGAGCAGACCCATCTATGAACTGGGCCTGAGAATCTTCCTCTTCCATTGGTGCGACTGGAGGAAAAATGTCAGTAAAACAAAGGTTAAGTGCCATGAGACTTGGGATCAGTGGTTGATAAAATTAATTTCTGCCTTTGGAACGTGCTTGAGTTTGATCCTGAATGTACCATTCTGAATGAATGTACCATCCCGAATTCTACAGTGATGGATTACAGCTGCACTCAGGTGACCATATGATTTGATGGATTGTAGTCAATCACTTTCTATCAGTTCCCAGTAGCTCTCCAGGAGGGTTTTTTCCTCCAAAAGACAAACGTTTCTTTGTCACAGAAGGCATGGTATTGCTCCAGAACCCTAGATTCTCCTATTGGGTCTTGTCAGACTCGATACACCATCCTTAGCTTCTGCGGATGTCTCTAGCTCATGATGTATCCATTGGGCCATGTGGTTCAAGCGGCAGAGCAGCCTGCACCACACTTCATCTGCTGCAGTCCTCTTTTTCTGTAACCCCACTAAAAACTACATTTATATAATTAAATCTAGTTATATAAATTAGAGCACTCAAATCCAAAAAAAATTCCCCTAAGCACTATATCTTTTTCATGGTGGTCAGGATTACAAAGTACTGTAGTATTTTTTCCTTCACTTTAGGTAGGATTTAACCAGCATATCCCAGATCACTCTATCTCTAAATACTTTAGCAATGTGGCAGGCTCTTTAATCTTTGTGGGGTTTTTCTCTCACCTCTTAGCACATATATGTCTTACTGAGGCATCTAAATTAGTTTATTTCTTGCTCCCTAGGTGTAATTGGTATTGATGTTATCCATATGGTGGACAAATGTGATGTCTGCAGAATGTCAAGACAATCAAAGTCTCTGCAGACTCTACTGTGAGAGAGAACCCTCAGATAAGACATAATGAATGCATACTGCTTTCCTTTCCATGAAAAATGTGAACCTCTTTTGATCTTCCTTACTGATAAAGGTTGAGAAGTATGTACTTGCTAGACAGTGGCTATATACCAAGTGTCACAGGCTGAGTTGATTTGTTCTAGTGAAGGCACTATGTCTGTCACAGCTACTGAAATTTGGGTCATCATTTAAGTTCATGGTTGTCCATGGTTCTCTGCCATGATCTATCTGGTTTTCACAGGGAACAAGCAGGTGACTTGATGGCAACTGCCAGCCCTATGTGCTGTAAGTCTTCAATGATGTCTCTAAGTTCTGCAAGTCCGCTTGGGATGTGACATTGTTTCTGATTTATTATCTTGGCTAGGTGTGGGAACAGTTTCAGGGGCATCCACCTAACTCTTCCTGTTACAATGACTCTTATTACTTCATAGGTCAGGAAATCAATGTGAATGTTCTGCTAGCTATTAAGAAGTGTATTGTGATTATACACTTATAAACAGAATTTCATTTATCATCTGGCCTCCCCCTGCCCCCAATCCTTCCAAGGAATACAATTGCTTTTCAAGTAGCGCAGACCTAGATATTTCCCTTTCCCCAGTATATCATTGCCCTAGCAAATGGACACATGTACCTTTGGGGAAGGTTTAGCAGGAATATTTATTTTATTTATGGTGTTGTTGCTGTAGGTTCCTTCCTAAGCAGACCTAACCTTCCCTTAAATCAGTGGGTTCTAAGTCTCTGTACTGACTTAGATTTGGAAATGAGGTGAGAGACCATAGTTTCTAATTATTGAACTCATGCAGGTTTCTACACTCCTGCTCTTTCATTTTATAGAAGTCAGGTAATAACTCTGCTCTACTCTCATCTATCTTCCCTCCTTGCAACACTACAATCACTACAGATCCCTGGTATTCAAGGCACCCTGTTGCCACTATAAGTCTTGCTGACCAGTATGATAATGACATTCACCTTGCCTCTGACAATTATGCACTACCATTTGCCATTCCAGAATCCTTTTAGTTCTACACTTATTCTATAGAGCCCATCTCAATGGCACCTTTTTCTCAATTTTCAACCACAACCTTCAAAAGACATCTAACCAAGCTTTTCAAATATTTTAGGGCTCCTCTCTGCGGTGCATTCTTTATTGGCTTAATGAAGAGAATGTTTTCTGGGCCATCTAGATTACATTCATTTGGTGGGTTTTCAGGTCTCACATAATATGTCCATTCTACATTTCCATTTTTCTGAAATTTTCGACTCCCTCCTTAACACTCTGCCAAAGCAGTGCCAACATCTCCATCTCATTTACTGGAGGTTATATAGTGTCCAAGCTGCAATGAACCAATCCAGCAGTGTGTTAGAACAATCTCCAGGTGTCCCATACAAAAGCATTGTGTGAGCTTTTCCCACGAGTGGTCTTTCTTTGTAGAAGTGAAGAATGAAGCTAAGGCATCTGGGAATGTGTGGGGCCCTGAAAGCCTAATGATGGAACCCCAGTAGTTTACTTCTTAAGAAGCAGAAACTTCCTTCAGCTTACTAAAAGAGGTAGGGTTTGGTATCAGGGTAGCCCCATCAATTGATGGCTTTGCCAGTGGAGGGGAAGCCACCTGTTCCTGCTACGTAGGATTGTAGCAAGCCTCTCTGGGACTCTGGGAATTGCAAGAAAAGTGGTCAGTGTTACCAAATAGTCACCTCAATGATCAACTCTTTATGTAATAAACTCCTGTGACTCATGGACAAGCACCTGAGAGCTTTAAAATGGCATCATTGTTTTGGTTAGAGAATACATTAGCTGAAAGTTATTTACTTTGAGAATCTTGAATGAATTACTGCTAGTAATTTGCATATAAATGGAGTCAAGTAGTTGTAAACCACATTTCTCCTTCCCTTTGCAGTCCTGAAAAGTCAGCCTCTGAGGCATTAGATTTTGATGCCTAGCTAGGGTTAGGAAATATTTTTATATGGTCCATCAAGCATAATGATGATAATGAATTCTTATAAGGTACTTACTATGTGCCAGGCACTTTTTTACATATGTAAAATCTATTGAATCCCCACAACCCTGTGAAATAGATATACTATTCCTATCCTCCTTTTACAGATTTTCCTTCATAATCCTTTTTTCAACACTTCTTAAAGGTATCACCATCAGTGAAATGAGCAGGATTGGTGGGGGCTAGGTCTCCCACAGGAACCACCCAGAGGATAAGTCCTGTAACTGCCCATTCTGAAGCTCTGTCCCCTGAGTACCCTGAACCATTTGATGTCTTACTTCTCATTTATCTTTCCCTTGGATCTAAGCAAGCAGTAAATATTTAAGCTGGTAGATACTTGTCTAGCAGCCTGTCTATGGTAGATTAAAGAGGGCCACAGGTTAATTGATGTTCTTCCTATTGAGAGATGGAGTCTAACTCCCCATCTTTTGAATCTGAGCTGGCTTTAATGACTTATTTCACTAACATAATGTGGTCAATGTGTTGCTCTGAGACTTCTGAAGCTGAATCAAAAGAAGGCTTGCAGCTTTCATCTGGGTTTCTGGGGAGTACTGAGCTACCAGGTAAGAAATTTGACTGCACCAAGATTGCCATGTTGGGGAGGCCTTGGGTAGGTGCTCACTTGACAGTCGCAGCTGGGCCAGTCTTCCACGCAACCCTACCAAGGTGCCAGCCATGTGAATGAAGCTGTTTGGGTCCCTAAATGAGCCCATTGCCAGATGACTACCACCAAGTGACCTCCATTGAAACCACATGAAACAGAAGAATCACCCGTCTAAGTCCTGCCTAAATTCCTGACTCAGAAAATCATAAAATTTAATAAAATGGTTGATGTTTTAAGCCACTAACTCTTGGGGTAGTTACTACACAGCAATAGACAACTGGAGTACTCTCCGTTTTGGAGAGTGATGGTGATAGTGGTGGGGTTGGAGATGACAGAGGGTGTGGTGGGGCAGTTTGGGCTTCAGGGAGTATATACATACATACCTCGAGATGTTCTGTTACCCTCATAACTGTGTTCACCACTGAGTTTGTGGCAAATAAGAAGAGAGAATGCTGATGACTTTCAGTTCTAGACATGGATCCTACTTGAGGTCTGCTTATACTTCTTTTCTTGCAGCCATGAAACACTCCAATCCCCTCCCCCTGGTTTAGGTGATTTGTAGTGGGTTTCTGTTATGTGCAACCAAAAGAGCCTAAATTAAGACTCTCTAATGTCCCTCCCAACTCCATGTCCCAAGTCATATCCCATAATGCAAAAGGCTGTGATTGGGCCACAACATTTATTCCCCGGGTGACAGCATGCCCTTCCTGCTCCTTATAAGAAAACCTCCAGCAGGAAAACAGAACCACAGAGATCTGTGCCTCTCCCTTAATCTTTCCCTAGAAAATTGCTATTATAATTTTGGGAAGAAGGTAAGGTGTGTAGACCCAATTGAAGTGGTGATTTGTGGTTGCAATCTATAATTACTTCTTGAGACGAGGAAACCTAGTGAGTGATTACAAGCAGCCTCCTGGGTTCTCTGGCTGCCTGAAAGTTATGTCTTTCATATCCTCCAAGGCAATGCTTACATAAAGACCAATTATTCCCATATAATTACCCACAAAGAAACTTCCTGGCATGTAGCTGAAAAAGAAAGTATCACCACCATACAACAGGTAATGAGAATAGGGCAGAATAGAAGCTGTGGGCATCAAGGAGCCTGAACTCTCCCCAGCTCAAAGCTGGATGGCTAAGGGGACAGTGGTACTGTTTGCATGGGGCTTAGGGAACAGCTGATTCAAGTTCTATGTGTCTCATTTTACTAATCTAAAGAATGACTTTAATATTAGTACCTATTGCAGAGCAGTGTTGTAAAGATTAAATGACATGGTATATGCAAAGCATTAAGATCAGCATCTGTCACCCAGTAAAGGAACTCACAGTGAGCCTTCTCCCTCGGCATTGTATTCCATGTCCATGTCAAAGGCTAAGTATAGGGTTTTGTCTACAGTGGTGGGTAGGGAAATGATTAACCTTCCATATGACTAGAGCATCCAGAAGGTACGAGAATGGAGGGGAGGATAAATGCCATGAGTGTGGCTACTATGCTCTCACTCTCCTGCCTGGCTGGGGCCATGAAGATGATTTGGCTGCTCTGGGAGAAGAAAGAGAAATGAGACCACTAGGCTGAGAGCCAGGAGACTGGGTTTTGGTCCTGGCTCTGCTATGAATCAGCCCCAAATCTCAGAGCCAATCAATAACTCCAACCCTTTGAGCCTCTGATTCTTTTCTATAAAATGAAATGTTAAGGTTTTTTTTTTTTCCACTTCAGCATGATATTTTGATATAGTTCTTTCCTTTTTTTCCCTACCAAAGCCACTTACTATTTAATTACAGTATGTTCTGGTAGTTTATCTCAAAAATTTAGCTCAAATCTTTCCTGTTCTCTCCATCTCTTCTGTCACATTATTTGTCCAGGTCACCAGTATCTCCACCTGGACCAGTGCTGTAGCCTCTTCACTGAGCTCCCTGCTTCTGCTTCCATCCAAACTCTTTCCATGTAGCCTCCAGAGCAATCTGCTAAAAAATACCACTCCCCAGCTAAACACTCTCCCTATCATTTTTTCATATTTAGAACAAAATGAAACACTTCTATGATCTACAAGGCGCCATGGCCTGGCTTCTGCCTACATCTTTTTATCTGATGCTACTTTCCCCCTCTTTCACTGTAATCCAGTCCTGGCCTTCCACTAGTTTCTGGAACACATCACACTCTTTTCCACCTCATGCTGTTTCCTTTGCCTGTAATGTTCCTCATTATCCTTCATAGAACTGATCCTTCATAACCTTCGGTTTTCAGTTTAAACACAAGCCTCTCAGCAAGGCCCTCCCTAACCAACTGAGTTAAAATAGACTCTCCCATGGTTTTTCCATCTCGGCTTCTTGTTTGTTTTCTTCTTAGCACTTAATCATAATTTCATTTCCTTAACTTGTTTATCTTGGCACATTTGAAGTAGACAGTACAGCATTATTAACTATAGTCACCATGCTCACATTAGATGCTAGAACTTTCCCACCTTATAACTGAAAGTTTGTACCCTCTGGCCAACATCTCCCCATGTCCCTCACCCCTTAGCCCTGGCAACCACCATTCGACTCCTGCTTCTATGAGTTCAATTTTTTTAGATTCCACTTATAAGTGAGCTCATACAGTACTGTGTTTATTTTTCTGTGTCTAGATTATTTTACTTAGCATAGTCCTCCAGGTTCATCCAGTTGTAGCAAATGGCAGGATAATCTTGGGAAACAGCTGATAAACAGCTGAAATCAGCTTGGATTAAGTTCTCATGCATAGTGACATTTTGGTTAGAGAACTAAGGTTACTAGCAAGTGACATGCTTCTGGCGATAGGGGGAGAATCCACCTTTTTACCAGCTTTTGTTTTTGTTTTCAGTTCATGGAGTAATGTACTCAAAGTTTATTAGTTTGAATCTATTTGATTCAGGATCTTTTAAAATTTAACAAGATTGAGTTGAGCTAAAATCTACCTATAAACTTTGAAGAAAAGATTTGCCAAGTAAATTTATAGTTTAAACAAGATTGCAGGGATTGCAGTTTATCTTATTAAAGAGAGGAAATTGTTTTGGTATTTTTAGAAGAACCTATGTACATTCTAATAATGATTGTGCTCATTTCAAATGCCTTAGTTAGAGAAGTACCAAGTCTGGCAAGGTCTGGATTGACAACTCTGTGTGAGTTATTAATTTTTGCATTGTTGTAGTTGTAAGATGGAAGTGACAGTGAGGTAACCCATTAATTTGGCAACTCATTAAGCTGAGTGTGGACCATCAATTAACACATAACAGATAAGAGCAAAGTCATCTCTGAGGGGATGGAATTGGTCCCAGATCAACAAAACCTAACTGGAACTGGATTTAAGCTATTAACATATCCAGAGGAAAAAATGTCCTTCAGTAGGAGGATGGTCAGCATAGGAGCAAGGAAAAGGAGAATTCTCAGAGGTTGACCTTGGCAGTGCCATTCAAGTGCTGACTAGAGAGGCTGTCCTGGGTACTAGGACAAAAGGTCTACATCTGGGTCGAGTGGGATGCTGCAGAGCCCAGAGCTATCCAACATTTTTGTCATAGAGCCAACTCCCAAGGTCTGATTCCATGCTTACCAAGCAGGCTTTGTCCTAATTATAATTTGGCTCCCTTGGAAGATTTTACCTACGGGGGGATAAAACGCTGGATGGATCACTCCAGTATCCTGGGAGATATATTTCTTGTTATAAATAATTGATTCATAAACTGTTTTCTGTTATGAATGAGTTCTACTTCATTCATAACAAAAAAATAGTACCTCTGTTTGGGTCATTCATCACCCATAGACTCTTTTAGCAAAAGACAACTGTCATGCAGGCTTTCTGAGCTGACAGGGCAGAGAGCACACCCTAGAATCTGGCCACATCCTGTCTCTGACGGCAACTCCATGGCTTTCCGTTAGACCTGAATGGTTCTTAAAAGTGATGATCAAGCTGAATTTTAAAAAGGTGAAAGTATTTACTCATCAATCTCACTTCATTTTTATTTACATTTCCTCTTCAAGATAGGCAAATACATTTGCTCCCATTTTGCAGGTGGACAAGTTGAGAAATGAAGGTTTTCCAAAGCTAATTGGTTAAATTTCATGCTAGTTGATAAGTCAGGAACTATATACCCATTTTGTATTTTATATTTTCTCAAGTTACTGAGAAGGATTCTTGGTATTGAACCTAGTTAAAGGTAAATAATTGGAAGTGTGAATCTAGGGTAGTGTTTTGGGTCTAATTTAAATTTGGGTCTAATTTTCCTAATTTGAAGCCTAGTTTCTGTTAAAATTGATTTAATTTTGACTTTGTCTTTATCCCCTTGGGATAAGCACTTAGTGTGAGACTTTTGTGGGGGCTCCCAGTGAAAATTCTGCTGGGACGTTGAGGAGCAAATTTGGTACTGCTGCTCAAGAACCATGAACATCCGTGCTCAGTGACTTCATAGTCAGCCTCTTGGAGTTTAACCAAAGGAAATAATTCAAAAGAAGGAAAAATATGTGTCACATGAAGTTTATTGTAGTATTATTTATAATATGAGCATATCTGAGACCATTTATAGATCCAAAAACAGCCAAATAAATTATGGCGTATCTCATAGGCTATTAAATAGCCATAAGTTAACTATGAATGTTATGCAACATGGAAAACACAGAAGAATGTTTGCCAAATATTAAAAAAATGCAGAATACTTGTGTGCCTTATAGCACACTGGGTGAAAATAAGTGTATATGTATAGAGAATAGACAGATTACACAGAAATGTAAAGACAAGTGTTATATTAGGAATGTAGGTACACTTAAAAATTTCTCTTTCATATTATAATATTAAACATCAATAAATATATTTTATTTTGCAATAAAAATGTTCAATTAAAGGATAAGACAATGAGATTGTCATTGAAGTTGTTCATGACAATATTTTCTTTACCTTAGAATCATTTGATTTCAGCAACATTCTTCTAAAATAAACATGCAGTTCTTGCTCCTTTTGAAATCACTTTCAGGATAATCTGTGTGTTAGGATTTTCTAAGGTTGTGGTAAAACCTTTCTTAAAGCCTTTCTTTGATTAAGCATAATATGAATGATATGTTTGATGGACTGGACCAGGGCCAGGGTCCAAATTTCCCATCATCACTGCTGCTAACCAGCCCAGTAAATTTGGAAAAGATTTTTAACCTTTGTGGGCTTAGTCTCTTCATGTGTCAGATGACCTTCTCAGACTGTGATCCATGAAGACCTCTTTAACATTATATTAATCTTTAAATATAAAGTTCAAGTCCAGATTTACTTTTCCTAATATACGCTTTGTTAGATAACATATTTGAGTTCTGAAACTAGTCTTGATTTTCCTAGACAAGTTTAACGGATTCCTAAGTCTAAGAAGATTTTCCTAAAAAGTCAAATTTAACTGCTAATATTTCTGACATTTCATCTTTACACTTGATAATATGGGGAAGTTTAATTTTTGGCCTTCAAAGATGGGGTTTACTATGTTCCAGCAGTTGTGCCACTTTGTATCTTTAGTGTGATGGTTCTCCATTTTAAGGGTACATTGAACACCCCCCACGCCCTGCTTATTAAACACAGATTGCCAGGTATTATCCCCAGAGTTTCTGATTCACCAAGTCTAGGGGTGAATCTGAGAGTCTGCATTTCTAATTCGTTCCAGCTAATGTCAGTTTTACTGGTCTGGGGACCACACATTGAGAACCATTGCTCTAGAGAAATACTTGTGTAGCAGCACAATGGAAAGGGTATATTGCACTTGCAGCACTATTAGGAATTGCAAAGTATTAACAACCATTTAAATGACTATCAGTAGGTCAATGTCCAAATAAACTGTGGCAGTAGTCATCCTGTGGAGTATCAGACAGCAGGTAAAAAGAGTGAGGTAGATGTAGTTGTGCCATTGTGTAATGGGCGTTAGCTCTAGAGTCCAGACTGTCTATGTTTAAAAATAGCTCTTGAACTTTGAAGAAAATGGAGAATCCAAATTATGTTTTAAATTTAATATGGTAGAATCATTTTATTTTACTTGTGAAATAACTTTTTAAAGGGAAGAGTGCCTTTAGCTATGCTCCTAATTTAAAGTAGATCTGCACTTGTTGAGTTAATTAGAACCAGATCTGTGAAGTCAGAGTCAGAAGTAAATCATCCTGAGGTCAGGGTGACAGTTTCTACAGTACATTTCTGACAAATTTTATTTTAATTTTTAACAAGTATTCATGATCTCAAGGTTATAAGTCAAAGTCCTTGGCTTTATTAAAGCCCTTTGCCTTTCTTAGAAAACAGACTAAGAATTTAAAATGTATGCCATGAAGATGCAAAATAATTATAGATTTATTTGACTTTTATGATCACCAAAATTTAAATATTTACTAACTTTCTGTCTTACCTATCAAACCAAAGCCTAATTGTTAATTCTTTGCATGAATTTGGGAAGCACTTATATCATATGAGGGCTCCTGCTATTGAAGTTGATGACTTCTTGTCTCAATTTAGGTCAATGGTAATTTAAATTATTTGAGGTTTATAATTTTTAACTCTACACCAACTTACAAGCTGTGTGATTGTGGAAGCAAGTTGCTTTACTACTCCCTGTGCTTTGGAAACCCAGATCAGTTGCCCTAGCTGAGAAATGATGATAATAATACCTATTTCAAGGGATTGCTACGAGGATTAAATTAGATAATATGTGCCAGACGTTAAAACAAAATTTGGCACACAGTTACTACTATATATGAGAAGAGTTCTCTGAGGCCTAATGGAGAAAAAAGTTAAGTTGTAGAAGACTGTGTACAGTATGATACTATTTATGTTAAAAATGCTCCAAACAATTCTGAATGCTTTTCATGGACACATGCATGTAACCATATGGAATAGGATGTAGAAGAATATATTACAAACTGCAATCAGCGCTTACCTCTGGGGAGAGGAGGAGGGACTGGATTAATTGGGAAGATGGTCAAAGGGGCTGTCAGCCTTAACAGTAATGACATTTTTATTTTATATGATGTATTTATTTATTTATACTTACACAATTAAAAATTTCCTTAAAATTGTCTTCTTTCAAAGAGAAGGCTACCTAATGATTGGATTAAAGGTTGCAAAAGTAATTAAAATGATAAAGTCAAAGGGAGAAAAGTAAAAGATTGTCATATATGAAAATATTATTATCTTTAAAATTTTGTTCTTTTTTATTCTGAGTAATAATTCAGATTGCTGCTAACTTTTATGAATTTCTTTTCTTTTCTTCTTTTTTTTTTTGAGATGGAGTCTTGCTCTGTTACCCAGGCTGGAACGCAGAGGCGCAATCTCAGTTCACTGCAATCTCTGCTTCCTGGGTTCAAGCGATTCTCCTGCCTCGGTCTCCTGAGTAGCTGGAATTACAGGCATGTGCCACCATGCCCGGCTGATTTTTGTATTTTTAGTAGAGACGGGGTTTCGCCATGTTGGCCAGGCTGGTCTCGAGCTCCTGACTTCAGGTGATCCACCTGCCTTGGTCCCCCAAAGTGCTGGGATTACAGGCGTGTACCACTGCACCTAGCCTATGTATTTCAATTGCTAATGAAAAACACCAATCTGATCTTAGATTTGTTCTGAGACTTCTGCCTCTTTTCCCCTTTAAAACTGTTTTTAAGTTTTTCAGATTTTTAATTTCTAAGAAGTGCTTTCTCTATTCCCCACGTAAATTGCTTGGGATTGGTAGTTTGTCAGCAGTGATATAATATTATATTCCTTTTATACTGTATTTATTCACAACCAGAATCAAACTGCATAAATCAACACTGTTTCTTTTGTGATTTTTAAATGGTTTATGGGTCAATTTGTTAAATTCTGAAAGGTACTTTGGTCTAATAGCTCCACTAATGAATTATGCATCAATCAGTTTTCATCTTTTTGGTTAATATTTAAGATATATTACAGAATTCCCAATTACAGAACATAGAACCGAACTGAAATATTACGCTGTCTGTTCTTCTCTCTCTAGGCAGGAGAACAAAAGTTATGCTGTTAAAAATATTTTTTGTCTGAGAATCACAGTAGGGATAGAACATTGATTAGGCAAATTGTGGGAGCTGCTAAGAGCTGGGAGAGTCTGGTCATAGATTAGGGAACAGTAAATTAGAGGTCGTCAAGCTTTAGCTTGCATCAGCGTCATGAAAGAACTCTTTAAAATGCAGATTCCTGGATCCTACTCCCAGAATTTGATAAAATGTGTCAGAGGATTCTGATACAGGTGAATTGTGGGCCACACATTGAGAAACATTGCTGGGTCCTACTGGCAGTTACTGCTGCCAAATGCTTTGTCAAGGCCTGCTCTGTCCTTTTCGTTGGCCCAGAGATTACAAAGCAGAAAGATACCATGAAGAGGGAAGGAAATCAGGCTGCTTAGGTGTGGAGAGCCTTGGAATGGGTGGTTAAAAGCCTTCGTGGTTAAACATCTTTGGGCATACTTGAAACCAGAAATAAAGAGCAGGGCAAATAGGTTTATGGACCTACTCTTTGTTTCCTTTCCCACCTCCTCACATTAAGCATTGGGTCCCCATTAGGACCTCCAGCCTTTTAGGTACTAATAAGATGACCTGTTTTTGATTCCTTCTTTTCAAAATGTGCCTGGCCAAAGCCTCAGGAGCTCATTTTATGCATTCTTCAGAGTGGACGTTATTTAATGTTATAATTTAGGATTATCAGTCCCAGGTAACAAATATGCATGCTAGGTGTGGTTGACAGAAAAATTGCCTCCCCAAAGAAGTCCTTGTCCAAATCCCTGGAACCTGTGGGTATGTGATCTTACATGTAAAGGGGAATTAAGATTGCAGATGAAATTAAAGCTGATAAACAGCCAATCTCAAGATAGCGAGGTTATCCTGGGTTATCTGGGTGGGTGGGCCCAATTTAATCACCAAGAGGTCCTTAAAAGTAGAAGAGGAGGTAGAAAAGGAGATGTGAATGATGCAAGGTGAAAAAGACTCAACCTGCTACTGCTGGCTGTGAAGATTTGGAGGAAGGAACAATAACTCAAGGAGTGCTGGCTGCTGGAAAAGGCAAGGAAATATATTCTTGCTTAACTTCTCCGGACAGGAATGCAGAATTTTTAACCCAGTGAGACCCTTGTCAGACTCCTGACCTACAGAATTATTGTGAGATAATAATTTTGTGTTGGTTTAATCCACTAAGTTTGTGGTAATTTGTAACAGCAGCAATATGAAACTAATACACTAAGTGTGGCCTCTTGGAGTCGTGAAACCTTTGTCTGAAACTATATATATATATATATATATTTTTTTTTTTTTTTTTTCCCCCATGGGAGCATTAATCATTATGAAAGACAAGTTTGAGAGATACCTGGAGGCACATGGAAGCCTAGTGATGCCCCTAAAATCTCAACATGTGTGCTAAGAATATTTATACAAAGACCTTCTCCAAAAACAGTAACTGTAATCTTCTCCCTGCATTGTAATTTCCCTCCCTCTGCCCCCTCTCACCAATGCATGCCACCCTTCACTGCCATGGTGCCTGTGGTTCTGAGACTCCTCTACCTTCCCCACCTTGAGGCCTTTTACATGCACCAATGCAGTGTTTCTGCACCAACATGAGGAATTCTGCACAACCTCTTCCTCCCACAGAGAATAAAAAAGGCTCCTTCCTCCCAGGAAAATAATAGGTTAGGAATGGTGAGGTCAGATGGAGGAAGAAAAGAATTTGAAAAATCATCATTTTAATCTCTTGACTGCCAAGATAAATGTCCGTTGACTTGTTTAGGCTACTTAGAAAAGTAGGTTCCATATTTTTAGACTTTGAAGCATTTTGAGAGAGTAAGGAGTATTGTTTCGAGTTTTCCTGCAAGAGCTTTGATTTTTTTTTTAAATTTAGAGTCTTTCTTCCTGGGAGCAAGATTCCAGCCACAATCAAAGTACATCTTTCACTTCCCTCTGTCCTACTTTGGTGTCTTCCTCCTATTCTGATACTTCTGCCGAGAAGCTGGACACACTTGTAACAGGTTAGTGGATTGTTACAAGTGGGTGATCCTTCCCCCAGGACCCCTTCACTAGCTAGCCAAGCTAGCTTCCTCTCTTTCTTCCTCATGGCTCTTTCCTCCTCCTGAGACTCTTGAAATCAGACCCACATTTGCCAAGAAGGTGATTTATCCTCTGAGTAAAGAGAACAGAGTCTTCCCAAAGTCTGCCTGCCCAATAAATGCTCAACTACAATTGCTCCTGATCAGCTATTCTGTTTATGAAGATGAGCTAGGGCTGGGCATGGTGGCTCATGCCTGTAATCCCAGCACTTTGGGAGGCCGAGGTGGGAGATTGCTTGAGCCCAGGAGTTTGAGAATAGCCTGGGCAAGATGACGAGACCCCATCTCTGCAAAAAATTAAAAAATTAGCCGAGCATGGTGACATGTGCCTGTAGTCTCAGCTACATGTGAGACTGAAGTGTGAAGATCCCTTGAGCCCAGGAAGTTGAAGTGGCAGTGAAATACGATTGCACGACTGCACTCCAGCCTGGGCCACAAAATGAGACTTGTCTCTGAAAAAAAAAAAAAAAAAAAAAAAAAAAGGAGCTAGAATGAATGTTCTGGGGGTTGGGTGGGCTCTGGGTCAAAGATGAGTCCTGGGTCGTCTGTCTCTTTCTCAGCACCCAGACAGTTCCACGTGCTGTGAGCCCGCTGTAAACACTGACTACTGATAGGCTGACCGACTCCACGAAAGTCAGATGGTTCATTTATGTTTGGTGGCAGCTCATTTTTTTCTGCTTTCTAGAACACAGCACTGCAGGACCTGCTGCTGAAATTGTGTCCCTTCGTTCTTTTAGTCCAATGAGCCTCCAGCCCCAGGGGCTGCTGGGCTGAGAAGATGTGAGCAACAAGCTCCTGAAGACACGTCCTGTCCTTTGCCCTGTGAGGGTGCTCATGCCTGCATCTGTGTTGGTCAGTCTTGCCCCAGTTAATCAGCTTCAGAGGACAGCAAGCCACATCATGAGAGCATGAGAAGAAGCAAGCACCTGACCTGCTGGAGGCTGGACTGGCTCCCTTGTCCAGCAGCCACCATTCCCATAGAAGGGTTGGAAAAATCCATGTGGCTGAAAGCAAACAAGGCTAGGAATTCATCCTGAATTTTAACCTGAGAAGAGGTCAGAACTCCCATAGAATGTCTGTCACTCAAGAGAGAGGGTCTAGATGAAGGAGTGACCTTTGAGCAACTCCCTCCTGTTCTCATTTTTGACACTTGCAACCTGGGTTACCCTGGTAGCTTCTAGCAGCCAAGGCAGTACTGCAGAGCAGTATTTTTTTTCTTTTTTCCCCCCTATTTAGTGGAGAAAAAGACTCTGCTTTGTTCATTTCTGTTCCCCCAACCTCCGGCACACAGCCTGTTGCAGGATTGACGTGCATTAAATGTTTAAGGAACAAAAGAATGAACGAGCCTGAGGTTTTGCGCAGTGTGCTGCTAGAAGTTGCAGCAGCAGGGAGGGAGAGCAGGGAGGAGCATGGCCAGAAGCTGTGGGAGGAGACAAAATTCTCCTTTACAAAATTTTACAAAATTTCTCCTGGGAGACAAACCAGCAGGGAAGTTTTCTTTATGCAAAGAAGCACGGCCAAGCGATTCCCAAGTTTCTCACGGTTTCAATCATGACCTTATTTAATGGACCTTTCATCCCTCTGGGTTGCTGCTTATGATCGTGCAGGTTGTGCTTTGCACAGCTCTGGGGAGCCCCACACATAGGCCTTGAGATGTCCTGTAGGATTAGATGACTTTCAGCAGGGGGCAGGAATGCCTTGAGGAAGGGGCTCCTTTTCCTAATTTAGGTTGAGGCAGGGCCGAGAATCTGCGCCGCAGCCACTGCTGGCTTAATGGGAGCTGCCAGGGCTGCTCACAGGGACTGATCTGAGCTTAGATCCCGGGAGCAGCTAGTCAGGGTCAGGCCACATCCTCCTGGAGTTCTGTCTACTTGGTTCTTGTTTTTCACTGCCTTTCCAACAGACCACCCAGAACTCTAATCTCTTTAATCCTGGACTCTTGGTCCATTCAGTACTTTTCTTCTCACTGTATAGTTGTAATGTTTCTTCTTTTTGGAGAATTTTGAAATGCAAGGATAAAATCATAGATTCAAAGAAGTTTTTAAACTGCAAGTAAAAATACAGTTATCTAGAGCATAAGTTTTGGCTTAAGCAGGACTGAGTTGAGATTCCAGCTGCACAACCTTAAGCAAGTCCTGTAAAATCATTTATTATTGGCCGATCCATTCATCCCCTTATTTAGTTATTCCTTCAAAAATATTTACTGGGCATGTACCCTGCTCCAGGTGTTGGGTAATTCAGTCTCTCAGGAGGAGAGGGAGGCATTTGTAAAACAGATACTCACACTGATAAGTAAGTACAATAAGAGCTAGGGAGAAAACCCACAGGGGCCCATGAGGACATATAATAAGAGGGCTTAAAGTCGTCAGTTGAGGCAGGGAGGGCTGAGGCTTGAGGAATGAAAAGGAATTAACTGGGCAAATAGGCTGAAGCATTCCAGATGGAGGGAGCAGTGTGGGCAAAGATCCAGGGGATGGGCCTCCAGTGCGGCTGGACATAAAGTCATGGGCAAGAGAAGCATGTCAGGAGAAGAAGCCGGGGAGGTAGGGCAGCCATCCCGCCAGGAATTATAGGCATCTTAAGAGTCTTGCACTTTAACCCAAGAGCACTGAAAGGCTTTAAGCAATTAAGGGACCCAATCACATTCAGTTTTAATGTTTAAAGTGATAGCCAAGGCTGACATGAGGATGGTAGACTATAACAGGGACAAGCATGGATGCAGGGAGGAAAAGACCTAAGGAGTGTGACTTGCCCTGTGGTTTCATAGAATCACAGTTAACTTCAGGACTCTCCTCTCTCCTCAGGACGTGTTTACTCTGTGGCGCTGCTCTGTCCTCAGCTCTGCAATGCAGCCTGCCAAAAATTTTCCCTTTCCTCCTCTGATATCCTCAGTGTCCTGCTGGGATTCTACACCTCCCAGTAAGCCAATGAATTATTAAAAATAATTTTTCAAGAGATGGTATTTGGTCCCAGTGCAGATTTTTGTGGGGTACGAGGAAGCCAGACGGGTGCGCACGGCTGAGTAACCATGAGTCCTTGGGTCCAGCTCAAGTGACAGCAGCCTGAAAATCACGTCTCTCCGTCGCAGCATGGGAGGCTGAAGCAGCTGACTCACTTGCCCCACGTATCTTCTTGACGAGCCAGAGCCTGAGTTGGGGGTCCATTGCCAGCACCACACGTGTGCTCCGGCCCCTCTGATAGCTGGTTGGGAAACCTCACTCTTCACATGTGTTCAGGGTCTTGCAGAAAGGCTGGCAGTATTTCCCCAGGGGCCCCAGGTCAGATTTACACACTTGTTCAAGGTGAGGTGGATGCAAGTGCTGAGGGGAAACAGCACACACCAGGAGCTGCAGAGGGACCTGGGCCACCTCCTTGGTAGTCAGCCTAACTTCTTCCACTGGCCTCTGTCCTCACTCTAATGGCTCCTTGATTTCTTATGCTGTGGATTTTCTGCCTACCTACCAGGAAACTGCTCATGAAATTTAGAAGAGAATAAATCTCTTAGTTACCTCTAGGGATCAACATCAACATAAATAAAGTTACTTCCCCTGCCAGAGTCTTTGATCCTTTTCTAACTTCCTGTTTAAGGTTGCTGGCAGCACAATCCAAGGCCTATTGATTATGTTTGTGTTCATTGCTTCTCATAATTGAGCATTCTTAAGTATCATCCTTCTCCTACCCCTTTCCTCTCTCCTTGTCCAGGTAGAGGTCAGCAGAATAATAGGAAAAGAAAGACACTTGGAGAAATTAAGAAATGCTTGGGGTTAAATGTTTTTCAGAAAGGTGGGTCCCCTGGAAGGGGGAGGGGAACAGAAGGGACATTAGAAGTTTCCCGATGGATGTGATGGCCAGAGGCAGAGCCCTTTGTCATGTGACGTCTGAGTGAGCTCCCAGGCCACTGGTCCTTCTTGGGGCAGTGTTCACAATAGGCACCAAGGGCATCTGTGGGCACTGAGGTCTTGGTTCACTGCCAGGATCTTCTGAGCAGATATTACTGCAATCACCAGCTTCCTCAGAGAGAAAAGAGAATCTGGTAAAAGTGGCTCACACATAACCCTTACCATGTTATCCTAGAAGGTAACTATTCTCATTACTCCCATTTTGCTGACTAGGAGACTGAGGCATGGAGAAGTTCAGTAACTTGTCCCCCTCAGGCAGACTGGCTCCAGAGCCCTGTCTCTGGGTAGTATCACAAGCACTCCTGGTCAAAACCTGCTTGTCCCAGCCATTCCCAGCAGGAGTCCTGGTGCCCTCTTCCAAGGTGGAGTCTCGGCCCAGTTCATTTTTCAATGCTGCCTGACCAGGATTGTCCATAGCCTCAGTCTAAAAGCCTGGAAGAGTCTTATTAATATCAGTAACCATAGCAATTGTAACTGACATTTACGGGGTTCTTTGTCTGTGCCAGGCATTTTACTAAGCTCTTAACAAATCCTCACTACAAATATATGAGGTAGGTATTGTTACCATCCTCGTTTTCAGATAAAGAAAATGGGGCTCAATGGAAGATAAATCACTTGTCTAAGGTCACAGGTCTCGGGGTGTTGAATCTTCAACCTACAGTGCTGCTCATGGCTTTCGGCTGCGAAAGTGGTCACATTTGTCATGGCTAGGGAGCTCTTGGACAGTAGGGTCTGCTGAATTCAGCCATGCATTTTAGAGTCAGACAGGCCTGATGTTAATTTCTGACTGTATGAGTGTATGGGTAGAACCTCAATTTCCTTTTCTGTAACCCGGGGCTAAATCCATCTTCCTCAGGCTGTGTTACTTCAAGTATCAGAAGAGATAATGCTGGATTTCCTACATTTCAGATACACATGTACTGCCTTTATAATTTTTGCTTTCATTTGAGATTTTCCTCAAGGTGACTTAAAGTTTTAAAAATATTTTAAAAAGGAAACTTTACATTACTACCATAAGTGAGAAGCCATAATAGAAGGTGACAAAAATTTTATTATTCTTAAAGTTAAAAAACCTGCTTTTTTATACCTTTGAAAGAATCTGGCATTGCAACCAGCAGTACATATACCATACAAAATATGAAAGTATTGTTCACACAGTGCCTAGGTCAGGGCCCAGCATGCAGTAAGTGGTCAATAGATGATAGCCATCCTTCTCCTGCCCCTTCCCTCTCTCCTTGTCCTTCCTATTTTGGTGCCCATTCTTGTTCCTGTCCCTGCCACATGGACCCAGTCTGCATGGCTGCACCTCTGGCTTTGTTTTTCCTTTGAATGTTCTAAAACTGGCACCATGCCACTCTCCTCCAGAGCATTTGGAAGGGATTCTGACGATGTCTAACTTTTGTAACCCTCTCTCTACGGGGAGTTAGACCTTCTAGGCAGGACCTGCTGTGAGTAGAGTGGCCTTGTGCACCCTGATGAAGTGGCATGCGAACATTGAGTGGGACATTCCTATCATCAATGTATGAGAGTTCTAAGTCTTCCACATCCTACTCAGCGCTTGGTATTGCCAGTTTTTAAAATTTTAGGCATTCCTAAAAAGGTTTGTAGTGGAATACCATTTTTTTAGTTGAGATATAATTCACATATCATAACACTCACCCTTTTAAAGTATAGAGCTCAGTGGTTTTTGGTATACACACGAAGTATTCAACCATCACCACCACCTAATTCTAGAACACTTTCAACCCCTAGAAAGAAACTCTGTATCCACTAGCAGCCACACCCCCATTCCCCTCTACCCCAGACCCTAGCAACCACTAATCTACTTTGCATCTCTGAGGATTTGGCTATTCTAGACATTTCATATAAATGAAACCATGCATACCTTTTGTGACTGGCTCCTTTCACTGAGCATAATGTTTTCAACATTCATCTAATTGCCTGGCGCAGTGGCTCACGCATGTAATCTCAGCACTTTGGGAGGCTGAGGCGGGCAGATCACGAGGTCAGGAGATTGAGACCATCCCAGCTAACATGGTGAAACCCCGTCTCTACTAAAAATACAAAATAATTAGCCGGGCGTGGTGGCGGGCGCCTGTAGTCCCAGCTGCTGGGGAGGCTGAGGCAGGAGAACGGCGTGAACCTGGGAGGCAGAGCTTGCGGTGAGCTGAGATTTCGCGCCACTGCACTGCAGCCTGGGCGACAGAGCAAGACTCCATCTCAAAAAAAAAAAAAATTTCATCTAATTAATATGTTATACTGTATACTTCATTCTTTTTTAGGACTGCATAGTATAGTCAATTCTCATTACTTGCAGCAGTTATTTTCTATAAAGTCACAGCAAACACTGAATTCGTGAATAATGAATCATTGTTCCTAGGGGAAATATATACGTAAGTGTGTGTGTGTGTATTACATAGATTATAATCCTAAATCCTAAAAATAACTCATTCAGATAGATTCTATTTCTTTATTTTATGAAGAGAAGACAAAGTTCAGAAGTGAGTGACTTGCCTCAGGTTGCACTGCTAATGGGTGCCAGAATTGGTATTCAAGCCACATCTAACTGACCCTAGAGCCGGAGCTTCTTGCACTACCCTTTGCTGCCTCCTTCTCTGCCTCTATCCTCTGGTTGTCTCTGCATGATTGCTGAAGCAAGAGGGCTGAGTGTGTCATCTTGTTTGATCTTAGCTGGGAATGTTCATGTTGGGCAATTGAAAATTTCCACTGCTCCTTACATGTCTACAAATGACTGAGAAAGTGCCGTGAGTATTGATTTTGAGATTACAATTAAATTTTCACTAGTAGGTGAATTTGCAAAATTTGTATATATGGAATCCATTCATTGCAGTTTTTTTTTTGTACTTTAAGTTCTGGGGTACGTGTGCAGAACGTGCAGTTTTGTTACCTAGTTATACACGTGCCATAGTGGCTTGCTGCATGCATCAACCTGTCACCTACGTTAGGTATTTCTCCTAATGCTATCCCTCCCCTAGCCCCTACCCCCTGACAGTCCCCGGTGTGTGATATTCCCCTCCCTATGTCCATGTGTTCTCATTGTTCAACTCCCACTTATGAGTGAGAACATGTGGTGTTTGGTTTTCTGTTCTTGTGTTAGTTTGCTGAGAATGATGGTTTCCAGCTTTATCCATGTTCCTGCAAAGGACATGAACTCATCCTTTTTATGGCGGCATAGTATTCCATGGTATATATGTGCCACGTTTTCTTTATCCAATATATCATTGATGAACGTTTGGGTTAGTTCCAAGTCTTAGCTATTGTGAACAGTGCTGCAATAATCATACATGTGCATGTGTCTTTATAGTAGAATGATTTATAATCCTTTGGGTATATACCCAGTGATGGGATTGCTGGGTCAAATGGTATTTCTGGTTCTAGATCCTTGAGGATTGCCACACTATCTTCCGCAATGGTTGAACTAATTTACATTCCCACCAAACATGTAAAAGTGCTCCTATTTCTCCACATCCTCTCCAGCATCTGTTGTTTCCTGACTTTTAATGATCGCTATTCTAACTGGCATGAGATGGTATCTCATTGTGATTTTGATTTGTTTTTCTCTAATGACCAGTGATGGTGAGCTTTTTTTTCATATGTTTGTTGGCCACATAAATGTCTTCTTTTGAGAAGTGTCTGTTATTATCCTTTGCCCACTTTTTCATGGGGTTGTTTGTTTTTTTCTTGTAAATTTGTTTAAGTTCCTTGTAGATTCTGGATATTAGCCCTTTGTCAGATGGATAGATTGCAGAAATTTTCTCCCGTTCTGTAGGTTGCCTGTTCACTCTGATGATAGTTTCTTTTGCTGTGCAGAAGCTCTTTAGTTTAATTAGATCCCATTTGTCAATTTTGGCTTTTGTTGCCATTGCTTTTGGTATTTTAGACATGAAGTCTTTGCCCATGCCTATGTCCTGAATGGTATTGCCTAGGTTTTCTTCTGGGTTTTAATGGTTTTAGGTCTTACGTTTAAGTCTTTAATCCATCTTGAGCTAATTTTTTGTATAAGGTGTAAGGAAGGGGTCTAGTTTCAGTTTTCTGCATATGGCTAGCCGGTTTTCCCAACACCATTTATTAAATAGGGAATGCTTTCCCCATTTCTTGTTTTGTTAGGTTTGTCAAAGATCAGATGGTTGAAGATGTGTGGCATTATTTCTGAGGCCTCTGTTCTGTTCCATTGGTCTATATATCTTTTTTGGTACCAGTACCATGCTGTTTTGTTTATTGTAGCCTTATAGTATAGTTTGAAGTCAGGTAGTGTGATGCCTCCAGCTTTATTCTTTTTTCTTAGGATTTTCTTGGCTATACAGGCTCTTTTTTGGTTCCATAGAAAATTTAAAGTAGTTTTTTATAATTCTATGAAGAAAGTCAATGGTAGCTTGATGAGTATAGCATTGAATCTATAAATTACTTTGGGCACTATGGCCATTTTTATGATATTGATTCTTCCTATCCAAGAGCACAAAATGTTTTGCCATTTGTTTGTGTCCTCTCTTATTTCATTGAGCAGTGGTTTGTAGTTCTTCTTGAAGAGGTCCTTCACATCCGTTGTAAGTTGTATTCCTAGGTATTTTATTCTCTTTGTAGCAATTGTGAATGGGAGTTCACTCATGATTTGGCTCTCTGTTTGTTTATTATTGATGTATAGGAATGCTTGTGATTTTTGCACATTGATTTTGTATCCTGAGACTTTGCTGAAGTTGCTTATCAGCTTAAGGAGATTTTCGGCTGAGTTGATGGGGTTTTCTAAATATACAATCATGTAATCTGCAAACAGAGACAATTTGACTTCCTCTCTTCCTATTTGAATACCTTTATTTCTTTCTCTTGCCTGCTTGCCCTGGTGATAAATTCCAATACTATGTGAGTAGAGTGGTGAGAGAGGGCATACTTGTCTTGTACTTGTTTTCAGAGGGAATGCTTCCAGCTTTTGCCCATTCAGTATGATACTGGCTGTGGGTTTGTCATAAATAGCTGTTATTATTTTGAGATATGTTCTATCAATACCTAGTTTATTGAGAGTTTTTAGCATGAAGGGGTGTTGAATTTTATTGAAGACCTTTTCTGCATCTACTGAGATGATCATGTGATTTTTGTCATTGGTCCTGTTTATGTGATGGATTATGTTTGTTGATTTCCGTATGTTGTACCAGCCTTGCATACCAGGGATGAAGCCAGCTTGATCGTGGTGGATAAGCTTTTTGATGTGCTGCTGAATTCGGTTTGCCAGTATTTTACTGAGGATTTTCGTGTTGCTGTTCATCAGGGATATTGGCCTGAAATTTTCTTTTTTTGCTGTGTCTTTGCCAGGTTTTTTTTTTTTTTTTTTTTTAATCAGGATGATGCTGGCCTCATAAAATGTGTTAGGGAAGAGTGCCTCTTTTTCTATTGTCTGGAATAGTTTCAAAAGGAATGGTACCAGTTCCTCTTTGTACCTCTGGTAGAATTCGGCTGTGAATCTGTCTGGTCCTGGGCTTTTTTTTTGGTTGTTAAGCTATTAATTACTGCCTCAATTTCAGAACTTACTATTGGTCTATTCAGAGATTCGACTTCATCCTGGTTTAGTCTTGGGAGGGTATATATGTCCAGGAATTTATCCATTTCTTTTAGATTTTCTAGTTTATTTGCATGGAGGTGTTTATAGTATTCTCTGATGGTAGTTTGTATTAGTGTGGGATCAGTGGTGATATCTCCTTTATCATTTTTTTACTGTGTCTATTTGATTCTTCTCTCTTTTCTTCTTTATTAGTCTGGCTGGCGGTCTATCTATTTTGTTAATCTTTTCAAAAACGCAGCTCCTGGATTCATTGATTTTTTGAAGGGTTTTATGTGTCTCTATCCCCTTCAGTTCTACTCTGATTTTAGTTATTTCTTGTCTTCTGCTAGCTTTTGAATTTGTTTGCTCTTGCTTCTCTAGTTCTTTTAATTGTGATGTTAGTGTCAGTTTTTGATCTTTCCTGCTTTCTCCTGTGGGCATTTAGTGCTATAAATTTCCCTTAAACACTGCTTTGGCTGTGTCCCAGTGATTCTGGTATGTTGTGTCTTTGTTCTCATTGGTTCAAAGAACTTATTTATTTCTGCTTTAATTTTGTTATTTACCCAGTAGTCATTCAGGAGCAGGTTGTTCAGTTTCCATGTAGTTGTGTGGTTTTGAGTGAGTTTCCTAATCCTGAGTTCTAGTTTGATTGCACTGTGGTCTGAGAGACTGTTTGTTATGCTTTCTGTTCCTTTGCATTTGCTGAGGAGTGATTTCCTTCCAATTATGTGGTCAATTTTAGAATAAGTGCAGTGTGGTTCTGAAAAGAAAGTACATTCTGTTGATTTGGGATGGAGAGTTCTGTAGATGTCTATTAGGTCCGCTTTGTCCAGAGTTGCATTCAAGTCCTGAATGTCCTTGTTAATTTTCTGTCTCATTGATCTGTCTAATATTGACAGTGGGGTGTTAAAGTCTCCCACTATTATTGTGTGGGAGTCTAAGTGTCTTTGTAGGTCTCTAAGAACTTGCTTTATGAATCTGGGTGCTCCTGTATTGGGTGCATATATATTTAGGACAGTTAGGTCTTCTTGTTGCATTGATACCTTTACAATTATGTAATGTCCTTTTTGTCTTTTTGGATCTTTGTTTGTTTAAAGTCTGTTTTATCAGAGACTAGGATTGCAATCCCTGGTTTTTTTGGTTTCCATTTGCTTCATAAATATTCTTCCATCCCTTTATTTTGAGCCCATGTGTGTCTTTTCACATGAGATGGTTCTCCTGGATACAGCACACTGACGGGTCTTGACTATCCAATTTGCCAGTCTGTGTCTTTTAATTAAGGCATTTAGACTGTTTACATTTAAGGTCAGTATTGTTATGTGTGAATTTGATCCTGTCATTATGGTGCTAGCTGGTTATTTTGCCCATTAGTTGATGCAGTTTCTTCATTGGGTTGATGGTCTTTACAATTTGGTATATTTTTGCAGTGGCTGGTACTGGTTTTTCCTTTCCATATTTAGTGCTTCTTTCAGGAGCTCTTGTAAGTCAGGCCTGGTGGTGGTAAAATCTCTTAGCATTTGCTTGTCTGTAAAGGATTTTAGTTTTCCTTCGCTTATGAAGCTTAGTTGTCTGGATATTCTGGGTTGAAAATTACTTTCTTTAAGAATGTTGAATATTTGTTCCCACTCTCTTCTGGTTCGTAAGGTTTCTGCAGAGAGATCCACTATTAGTCTGATGAGCTTCCCTTTCTGGGTAGCCTGATCTTTCTCTCTGGCTCCCCTTAACATTTTTTCCTTCATTTCAACCTTGGTGAATCTGATGATCATGTGTCTTTGGGTTGCTCTTCTCGAGGAGTATCTCTGTGGTGTTCTCTGTATTTCCTGGATTTGAATGTTGGCTTATCTTGCTAGCTTGGGGAAATTCTCCTGGATAATATCCTAAAGAGTATTTTCCAATTTGGTTCCATTCTCCCCATCACTTTTAGGTGCACTAATCAAACGTTGATTTGGTCTTTTCACATAGTCCCATATTTCTTGGAAGTTTTGTTCATTCCTTTTCATTCTTTTTTCTCTAATCTTGTCTTCATGCTTTATTTCATTAAGTTGATCTTCAATCTCTGATATCCTTTCTTCTGCTTGCTTGATTCAGCTATTGATATTTGTGTGTACTTCATGAAGTTTTTGTGCTGTGTTTTTCAGCTCCGTCAGGTCATTTATGTTCTTCTTTAAACTGGTTATTCTAGTTAGCAATTCCTCTAACCTTTTTTCAAGGTTCTTAGCTTCCTTGCATGGGTTAGAACATGCTCCTTTAGCTCAGAGGAGTTTGTTATTACCCATCTTCTGAAGCCTACTTCTGCCAATTAGTCAAACTCATTCTCCATCCAGTTTTGTTTCCTTGCTGGTGAGAAGTTGTGATCCTTTGGAGGAGAAGAGGCATTCTGGTTTTTGGAATTTTCAGCCTTTTTGTGCTGTTTTTTTCCATCTTCGTGGATTTATCTACCTTTGGTCTTTGATGCTGGTGACCTTCAGATGGGGTTTTTGTGTGGACATCCTTTTTGTTGATGTTGATGCTATTCCTTCCTGTTTGTTAGTTTTCCTCCTAACAGCCAGGCCCCTCTGCTGCAGGTCTGCTCGAGTTTGCTGGAGGTCCACTCCAGACCCTGTCTGCCTGGGTATCACCAGCGAAGGCTGCAAAACAGCAAAGATTGCTGCCTGTTCCTTCCTTTGGAAGCTTCATCCCAGAGGGGCACCCATCAGATAACAGTCATAGCTCTCCTGTATGAGGTATCTGTCGACCCCTGCTGGGAGGTGTTTCCCAATCAGGAGGCACGAGGATCAGGGACACACTTGAGGAGGCAGTCTGTCCCTTAGCAGAGCATGAGTGCTGTGCTGGGAGATCTGCTGCTCTCTTCAGAGCTGGCAGGCAGAAACATCTAAGTCTGCTGAAGCTGTGCCCATAGCCGCCTCTTCCCTCTGGTGCTCTGTCCCAGGGAGATGGGAGTTTTATCTATAGGCCCCTGAGTGGGGCTGCTGCCTTTCTTTTAGAGATGCCCTGCCGAGAAAGGAGAAATCTAGAGAGGCAGTTTGGCTATAGCAGCTTTGTTGAGCTGTGGTGGGCTCTGCCCAGTCTGAACTTCCCTGAGGCTTTGTTTACACTGTGAGGGGAAAACCGCCTATTCAAGCCTCAGTAATGGAAGATGCCCCTCCCCACACCAAGCTCAAATGTACCAGGTCGACTCCAGGCTATTGTGCTGGTAGCGAGAATTTCAAGCCAGTGGATCTTAGCTTGCTGGGCTCTGTGGGGCTTGGATCCACTCAGCTAGACCACTTGGCTCCCTGGCTTCAGCCCCCTTTTCCAGGGGATTGAATGGTTCTGTCTCGCTGGCATTTCAGGCACCACTGGGGTATGAAAAAAAACTCCAGCTAGCTCGGTGTCTGCCCAAACAGCCACCCAGTTTTGTGCTTGAAACGTAGGGCCCTGGTGGTGTAGGCACCCAAGGGAATCTCCTGGTCTGCAGGTTGTGAAGACCATGGGAAAAGTGTAGTATCTGGGCTGTAATGAACCATTCCTCACAGCACAGTCCCTCATGGCTTCCCTTGGCTAGGGGAGGGAGGTCCCTGATCTCTTGCTTGCCCCACTCTGCTTTGGCTTGCCTTACATGGGCTATACCCATTGTCTAACCAGTCCCAATGAGATGAGCCAGGTGCCTCAGTTGGAAATGCAGAAATCACCCTCCTTCTGGGTTGATCTCTCTGGGAGCTGCAGACTAGAGGTGTTCCCAATTGGCCATCTTGCCAGCCACCCCAAATTCAAGAACAATTTTAAGAAACAGTCTATCCAGGCCGGGCGTGGTGGCTCGTGCCTGTAATCCCAGGACTTTGGTAGGCCAAGGTGGGTGGATCATGAGGTCAGGAGTTCAAGACCAGCCTTGGCAAGATGGCGAAACCCCATCTCTACTAAAACTACAAATTAGCCTGGCGTGGTGGCAGGCACCTGTAGTCCCAGCTATTCAGGAGGCTGAGGGAGGAGAATTGCTTTAACCTGGGTGGGAGAGGTGAAAATGAGCTGAGATTGTGCCACTGCACTCCAGCTGGGCAACACAGTAAGACTCTGTCTCAAAAAAAAAAAAGAAAGAAAGAAAAGAAACAAAGAGTCTATGCAAATGACAATGGGCTGGAAAAGTAATTTTGGTAATATGACAAAACAGAGTCCTATAACATCCCCAACAATCACCCTAGCTCCCCAGAAATGGCTCCAAGCCAAGAAGAAATCTGAATTGCCAGAGAAAAATTTCAGAAGGTTGATTATTAAGCTACTCAAGGAGATACCAGAGAAAGGTAGAAACTAACTTCAAGAAATTAAAAAAAATACAGGATATGGACTTAAAATTCTCTAGAGAAATAGATATCATAAATAAAATACAATCACAGCTTCTGGAAATGAAAGACACACGTAAAGAAATACAAAATGCAGTGGAAACTTTCAGTAGAGACTAGAACAAGTAGAAGAAAGAACTTCAGAGCTTGAAGACAAGGCTTTCAAATTAACCCAATCAGACAAAGAGAAAAAAAAAGAATAAAAAAAATTGAACAAAGCTTCCAAGAAATTTGGGATTATGTTAAATGACCAAGCATAAGAATAATTGGTGTTCCTGAGGAAGACGAGAAATCTAAAAGTTTGAAAAACATATTTGAGGGAATAATTGAGGAGAACTTCCCTGGCCTTGCTGGAGAGCTAGATGTTAAAATACAAGAAGCTCAAAGAACTGTTGGGAAATTCATTGCAAGAAGATCATCACCTAGGCACATAGTCATCAGGATATGTAAAGTCAAGACAAAGGAAAGAATCTTAAGACCTGTGAAACAAAAGCATCAGACAACCTATAAAGGAAAACCTATCAGACTAACAGCTGGTTTCTCAGCAGAAACCTTTTAAGCCAGAAGGGATTGGAGTCCTATTTGTAGCCTCCTTAAACAAAATAATTGTCAGCCTAGAATTTTGTATTCAGCAAAACTAAGTTTCATAAATGAAGGAGAGATAAAAGTTTTTTTCAGACAAACAAATGCTAAGAGAATTCACCACTAGAGAACTAGCACTACAAGAAATGCTAAAAGAAGTTCCAAATCTCAAAGAAAACCTCAGAGTACACCAAAATAGAACCTTCTTAAAGCTTAAATCTCACAGAACCTATAAAACAATAACACAATGAAAAAAACATGGTATTTAGGCAACAACTAGCATGATGAATAGAACAGTACCTCACATCTCAATATTGACATTGCAAATGGCTTAAATGCTTCACTTGAAAGATACAGAATGGCAGAATGGATAAAAATTCACCAACCAAGTATCTGCTGTCTTCAACAGACTCACCTAATGAATATGAACTCCCATAAACTTAAGGTAAAGGGGTGGAGAGAGATATTCCATGCAAACAGCCACCAAAAGTGAGCAGGATTAGCTATTCTTATGTCAGACAAAACAGACTTTAAAGCAACAACAGTAAATAAAGACAAAGAGGAACATTATATAAAGACAAAAGGATTAGTCCAACAGGAAAATGTTACAATCCTGAATATATATGCACCTAACACTGAAGCTACTAAATTCATAAAACAATGACTACTAAACCTAAGAAATGAGATAGATGGTAACACAATAATAGTAGGGGATTTCAATATCTCATTGACAGCACTAGACAGATAATCAAGACAGAAAGTCAACAAAGAAACAATGGATATAAACTATACCCTGGAAAAAATGGACTTAACATGTTTACAGAACATCTGTAACTTCAGAATATACATTCTTTTCATCAGCACATAGAACATTCTCCAAGATAGACCATATGATAGGCCACAAAACAAGTCTCAAAAAATTTAAGAAAATTGAAATCATATCGAGTATTCTCTCAGACCACAGTGTAATAAAACTAGAAATTAACTTCAAAAGGGACTTTTAAAACTATACAAATACATGGAAATTAAATAATTTGCTCTTGAATGATATTTGGGTCAACAATGAAATCAACATGGAAATTAAAACATTATTTGAACCGAATGATAATAGTGTCACAACTTATCAAAACCTCTCGGATACAGCAAAAGTGGTTCTAAGAGGAAAGTTTATAGCATTAAAGGCCTACATCAAAAAGTCTGACAGAGCAAAAATAGACAATCTAAGGTCACACCTCAAGGAACTAGATAAACAAGAACAAATCAAACCCAAAATCAGCAGAAGAAAAGAAATAACAAAGATTAGAGCAGAACTAAATAAAATTGAAACAAAAAATACAATACAAAAGATAAATAAAACAAAAATCTGGTTATTTGGAAAGATAAACAAAATTGATAGACCGTTAGTGAGATTAACCAAGGAAAGAAGAGAGATGATCCAAATAAGCTCAATTAGAAATGAAACAGGAGATATTACAGCTGATACCACAGAAATACAAAAGATTATTCAAGGCTACTATGAATAACTTTACACACATAAACTAAAAAATCTAGAAGAGATGGAAAAATTCCTGGAAATATACAATCCTTCTAGATTAAATCAGGAAGAAATAGAAACACGGGACAGACCAATAAGTAGCAAGATTGAAACAGTAATAAAAAAATTGCCAACAGAAAAAAGTCCAGGACCAGATGGATTCACAGTTGAATTTTATCAGACATTCAAAGAAGAATTTACGCCAATCCTGCTGAAACTATTCCAAAAGATAAAGAAAGAAGGAATCCTTCTTAAATCATCTCAAATCATTCCATAAAGCCAGTATCGCCCTAATGCCAAAATCAGGGAAGGATATACAAAAAAAGAAAACTATAGACCAATACCTCTGATGAACATAGATGCAAAAGTTCTCAACAAAATACTAGCTAACCAAATCCAACAGCATATCAAAAAGATAATACATCATGATCAAGTGGGTTTTATACCAGGGATGCAGGATAGCTTAACATATGAAAGTCAATAAATGTGAAATACCACATAAACAGAGCTAAAAACAAAAATCATATGATCATCTCAATAGAAGCAGGAAAAGCATTTGATAAAATCCAACATCCCTTTATGATTAAAAACCCTCAGCAAAATTGGTGTAGATGGGACATATATCAAGGTAATAAAAGCCATCTATGACAAATCCACAGCCAACATAACACCGAATGAGGAAATGTTGAAGGCATTCCCCCAAGAACTGGAACAAGTCAAAGATGCCCACTTTTGCCACTTCAGTGTAACATAGTACTAGAAGTCCTAGCCAGAGTAATCAGACAAGAGAAAGAAAGGGCATCCAAATTGGTAAAAAGGAAGTCAAACTGTTGCTGTTCACTGATGATATGGTTGTTTACCTAGAAGACCCCAAAGACTCATCCAAAAAGCTCCTATATCTGATAAATGAATTCAGTAAAGTTTCAGGACACAAAATCAATATACACAAATCAGTAGCACTGCTATACACTAACAGTGACCAACCTGAGAATCAAATCAGGAACTCAATCCCTTTTACAACAGCTCCCAACAAACAAACAAACAAACCAAAAAAAAAAAAACAAAAAACCCACCACCAGCACCAACAAAAAACTTACGAATATACCTAACCAAGGAGATGAAAGATCTCTACAAGGAAAACTACAAAACACTGCTGAAAGAAATCATAAATGATACAAACAAATGGAAACATATCCCATGCTTACAGATAGGTAGAATCAATATCGTGAAAATAACTATACTGTCAAAAGCAATCTATAGATTCAGTGCAATTCTGAACAAAATACCAATATCATTCTTCACAGAACTAGAAAAAAACAACTCTAAAATTCACATGGAACCAAAAAGGAGCCCACATAGCCAAAGCAAGGCTAAGCAAAAAACAAAAACAAAAACAAACCCAAATCTGGACACATCACATTATCCAACTTCAAACTATACTACAAGGCTATAGTTAGCAAAACAGCCTGGTACTGGTATAAAAATAGGCATATAGACAAATGGGATTGAACAGAGAACCCAGAAATAAAGCCAAATATGGCCAACGTGGTGGCTCATGCCTGTAATCCCAGCACTGTGAGAGGCCAAGGCAGGTAGATCACTTGAGGCCAGGAGTTGGAGACCAGCCTGGCCAACATGGTGAAACCCTATCTCTACTAAAAATACAAAAAATTAGCCAGGCATGGTGGCACATGCCTGTAATCCCAGCTACTTGGGAGGCTGAGCCAGGAGAATAATTTGAGCCTGAGAGGCAGAGGTTGCAGTGAGTGGAGATCGTGCCACTGCACTCCAACCTGGGTGACAGAGTGAGACTCGGTCTCAAAAAAAAAAAAAAAAAAAAAAAGAAAAGAAAACAAAACAAAACAAAGACAAATACTTACAGCCAACTGATCTTCGACAAAGCAAACAAAAACATAAAGTGGAGAAAGGACACCCAATTAACAAAAAGTGCTGGGATAATTGGCCAGCCACATGTAGAAGAATGAAACTGGATCCCCATCTCTCACCTTGTGTAAAAATCAACTCAAGATGGATCAAAGGCATACATCTAAGACCTGAAACCATGAAAATTCTAGAAGATAACATTGGAAAAAACTCTTTTAGACATTGGCTTAGGCAAATATTTCAAGACCAAGAAACCAAAAGCAAATGCAACAAAAGCAAAAATAAATAGATGGAACCTTATTAAACTAAAAAGCTTCTGTACAGAAAGAGAAATAAGCATAAGAGTAAACAGAGAACCCACAGAATGGGAGAAATTATTTGCAAACTATGCGTCCAACAAAGGACTAATATCCAGAGTCTACAAGGCACTCAAACAAATCATCGAGAAAGAAAACAAATAATCCCATCAAAAAGTAGGGAAAGGACATGAATAGACAATTCTCAAGAGAAAATATACAAATGGCCAACAGACATATGAAAAAATACTCAACATCACTAATCATCAGGTAAATGCAAATGAAAACCACAATGCGATTCCACCTTACTCTTGCAAGAATGGTCATAATCAAAAAATAAAAAAATAATAGATGTTGGCATGCAGGTGGTGAAAAGAGAACACTTTTACACTGTTGATGGGAATGTAAACTAGTAAAACCACTGTGGAAAACAGTGTGAAGATTCCTTAAAGAACTAAAAGTAGAACTACCATTTGATCCAGCAATCCCACTACTGGGTATCTACCCAGGGGAAAAGAAGTCATTACATGAAAAGGACACTTGCACATGCATGTTTATAGGGCAGCACAATTTGCAACTGCAAAAATATGGAACCAGCCTAAATGCCCATCAAACAATGAGTGGATAAAGAAAATGTGATACACACACACACACACACACACACACACACACACACACACACACACACACACATTATCATTGCTCTTACCTGGTAAAGAGCAATGATAATAGCAGCTGCCTCTTAATCATTCTTTTGTATTGCAGGGGGAATTCATTTCCGCTTAGGCAGCAGCTTCTTTTTCTGCTTAGCTCAAGTCAGAAATAGTAGCTTTCAGGGTTCTGGGATCTGGGCTCTGGCCTCTTTGGTAATTCACAAATCCATTGTCTGTTTGTGGATGCATGGCTTTCAGCAAACAGCCACCTTAACAGGGTAGTATGTCATGTGTCAACCTAAATAACAAACAGAGAGGCTCTTTAAAAGAAAATGGTATTTATTTGGGAATAGGGCTTTGCAATGGGAATATGCATGCCATAGTAAACTATGTACATATTCTTGGATGCAAAGGAAGACCAAGGTTTTTAAAGGAAAAATGAGGACGATTACATAATTATTTTGAGATACTTATCTTTGTCAATAACAAGAGCGACACCAGCCCAAGGTTGGGCAGGCAGATGCTGGGCAGATGTCCTTACAGGAGTATTTTTTGTGTGTGTAAGGTTGTACAGCCTTTGTGCAAGACTGGTTTTTGCAGCCTTTTGTGATTATCAGGCATTTATGTGGGAGAACTTGTCTCCTCATGGCCTTCCTGGCTCTGTCAGGTTTTCTTTTCTTTTTTCTTTCTTCTTTTCTTTTTTCTTTTCTTTTCTTTCTTCCTTTCTTCTTTCTTTCTTTCTTTCTTTCTTTCTTTCTTTCTTTCTTTCTTTCTTTCTTTCTTTTCTTTCTTTCTTTTCTTTTTCTTTCTTTCTCTCTCTCCCTCCCTTCCTGCCTCTTTTCTTTTTTCTTTATTTTCTTTTCTTCTTTCTTTCTCACAGGGACTTCATTTTGATTTTGACAACTTTCATACCTGAAGGTCTCACAAAGCACAATTTTGAGGAGTTAATAATAAATATGAGATGGGAAGACAGGCAGCCCTGATATAGAGGAGAGGGATGAGGGAAATGTAAACAGTGAGGGTGGGAAAGCGGTAAATGCTCTTTTTTGTTAGGAAACAAGAACTCTGTAAAAGCATATTCATCAGGTGAGGGAGTGCTTGATAGGACTATTCAGGAGAAAAAGCTATTGTTTTCAATGTAGGAGGAGTTATCGGGTTAACACATTTGTATGCGAAAGGTCACTTATAAGAGGATTTGTTTGTCATTATAGATATCAGGGAATATTTGTGTTTGTTTTCTTGGTGAAAATAAAATGAATTGGATAAGTAGGAATAGAAGACCCTCTTTTGGTCAGCCTGGTACTTGACGATACTGGAATGACTTCGGAAAAATCAGAAAGGGAGGCTGAACAGTGTTGACTTTTCCTGCAATCACAAGAATGTGACAGAAATTGGTGTGGAGCTCGTGTGGAGGACAATGACTGGGTTCATTTGGGGAGGGGGTTGAGTTGTGAATAAAAGAGAATGCACTGAGGCCACTGGCTGGACCCAGAGAGGTGCAATAGCTGCCTGTCATCTCTCCCATTGGCGTGGTCCAGAAAAGCAGAAACAAAGCAGGTGTTAATGAAACTGTTCAGTCTTCAGCCCTGCCAATTCACTCCCAGCAGGGAAGGAAGTCCAAGAAAGAAGAAAGTACAGAGATGATGCAGAGTGACTTCCTGCGAGGAGGGACCACTGGGGATATTTTCTTCACCAAACTTGGCACTTTCTCAAGATTTAGAATTAGAACCAGCACTGGCGGTTAACTGAATCGAATAGTATTACAGAAGAAGTTCAGCTGGGCCCATCCATGATCCGTGCAGACATCGGGGCTGGGGAAGTCTACCTCTGGGTTGTGTGGAGGCGGTGGGAAGTCGCAGATTGGTGAAGAGTCCCGTTACATCATGACACTCGGCAGTAACCAAGAGCAGAAAACTCACTGGCGTGTGCGTTGTACTTTGCTAAGGCACCATGCGGTGAGACTATTAACTATATGAGAGAAAGGAAATATATGAACTAGAAAAATCACAGATATCACAACAAATGATATAAAGTTTCTCTCTTTTTGGAAAGCGTAGACATTTGTGCATGGGAGAAATGTACTTAATAGAAATTAGACCAGGGAATAGCAAGAAGTTAGAAATCACCATAAAAATAGGATAAGAATCCCACTGCTCTTTGCTGAGCCGTCAGTAAACAGCAGCTGTATAGACAACAGGTGGATAACTTGAAAGAGAAACTTAGCTGTGTCCCATGGTGTCTTTAATCTTGCCAATTCTGTGCAAAAACCACTGGGGGCTGCACCAGGAACTGAGGTCATAGTAACTCTCCCTGCAAGGGAAAAAGCAATACAGTAATACGGCCCAGATCTCTTCAGCAAAACTCTCCAGTTATTTTGGTGGTTTCCTGATGTTTCTAGGGAATGGGGCTCACATAGTGTTATGAGGAACAAAGAGATTGGAAGCATTGGTGTAAGAATGAGAGGCTGGAGTTCTGGCTTTTAAAAAAACTAGATTCAAGCCTAGTCTGTGCTTTTACTAAGTATGTGACCTTGAACCAATCCCTAAAGCTTTTAAATCTCAGTTTCTGAATTTTAAAAATAGAGATAACACTAATTACCCCAACCGTCTCACTGGCAGTTGGAAAGGTCAGATTAGAAAAGATATATGAAATTGCTTGGTAAATGACAAAACCCTACCTACATTTTCATTGTGAGAGCAATCACCAGGGTAGATCTGGACATCATATTATGAAAGACAAAGATCTTTTAGGCAGTATAAGTCGTGGCTTCCAAGAATACTGTTACAGTTAAGTTTTAAGTATATTTCCTGTTAAAACTCTCCCTCCATAGCATATTGGGCTTTGGGCAACAGTTGTATTAGTTGGTATTGATAAACTTGTATTGAAATTCCGAAAATGCTACGTCACTGAAACAAAAGACAAAAACTCCACAGAATCCAGTCTTCATTCCATATTTGGCTTGGGGAAGATGCTCACAATTATTATAAAATATTTAAAACTCAAAAAAAGTCATCTGAAGTTATCTCACCTACAGTTAGGATGGGCAATAAAGAAAGCAAGAATGTTATGAAAGAGATTTTAGAACTTGAGATACTGGATGGGTTACAAAATGAATTCAGCCTAGAATCAGGGCCTAGGTATAAGAGTCAACTTATTTTAGGAATTTCACCTGTGTTTTTTTGTTTGAATGATTTATTCACCTGGTCTACAACAGAGTTATTTCTCCCTTGCAATAAGTTACAACCCTGTATTTTAAGGGGCTCAACATTAAGCTGGAACATTCTCTGTAAGAAGATGAAAGCTTTGCGGCAAGGAAAATGTCAATAATGAGGTTCTGACGTTATTCACTCTTGAGGCAGAATATTTCAGTCAGTGGCATCTCTCTAACCAGGATTGCAAAATGTGCAATTTTAAGTGGAGAAAAAGAATGGCACAGACACCTTACTAAATCTCAAAGTAATGGGACAAAGGAAAAGACTTTGCAGCCCACAGATGCTTTGCCACTCCTAGGTGAAGTCATCACTTGATAAGATGCAGACCTGGCAGCTGCCTTGTGTCTGCCAGCCACAAAATGCCTTAAACAGTACTGGAGACTCATTCACCCATTCATTCATTCTACAGGTATTTGTTAAGTACCTGTATATCAGGCATTTTGCTAGTCTCTATAGGGAATAAAAATTTCATGAGTTACAACTCCTGCTCTCAAAATGTTTATAGGTCATGTATTCTCACTTTTGGTTACTTTTTAATGGTCATAAGCTTTTTTTTTTAAATTGAGCTGAAATTAGCCTAACATAAAATTAATCACTTTAAAGTGAACAATTCAGTGGCATTTAGTACATACATGATATTGAACAACTACTACCTCTACTTTGTTCCAAAATATTTTTATTATCCCAAAATAAAACCCCATGCCCATTAAGCATTTACTCTCCATCCTTTCCTTCCCTCAGCCCTAAACAACCTCTAATCTATTTTCTGCATCTATGTATTTACCTATTCTCAAAATTTCATATAAATGGAATCCTACACTATGTGACTTTTGCATCTGGCTTCTTTGACTTAGGACAATGTTTTCAAGGTTCATCCATATTGTTACAGCATGTATCAGTACTTCATTCCTTTTTATTGTTGAATAATATCCTATTATATTTACATGCCATAATTTAGCCATTTATCCATTAATGGACATTTGGATTTTTCCATCTTTGGCTATTGTGAATAATACTTCTGTGAATATTTGTGTACAGGTATTTGTTTGAGTTCCTGTTTTCAATTCTTTTGTGTGTGTATCTAAGAGTAAATTGTGAGTCATGTGATAATTCTATGTGTAACTTTTTCAGGAACCAACTATTTTCCACAGAGATTGCATTATTATACATCCCCACCAGTAATGTACAAGGGTTCCAAGTTCTCCACATTCTTGCCAACACTAATTTTTCTTGTTATTTTCCACATTTTGGATTACAGCCATCCTAATAGGTATGAGTGGATTCGTTTTCCCTAATGACTAATGATGTTGAGCATCTTTTCACGTGACACTAAGTATTTTTACAAGGCAACTAAGATACCTATGAGTGATGATGTCAGGTCATCTGAAAGCATTACTGCCTTTGAACCTGGGAGGGAGTGGGGCCTGAGATCATGGAACATAGAACTAGCACATTTTGATAGGGGGAGAAGAAGGAGGAGGAGGAGAAGAGGAGTAGTGGGGGAGAACAGATGCAAGGGCAGTTCTGGGAGCATTGCTTGTGATGGAAGAAGAGGAGGAGTTGGATGAGACACCTGGGCAACCAGGTGGGCTGTGCGTACAGGTAAAATTGAATGATGGCAAAATTAGGCTGCCGCCTTATCTCATAGTATCTCAAAAAGTGACTACTCCACTGCTGAATGAATGATTTGTGCTGCTCAGAGAGCAGCAGCATAACCATACACTGGTCATTAGGGGACCTCTATGCCTGGTAGCATTAGTGAACAGCTAATTTTATCTAAGATAAGAGAGGCAAAAGTGCTTTGAGAAAATCAAGGGTCCCATCTAGACTGTGAGGTGATGAAAGCTTCAACTTAAAAAAAAACAATTTTAGGGTGTACAGAATGAACTATTTTTTAGGATTGTTTTTAAATGAAAAATTCATGGCTACAGCTTTGGAATGCATACTTTTTTTTGTATTTATCTACCATCTCACACTTAGCAAAAAACCCATTCTCATCAAGAGAATTGCTTTGGAGTCAATTTCCAAAAATAGAATTTAAACTCCCTTAAGGGATACTTCAATTCAATGGATGACAATACTGAGCCCTGACCCTGGGGTGTCTGTAGACTTCATCTTCTATTCTATTCACACCCTTTCCTAACTCTACAGAAAATGAGAGCCTTGCTGAGCACTGGAGGATGTTGGAGTATAATGGCTTTCACACTTAGGCTGAACACATTCTGTAGCTAGTTTCCATCCCCATCATTCTACTGAAACTGTTCTCCAAAAAGGGAATGATATCTTCCTAACTGCAGAATCCAGTGGCCTTCTCTTAGTCCTTACTTAACCTGTTTAACCCAGCTACCATTTACCCATCACTTTCTATACAGGAAGCACATTGCTAAGCACTTTATATTTGCAGTGCGAATGTAAAAAAATATTTATATATATTGTGGTTGCAAATGTAACTTACTCTATAACTTGGATGTTTAGAGAAAAATGTAATATCTTTATTTTGTCTGTAAGACTTCTGGCCTTCTACCCAACTCCCAGCCCATTGGGGAAAATGATTTAACTGTCCAATTCAATTCCACATTATTCCAACTCCATTAATTAAATGGCTCCCATAGATAGTATTGAGTCGCTATTGGATAGAAATGCTCAGCTTCTCAGATAGCCTTCTACCCTTCCTCGCTCTGAGATTTCTTTTCTAAAATGTTGTTTAGGGATATGCAGGGAGAGGGTGGCTTTACATGATCTTAGGGCAACATGGAAGACCCATGGTCCTTAGTGGTGATGTCCTTTCTTCTTCTGGTCTCCAGGCCAATGCCCCTCGTGCACTGGGGTGCTGCTTGCTCTGCTGACATTGATGGCTACAGTTGGTGGCTCTTCTCTTTTGCTCTGGCAGGCTGTGGTCATGCTCCTTGGTTGACTTAGCTTCACTTCTCTACAGCTGATCTAGGGACTGCTTTGAGGTCTAGCTGTGACCCTTATTTGGCCTCAGCCCCAGGATGTTTGCTTTGGAGCCCTTCACTACTGTTATGAAGATCCTCCCTGAATCCCTTCCACGCCAGAATCTCAGCTATTGTGGAACCTTACCAAACCAACACAGAAACCCAGGGCAGCTTGGGAAAGCAAAATCTTTTCCTCAGTATTACCCTTACTTATCTGGTGCACCTCTCCCTCTCGGGGGGAAAGATACCAGCACTGAAGCATGCATTTCCCCACTTTGCTCAGCTACCTCTGATATCCTCTTCCCAAAATCCTCCAGGGGAGGAAAGAAATTGACTTTCCCCTTCCTCTTCAAATCTGGACATAATTTACGTTAAACATTAGGGTCTAGCTGCTGAACCTGCTTACATGTCTACAGTCTTATTCCAAAAATCCTAGTTTTGAATGTCAGAAGCTGAATATATCTCAATCTTTTTTTGCAGCCCTTCTGTCACAAACCCCAATCGGTAGCATGTCCCAATCAGTCGAATGCCTTGGACACACTAGGGTCTTGCGGCTAAAAGCATGGTTTACATAGCAGTAGCCGCAGCCACAGAACCTGTCAGGAGTTTAGAGTCCCAGGCTCCACCCAGTCCTACTGAATCAGAATCTGCATTTCAGCAAAATCTTCATGTGTTAAGTGTGAACATTAAAGTTTGTGAAGCAGGGGACTGAGACAAATGCCATGTAATCAAAGACAAAAGAGAAAAACACCTTAACATTTTTTCTTTTGCATTTATGTGACAATAATTCTGTGATATTTAATGACATTAATCCTGTGAGGTGGATATAGTTCTCTCCATTTTATAGCTCAGCAAACAACCCAGGAAAGTTAACGAAGTGCTGATGATCTGAAAACAATGGGCCAGGATTCAAGCCTGGTCTGTCTGACTCCCTGAACCTCCCGTTCTTAACCAGGACACTCAATTACACTGGACTGTTGATCATACTCCTCTTAACATTTTTCTTCCCCTTTGTGACTGAACACTACTTCTTATATTACCCCTTTGTTTTTTCCTCTGTCTGCTTGAGAGTCTCCTTGCTGCCTGTCTTTGGTGTCTAGGTTTTCTTGGTGTTGAGCTGTTTGGCTACTGGATTTCTGACCTGTGTCTGCCTATGTCCTAGGATATATCTCTAAACTGTAACTATTATTCATGTCTCCTTAGGTTCAAATCTTTTTGAACCATTCTAGACTGAATATTGGGCAATCTTCTATATTCTTGCTGTGCAATAACAAAAAGAGTATTGATAAGGAAGACGCATTTTCAGCTGGCTTCAAAGATAGGTCTTACTTGGGGAGTGGAGACAGAGGGGAGAGTATTAGAGGCGCGAATTCTCATGAGAAAAGGATCAGAAGTAGAAATGTGCATGTGATGTTGGGGAAACAATAACTTATTGCTGTTCCCCTGGTTAATATGTGACTTGATGCTGCATAACTCTGAATTTTTATTCAGTGCCCTTCTTTGGCCTTTATCATCAATCTGGTCCTTGACTCACTTTCTGCCCAGACGTTCACCTTCAGTATGTTCCTGGGTCTTTGAGTCCCAGCTTCCCACCTCCAAGTTCCTTCATTTACCATCAGCAAACTTTCTGAGAAATAGCCAGATCTTTTATCCTTTGTGATATCTTTTTCTTTTCTTTTTTCTTTTCTTTTCTTTTCTTTTCTTTTCTTTTCTTTTCTTTTCTTTTCTTTTCTTTTCTTTTCTTTCTTTTCTTTTCTCTTTTCTTTTCTTTTCTTTCCTTCCTTCCTTCTGACCATCATTATTGTAATTTTGCCTCCTATATTTCTATTATGATAACCTATTATTATGACCTCTTTATCTCCTGACTTTCCATCTGTAGTCTGTATTTTACTTTCTATAGTAATCTATATACAATGAGACTACTGTGACTAGATCAAGGCAGCTACATTTCAAAAGTGGGTAAAGGCCAGGTGCGGTGGCTCGCGCCTGTAATCCCGGCACTTTGGGAGGCTGAGGCAGGTGGATCACCTGAGGTCAGGAGTTTGAGACCAGCCTGACCGACATTGAGAAACCCCGTCTCTGGTAAAAATACAAAAATTAGCTGGGCGTAGTGGCGCATGCCTGTAATCCCAGCTACTCGGGAGACTGAGGCAGGAGAATTGCTTGAACCTGGGAAGCGGAGGTTGCCGTGAGCCGAGATAGCGCCATTGCACTCCAGCCTGGGTGACAAGAGTGAAACTCTATCTCAAAAAGAAAAAAAAAAAAAAGCAGGTAAAATATTTATTAATTTCCTGCTGCTAAATGTAAGGCTAAAGCTCAATTTTTTAAATGTAACATGTGTAAAGTTCTCCCAAATCTTGCTTTACTGCTGTGTATTTCATCATACACCAATATGGACTCTCCTTTTGGATAAGCTGGCTTGATCATTTTTCCCTCAACATTCCATGCATGTGTTGGCTTACAGCCCTTTTTGTCCATTAAAATTCTCTCCTGGAATGCTCCTCCATGGCCCAAATCCTACCCATTTTGTTAAGGCTCAACCGAATACTTATCCCTCCTACAACTCCTCCCCTAGTCATCCCACAGCACAAGTCCAGAAGACTTCCCAATACTGAGTCTAGTGCAGACTTTCCAAACCAAGGAAGCATTGACATTTTGGGATAGATAATTCTTTATTGTAGGGGATTGTCCTTTGCATTGTAGGATGTTTAGCAGCCTACCTCCCTCTACCCACTAGATGCCAATAGCACATAGATGTCTCTCCTGGCTGCGACAACCAAACCTGTCTCAGACATTGTCAAAAGTTCCCTGGGGGGAGAGAGACTCAAAATCTCAAAATCTGGTTGAGAACCACTGGTCTAGTTTAATGGAAGAAGATCTGAACCAGTGGCGCTGCCAGTCTTTGCAGAATGTTTTGAGGGGAGTTATTTTCTGGGACACAAAAGTCACAGAATGGCTCCTACCCTATTTAGAAATTGACTTGGAGGTTGTCACGATATGTTTATATTCCCTATGAGCCTTAAAAACCATCTCTGTAGGCTTATCCTTTTTGTATAGCTATAACAGCCATTAGAAAGTAAAATACATCTGATCCATGCCTGCTTCTAACTTGTAGTTTCATTATTATGTTCTTCAAGCTTAGCAAATGGTCCATCTTTTTGCATGTGAAATTACTAAGAGAGAAGGTAAAATGCATATGCTGAGCATTCCTTGGAGAATATCTATTTTGTATGAAATTTTAAAAAGAAAAATGAGAAGGCTTAAATTGAGGTCTGTATTCAGCGTGTCTGTAATTCAGAGAAGCAGTAAAGAACAAAATTGAAATTTAATAATATTTAGATCTTTGCAAAGATGCTGTCATAGTTCCCAATGTCTATTCCAAGTACAAATACTGCTGATTTAATCCAAACTTACTTTCAAATTCATTTTTGATATTAAGAATTGACTTTAATACCATTACTTTCAAAAACAAGATCCTAATTTTAAATTGGAATTTTTTTCTTCCACAAACTAGTGCAAAGCATTTGTAACATAGGAATAAATTAGCAATTATTGTGAATTTACAGGAACTTGTCCAGTTGGTTTATGTCTCTGGAGAAACAGGATATATGGGTATGGTAAAGTAATGGCAATGACAACAAATAGAACAACATCTGAATTTTTGGGGATCTGGGCCTTAGAGCTGATAGGAAATATATGCTATTCTGCCAGCACCTATTCTCAGTCTTTGTTATCTGGACTCTAAAAAGAATAATATTAGAAGGGGCCATTTTTATAGATGATGAAACTATAGTTCAGAAGATTTGTAACTTGCCATCCTCTGCCTAATCCTGAACAAGAACCCACTTTAATGCCTTGGAATCCAGTGAGCTTCTCTCTACAGTCTCTCTAAGACCTGTGAGTATCTTGGGTGCCTTGACTACTTACCCTTTTTAGGCACCAACACACCCATGGGTAGCTAGTTGTGCTGTAGAAATAATTTCAAAGAACCTCTTACTGTTAGGGAAAACTGTATTCCCTAGTTCTCCTGTTTCTGTTCATTCATTCTTTAGTGGGTATCTGTTGAAATCTATAGACTTGGGATTTAGCTGTGAACAAAACAGAGACATCCTCAGGGAATTTACAAGAAGTCAATTTACATTTGACTCCAAGAGGGAAAAATCATGGGAAGGTAACTTCTCTCTTCCTCTACCACCCTCACTCACTCCTCCCCAAGAGAGGCTTATCAAAGTTGTGAGATCAGGGAATGAGTGTGAATCTGGGGCCTCAGCTTCTTCTCTCTTTCAGATGCACCCTTTCTGCCACTTTCTTGCTGTATGCTCACCTGGAATACTGTGTTTCTGAAGTTTGGGGTTGGTAATTCAGTGCACAGGGAAAGGTATTCAAAGCTCATTTGTGGCTGCAGATCCAAGCTGTCTTCTCCATTACTTTACCAGTAATAAAGCTGACATGCTGATCCTCCCTCATTCTTCTGTGTCTTTTCTTACTTTGAAGTCAGAGAAGAAAAATCGGTGATTAATAATCAGGCTCAAACTTTCTGCACCCAGTTTCTCAGTTAACATCACAAATATCATCAGCTAAGAGAAAAAGCTCTGCTATTTGTTGTTTACTCATGAGGGAGGCTTTATGGAGGACCTGGCTTCATTAGGGGACAACAACCATTTAATAGCTGTGTACAAGCAGGAGGCAAGTGCATACAATGCCTGACTCTATGCAGCCTTTCTGGCCACTTACTTCTGGCCAAGCCTTGCTTGCCATGTACTTGCTGTAAAAAAGTCAGCCTGGATGGTTAAACTTTCAAATTTAGAGAACCAGTAATCCCTCTATGCAGAGACAATGAACTACAGGGTGACTTTTACTGACTATGGGCTGACTTTTGATGTGTGAGAAATAACATGCATACTGCTTGCTTTTTTATGAAATGTGTAGCTTCATGTTCCGGAGGTATTCTCGAAGACATCTAGTATGCTTGCTTATTTTACAGATGAGAAAGCTGAGCCCAGAGAGGTTAATGTTTCATAATTTATTAACCACTCTCCACTATTCTCATCATCCCACTCCCCACAACCTAGTTAATGGGGGACAAAAGAGGGACCAGAACCTCTCTCATGCTCTTTTCACTACATCACCAACTGTTCCCATAAGAACAAAAAATGTTGGAATTTTCCGTGAAGATTAGTTGGGTATTATAAAAGAAGTAATTTTAAAAATAACTGCTTCTCTCCTTATATTTTGCTTTTAAAACTTTTTAAAAAATGGACAGAAAAAAGGACATGACCTTTTGTCACTCACGCAATTGGACTTTGATTTGAATTTGTAGAAATAAAAATTGATATAAATGAAGACCGATGGCAAACCCCTAGCAACTAGGACAAAATATCACCTTCTTTAAACAAAGCTTTCCTGCTCGAATTGTTAAGGTATTTTAATTATATATATTTTTTCGTGTCAAGACTTTTTTTTGCTCCAGGTGCACTCAATGAAAGATAATTGGTGCTGTTTCTTCCTGATTCATTTTATTCTTTGCACTTAATGCAATTTTAAAAGGAGGGTTTTAACAGAGTATTGATTATTTATGCCTCAAATCCCTTAAGGTTTTTCTTCCCATTTGGTTCTATTTCATTTTGTCAATATTTGTGTGAAACCATCTGCATTGATTTCAATGAGGAGATGACAGCCAGCGACCTTTCACAAACAAATGGCAGGGCACCAGAGCTGAAAGGATTCTTCTGCCAACCCCTTCTTGGCTGACTCAGCCACTCAGCTGACTGGTATCAGCTTTGTCCTCTTATTTCCTCTTATTTTCAATAAGAGAAGAAGCAGTATCCAAGAGGCAGAGGCCCTCACTGATTAAACAAGGAGACCAAGTAGTGACTTGGTCTCTTTGCTTTAGTCATCACATAGCGTATGGGCTTAGGAGGACTGTGTTGTAAATCACGAGCTACCCAACAGTTTGTGAAGTCTTTGGATGAGACACCAAACTTGCTGTACTTAAAAGTAAATAGGAGAGGCCAGGTGTGGTGGCTCACGCCTGTAATCCCAGCACTTTGGAAGGCCGAGGTGGGCAGATCACCTGAGGTCAGGAGCTCAAGACCAGCCTGGTCAATATGGTGAAACCCCATCTCTACTAAAAAATACAAAAATTAGCCAGGTGTGGTGTCACACGCCTATAATTCCAGCTACTAGGGAGGCTGAGGCAGGAGAATTTGTTGAACCTGGGAGGCAGAGGCTACAGTGAGCCAAGGTCGCGCTTGGGCAACAGAGCAAGACTCTTAAAAAAAAAAAAAAAAAAGTAAATAGGAGAGAACTTTCCCTTATTAACCTTCCGAGGTTGATTTCAGCAGGAAAATGGGGGAATGATATTTTCCCATGGTAGTGGAGTTTTCAAATCTTCAGAGAAAAGAGAGGAAGGAATATGTATTGCATCAGAAGAGCAAAGCTTCTCTCTAATATACACACAGAGAGATCAGCTTCAAATCAAGATCTATAGATAGCTTGACTAAATTTTTTTTTTGAGTGCAGTGGTATGACCTCGGCTCACTGCAACCTCTGCCCCCTGGATTCAAGCAATTTTCCTGTCTCAGCCTCCCAAGTAGCTGGGATTACAGGAGCCTGCCACCATGCTCAACTAATTTTTGTATTTTTAGTAGAGATGGGATTTCACCATGTTGGCCTGGCTGGTCTTGAACTCCTGATCTCAAGTGATCCACCTGCCTCAGCCTCCCAAAGTGTTGGGATTACAGGTGTGAGACACCACACCTGGTCCCAAATTTCTAATTCACCCAGAACCCCTCCAGTTTATGTCTGTTGTCCCAGTGAATGATTCATATCACCTCCTGGCACTTAACAAGTATCTTTGTTTGGATAAAGCATATAGTCATCCTACCTAAAAATTTGTATGCATGGATATGAAAAGACGTGAAAACTATGACTGTGAAAAAATCAGGTTGCCTAATTAGAACATTTGGTCACACTATCTATAGATTATGATTCGAAGCAGGTGTCTATGTTGGTTTATCCAGAAATTACAATATTTTGAGAGGGGATAAAGAGATGGAAGAATCCATCAGAGAACAAAACTGAGATATTTTCATCATAAAAACTGTGGAAAGCTTTACTTAAAATAACAACAAAAACCACTCCAAATAACCTCACTAAACTCTAGCAAGCTGATGGTACAGTTTTTGTCTTCAAGTTATATGACGGGAAACTGGGGGAAGGTATTATAAGGTGGACACATTCCCCATAAAATATAGGAATTTTCTAACAAAGTCAGCAAGGCAGTGAGATGGACCAGAGAATGAATGAGATTTCTTTCAAGGACACCGGCCATTGTCAAGAGTAAATAAGTAGATTTGCTGATCCTATTCCTGTATTGCTTTAAGTCTACACTGCAGACAATAGTTCAGCTCTCCTATCTCATCTAAAGAGTTTTGCCCACATGGGGGGACTGGGAATATTAATGCTGACTTTGTTATCCCAAGCTTGAACTATTTCCTTAGGGCATTTTTGACCCTCTATTGGATTGTGCTTTGTGCTTCATTTAATGTAAGGACAGAGCAGGGCTTTGGGTGTTTCCTTTGAAAGAGAAGCAGCTGTGAGATAATTGGCAACCAGTGATTGGAGGAGCCACAGATCTCCAGCAATTGGAGCTCTCCCAGGCAAGATGACATGATCTAATGTTCAAAGGGGAGGATGGGAGTTATCAATCTGTTTGATGCAGTGGGTTGTTTTTTTCTCCCAGCTATGTGGAAAGAACTAATTTTATTTTCATATTATTTGCACTATAGTTTCTCATTTTTAATGGGATAGTTTCCAAATTGACATCCTCAAGCCAGGTGTCCATCACATCTGCACATGCATTTTAGAGAATCTACCTAGCCCTGGGTCTTTCCTTTTAGATTGGTCTTTGTCAGATGGTAATTTTGTCAACATTGATTTGAGATTGTCTTTTAACTCTATAAATAGAAAGGGATGAATTGAAGTGTAAACAATTCAAAATTCAAAGTTGATGATGTATGATGTATGGATAAAGGCACTGGAAAATTATTTTTCTAGCCTCTAGGTATCTAACCAGATACAGGTGTCAAGTGGCCATCCATGAAATTGGATACTAATGAAGTGTACTAGAAGTGGCATTGGACTGGGAGTCACAGAGACCTGAATTCTAAATCTGGTACTGACACAGATTCATGGTGTAATCTTGAGTGAGTCTTTAGACTTCATTGTCTTCCTCTGTAAAATGAGGGAGGTGAAAACAGTTGATTTCAAGGGATTTTTTCAGTTCTAATATTATCTACACTTTAATACTTCATTTTCCCATAAAGTGAAACATCACACAAATATTTTCTTGACTTCTCATCCAGTTTTTTTCCTATTTTTTTCCTAATTGCCACTTCAGGGTTTTCCTGAAGGATGTGCAATTTGGGGTTTATTACTCTTCCTTTTTCAAAGTCTTGACACACAGTGTTAGTCTTGAGGAATTATACGATTAGGTGGTTGCCTTTTAAGCATGAGTCAAGAGCTACCTCTAAATATTTCTCACATTGTCCTGCCTCTGAAATCTGAAATTCCATCCTCAGGAATTTGTTTCCTGCAGATGATGCACCTGCAGTCTATTAATATACACATGCCCTGAGAGAGGCAACACATACAGACTTATTTCTAGGTTTTAACTTAGAAGCTTAAACATTAAAATGTTTGTTCTAAACATTTTAGAAGAAATGTTTGGGAAAACCCAAACATTTATCTGGGTTTTCCCAATAAGCTGGCTACCCTCTTACGGCACCTTAGAGCGGGAGAGAGACAATGAGGAAGTTTTCATAGGGCAGAGAAGTGAGTGATGAATCAAAAATCTGGATGATGCCTGGTGTTTCCACGTGGTGGTGGTCAGAGTCAGAGACAATGAGCAACTGGCACAGGGAGAGGTAAGAGGTTAATGGAACACTGTGCAATAGGGAATGTTGTTGCTGCCAGAGGGATGCAAGGAAGTCAGAAGATGCCAAGCATCCCCCAAGAATAAATTCTGCCTCACAATTTTCCTTAGCCTGGGTCTGTCCACGTTAATCTGTATGAAACTGATGCAGTTCCTTCTTGCTCAATGATCTCTTGTGAACAAGAAGGCAAGGAAGGAAATCACACTGAATTAACTTGTGACACTTTCTTGTGGCTCCTCCAGAATCTCTTTGTTTTCATTTTGCCTGAATTTCAGATCTATAATTAGAGTTGAGAAGCGAATGTTCTGCACAGGGAGTTTTGCTAACACCACCATCTTGGAGAGGAAGTTTTTTTAGAGGTGAAAAATATGGCCAATCTTCCCCTATCCCTTTATGAAACATGCTCTCTCTGAAAAGTCTAAGAAAAGTAGGTTGCTAGGGGTTCTTCCTAAAAGAACTCTTGTTTCTGTGAAGGGAAAAAAAGCACCCAGACTGTCGGTGTTGATGACACCCATCCCAAAGCTTCTGTGAGAGCTCAGGGTCTAGATGCGTGTTGGGAGATTCACTCTTATTCAGCCCTATGCTGACTGAGGGGAGTTTTCATTCATTTGATGTGTATCTTTGTTTCATGCTGTCTGACATTTTATAACATGCGGCTTTCTTCTGGAGAAAGAAGATAATACAATGTCTTTTCCTGTCTTCAATAATTCAGTTTTTCACCTTACAAGAAACTCTGGATGTTCTGGTAATGACCGTGGTTAAGGAAGTTTGGTGAGAGTTGGGTCCATCAAGTCTGCATTTACTAAAGAAGTGGTAGGTGTGAGAGGATTTTGTAAAGGTTAGATACAAAAGTGAGGGACACTACTCAACAGCTACAGGTTTTAGTGTCAGTATCTCCTGAACACTAATGGTTCTTTGCTTCTTGGTGAACTTAACCCTGTCAAGTTCTCTCCCGCTCTAAGGTGCTGTAAGAGGGTAGCCAGCTTATTGGGAAAACCCAAATAAATGTTTGGGTTTTCCCAAACATTTCTTCTAAAATGTTTAGAAGAAACATTTTAATGTTTAAATGCCGTATTTAAGATGAAAGGTATTATATTTTCATATTCTTTTGCTTAGTTTACTCATCTTTCATTTATTATTTCACCTTGACCACTGGACAAAGAGAGGCCAAGGTAATAGAACAATTTGTTTGGCCAGCCATTGAGGAGAATATAGCAGATGGAAAATAGAAGCTACTCTTGCAGAACTCTGATTACCATATCTCTTTCAGTCCAGGCCCACCACCCTTGCAGGGGTTCACAATCTCTTACAGCTCAAGACTACTTACATTTCAATACTTTTTCCCTGGAAAATTTGAATCTGTTCATTTTTTTAACAGTCTGTTTCCTCTCTAATGTTCAGATTTGGTCATTTCTGTTGTTCTATCTTCCAGTTCACTGATTATTTCCTCTGCTTCCTCTTTTCCTCTGTTGAAACCATCCACGGAGCTTTTGTGGTTATTGTATTTTTCAGTTGTAAAATTTCCATTTGGTTCTTCTTCTTCTTGAGGAAGTTTGTTATTGTTTCATGTGTTTCAAGATGTTCTTAATTGATGAAGCATTATTATCATCATAGCTGCTTCAAAATTCTTGTCAGGTAATTCTAGCATCTCTGTCATCTTGGTTTTGGCACATTTTGATTGCTTTTCTTCACTCAGTTTGAGATCTTCCTGGTTCTTGACAAGTGATTTCCTATTGAAACCTGGACATTTTTGGATTACATTATGGGACTCTGAGTCTTACTGAAACCTTTCTGTTTTAACTAGCTTTATCGCACACCACACTGCCAGGGGAAGGGAGGGCATAGCCTTATTACTGCCAGTAGAGGTAGAGGCCCAGGTTTCCCTCTCAGCCTCAGTTAATGCCCGAGGAAAAAGTGTTCCTCATGACTGTTGGGTGGGTGTGGGAGTTCCGGCTCTCCACGTGGTGCCCACTGACTGTGCAGTCAGGGTGACCTTGTTAGTACTGCGTGATTGTGAAAGTCCTGCCTTTCCACAGGCCTCCTCCAACACCACTGCAGTAGGGAGAAAGAGGAGTGCCTCCTTAGTACCTGGCAGGGATAGAAGTACAGGCTCTCCACGTTGTCTCTACTGACACGGTAGAGGTCAGGAGAGGAGAAGAAAGCAAGCTCTTTACTGGCTGGCAAGGATTAAAGTCCCACCTCCCTACTTGGCATCTCTGATACCACCCTGGCTGGGGGATTGAGTGCCTCATTATAGCATGGTAAGGATCAAAGTCTAGGCTCTCCCATGAGTCTTTGCTTGTATGGGTGAGGGTGGGTCCACAGGTTTTTTTTTTTCTTCTGTGGTGTTACACCAGAGTAGAACAGTTATTGTCTAAAACTTTCCTTTCATCACAAATTTAAATGTAAAACCCAAAACTTAAAAAATTGTTCAGAAAAAAAGTAGGAGAAAATCTTGGAGATCTAGATCCAGACAAAGAGTTCTGAAACTTGACATCAAAAACATGAGGCATAGTAGGAAAAAATTGATAAATTGGACTTCATCAAATTTAAAGACTTTTGTTCTGTGAAAGATTCTGTAATAGTTAGAGAATAAAAAGACAGGGGCCAGGCGTGATGGCTAATGCCTGTAATCCCAGCACTTTTGGAGGCTGAGGTGGGTGGATCACTTGAGGTCAGGAGTTCGAGACCAGCCTGGCCATCATGGTGAAACCCTGTCTCTACTAAAAACACAAAAATTAGCTGGATGTGGTGGCAGGTGCCTGTAATCCCAGCTACTTGGGAGGCTGAGGCAGGAGAATTATTTGAACCCTGGATGTAGAGGTTGCAGTGAACCGAGATCATGACACTGCACTCCAGCCTGGGTGACAGAGTGAGACTCTGTCTCAAAAAAAAAAAAGAAGAAGAAAAGTAATTAAAAAAAAAAAACTCAAACCACCTAGTCACTCAGACAATGAGGGCAAAAGTTTTCCAGACAAAGGTAACCAGTCAGAAAATTCTAGAGTGGCGACTATGAGATCAAGTGTCTCTAAACCTTGAGTCCCTTTGAACCACCAGGAGAAGCCTCTAGTTATGACCTAGATCTTTTGAGACGCAAGGAAATGTGTATATGACACCCTTTCTAAAACTACAGTCTTACCCCTAAGGCAGGCATTGTTATGATCAAGCTTTAATAGCTACCACTTCCAGGAAGTTTGTTCCTTTTATCAGAAACAGGACAGCTTGCAGATTGGCAAACCTTGATCCACAGGGACGGCTGACCCAGCCAAACCTTCATGTAGTGTCAGTGGGGTGTCACTTGCAGGGGCCATCTCTGAGGCAGGTCACATATGCTGCACCTTTAAGTAAGGTTGGAACAATGGCTTTGGGGAATGTGGCCTTCATTCTTAAGTCTGGTCACTTGGCTGTGCTTCTTTTTATTTTCTAAGTCTGTGGCTTATTTCAGCGTTGCATCTCCTCTACTCAGCAGGACAGAAAAGGAGACCAGAGGGCAGCTTTGGAATCGCAGGCTCCACTTCAGGTGAGGGAAGGACATACATTGGGCACATCTTTTGGAAACACTGGTGATATCTTCTCCAAGTCGGCCAAGGGTGTGTGAGTCATTCAACTTTTCATCCCCTCTCTAAGGCATCACTGTGCCTTTGGCTATATATATCCACCCCCCCCCCCCAACCCTACTTCATTGTTATATTCCTTTTTATAAAAGGAATGGTAAAGATATCTTCCCCAAAGAAGGAAATCATATTAATTGTAAGGTTTATTAGGGATTTTCTCATACCTCACTTACAGTGTGCAAGACCATGAAAAGCAGTGGCACATATACATATAAATTCCCCCCCAACTTGCTTTCTAGTATCAGGTTGCTTTTTTATCACTGCCTTACTCCTCAGAAGGTTGTTTCCCCCTTTAGTAAATGTGCATAAGTTTCAACTAGCACCAGTTGGAAGTGGGAAAAGTCTGTGTGAATGTGTTTGCGTGACTGTGTAAGTGATGGAAAAAAGAAGTTCCATGTGACATCTGCTTGTAAATTTCCTCGGTGAAAGTAGGCAACAAAACTTTCTAAAAAAACCATAGAAATAGCCTAATGTTTGGCAGCCAGAGCCCTGCCACAGCAAACATTTGTAGAGCACGTGCTGAACACTGGGAGAGGTGCTAGGGGTGTAAAAAGGTTAGTGACAGAGGCTCTGCCTCCAGGGCTTTACGGTTTATTTGTAAAAATGGTAGCTGGCCTGTTTTGAGTGTCTGATGTGGGATAGCCATGGCCTCTGTAGCATTTACTTACTTAATACTGTCAACCATTCTGCCAGGTAGTGTGAACCACTCTCATTTTACACATACGGGAACTGATACATAAAGATACTAAAAAATGTGCCCACATTTACAGAACTCGTAGATGGTGATTCAGGCACAAAAGTGATCTGTGTATGCCATACTGTCTCTAAAAAGAAAAGACAAAAGCCCCTGTAAAGGGGCAAGTGCTAAGTAAATGCCCAGGAAGTGGCACATGATAGAGGCTGAGATACACGAGGAAGAAGAGATGGTGGTGACAAGAGTGAACACTTTGTGAATACAAATTGTGTACCTTGTGTAAGATTTAAACTAGTGGGTTTTTTTATGTATTGTTTAAATTTGGATGTAAGTGTTATAATAACAAGCCAACTCAGGTATGTCTATACACTTGTAGTATGACACAAATTAACCTGTTAAAAATGTGAATAAATGCTATTCTGCCATTTTTATTAAAAAAAAAAAAAGCTCCTTCAAGCTTAGTTCAGAACATTCTACTTAAGTGTTTCTCTATTCTATTTACTCCAGGACTCTCCTGCCTGTCATCCTTCCTTCCTTCCTTCCTCCCTCCCTCCCTCCCTCCCTCCCTCCCTCCCTCCCTCCCTCCCTCCCTTCCTTCCTTCCTTCCTTCTTTCCTTCCCATTTCTTAGGAGAATCTGTTCTTGCCTAATCTCGGTCTTTGAGGTCAACCAGTCTCCCAAAATGTAGAAAATATACCACTGGGAGTAAGTTCTTATTCAAAAAAACTCTTCATTATTTGGGGCTCCACATAGGCTGAGAAGAATGTATGTGAAAAACAAACAACAAACCAACCTGAAGTCTGTATTACAAGGCAGACATTATAAAAATGGTGCTATAGTTCGGATATTTGTGCCCTTCAAATCTCATGTTGAAATTTGATCCCCAGTGTAGGAGGTGGGGCCTAATGGAAGTGGGGCCTATGGGAGTGAATCCCTCATTAATAGACTGATGGCTTCTCTGGGGTGGGAGGGTGCGGGATGAGTGAATTCTCACTTTATTAGTTCCTGCGAGAGCTTGTTAAAAAGAGCCTCGTGGCCAGGCATGATGGCTGTGCCTGTAATCCCAGCAATTTGGGAGGCCAAGACAGGAGGATTGCTTGAGGCCAGAAGTTCAAGACCAGCCGGGGCAACATAGTGATACCTTGTCTCTTAAAAAAAACAAAAACAAACAAACAAAAATAACAGGCATTGTGGCACATAACTTGCTTGAGTCCAGGAGTTTGAGGCTGCAGTGAGCTATTATCACACCACTGCACTCCAGTGAGACCCTATCTCAAAAAGAAAAGGAAGAAAGAGAAAAAAAAGAAAGAAAGGAAGGAAGGAAGAAAGAAAGAAAAAAGTAGGCTGGGCTTGGTGGCTAACACCTGTAATCCCAGCACTTTGGGAGGCTGAGGCGGGCAGATCTCAAGGTCAGGAGATCAAGACCATCCTGGCTAACACGGTGAAACCCTGTCTCTACTAAAAATACAAAAATTAGCTGGGTGTGGTGGCAGGCACCTCTAGTCCCAGCTACTCAGGAGGCTGAGGCAGGAAAATGGTGTGAACCCAGGAGGCGGAGCTTGCAGTGAGCTGAGATAGCGCCATTGCACCCCAGCCTGGGTGACAGAGCGAGTCTCCGTCTTAAAAAAAAAAAAAGAAAGAAAGAGGAAAGTAAAGAGAATGAGCCTGGCATGCCCCCATCACCCTTTTCTCTCTCTCTTTTGCATGTTATCTCTGTACACAGGGCTCCCCTTTGCCTTCAGCCATGAGTAGACAAGCTGTCACCAGAAGGCAAGCAGATGGATGCTGGTGTCATACTTCTTATACAGTCTGCAGACCCATGGGCCAAACAAACTTCTTTTCTTTATAAATTACCCAGCTGTATTGGTTCATTCTCACACTGCTGATGAAGACATACCTGAGATTGGGCAATTTACAAAAGAAAGAGGTTTAATGGACTTACAGTTCCACATGGCTGGTGAGGCCTCACAATCATGGCTGAAGGCAAGGAGGAGCAAGTCACATCTTACATGGATGGCAGCAGGCAAAGAGAGAGCCTGTACAGGGAAACTCCCATTTTTAAAACCATCAGATCTTGTGAGACTCATTCACTATTATGAGAACAGCACAGGAAAGACCCACCCCCATAACTCAATCGCCTGCCACTGGGTTCCTCCCACTACACGTGGGAATTGTGGGAGTTACAACTCTAGATAAGATTTGGGTGGGGACACAGCCGAACCATATCACTAGCCTCAAGTATTTCTTTACAGCAACACAAAATGGACTAAGACAGATAGTGATGTCCAAAACATCCACTTTCTTCCAGCTTTCTATTGAGAATCCTCAGATGGGTAGCTCAATTCTTCTCCTCTTCTCCAACTAAAGAGGGAAGATCCTTTCTAAAGATCTAAGTCAATCCACAAAACAGAGAACTAGGGAACAGGAGAGAGAGAAGAGGGAAATAAAAGCATTGAGAAGGAGGCTTTGGAGCTGATGTGAAATGGGAAAGTAGTGTGGTTGGCTAGGGATTTATACTTGGATTTCCTTCATAGATTTCAAGAAAGTTGAGACAGGGACTTCAGCTATTTTGTACATTGTTGGTTGGATAGAATTCTGTATTTCCAGGAGCTAGGGATATTCCTGAATGCCCTGCCAAGCTTGATACACTTCAGGACTGAGTGACCAGCCAGGATCAGTTCACCTGGGTGGCTGAGTGCGTGGAGGAATGTCAGTGAGCAAAGTAAATCCACTGAAGAATAGTCAGTCTACAGGGTCACATGTGAATGAATGATTAGGCTGAACTTTTGAAACTGCCATTTACATAGGACAAAAATGACTGAATATTGGTAATTTCATATGAATCAATCTCATACAGGCTCCTAATCTTAAATACACTTTGAGAAAGTGTTTGAAGGATTTTGAAACTGATTATATGAAAAATAGACTTTGAGGTTAAAAAAAACCTTGAATTCTAGAGCCTTTTCTTATTAGATGCATCATCTTGGCCAAGTTAATTCAACCTTTCTAAGCCACTGTTCTCTCACCTGAAAAATAGATACAACGGCACCTACCATAGCTCATAGGGATGAAGTGAGATATCATAAAGCATATAAGGCTTTTGCCTCTTAGTAGGCACTCAAACGCAAATTTTCCCATTAAATCTACTTCATTGAGGTCTTTAACTTTTATTTTCTTAGAATGCTGGACAACACAGTTCATCTCCCTGGATTTTTACTAATCCCAGCACTCAGAATCAGCTATGTTAGAGGAAGAAGGGAACTGATAGCTCATCTAGCCTAATGCCACATTTTACAAATGTAGAAATCAAAGTCCAGAGACACTTCCCAAGGTCACAGAACTAGCCAGTGTCAAGATCTCGGTTGCCCAGGCCTAAATTGTCCATTCCAGAGATTTGATTAAGGTGCTTAATATAGTTGGTCTGACTTTACATTTCACTGTGCTGTCATCTATCCAACAGAACACAGAGCAGAGGAAGAGGAGGACAGAGAGAACCCTGAATCTGTGCAAAAGTTATAGCATTTCTTTCAGGCATCAGTAATAAAGGGTCTTGTGTAGACTGTGTGACTCCTCCTTTGCCCTAGGAAACACAGACCTGCTCTAAGGCTTAGGCAGAAATGGCTAGTTGATTTCATCTCACCATCAATTAGTAGTAGTTGTATGGGGTACCGTGTTGAGAAGGATTCTGTAGTCATTACTAGGTTGAACAGAGTTCTATAATTGGTTAATGGTGTCTTCTTTGGGTGTGGAAGGGGAAAGTAGTGATATGAATTCCTGGGCCCTATCTCAGATGGATTCTGCTGAATTAGAAACTTCAGGGCTCTATTTCAGGCACCTGCATTTTTAATAACCTCTCTGGGTGTATGCCCACTGAAGTTTGAGAATCACTGACCCAGAAAACAAAATTAAAAAAATTTTGAACATCCTATAGCTCCCTGTGACCTGGCCCAGAGGGTTGCACCCTGCAGTGGGATCCATTGACCAGGCATGTGTGATTCAGAATCAAAGATCTCATCTAGCAGCAGAGCCTGACACAGATGGCAGTTTGGCTACAGCCCTCCTCCATTGGCCATCAAGCTAGCAAGAACTGTCCTTGTGGCCTGAAACTCCAACCCCAAAACACTGGGGTAATCATAAGAAATCAGCAGTTAACATTTTTTGCAAAGTGGTTGTTGCGGGTTGAATTTTGCCTTCCCCAACCTAAATTGTTGAAATAACATTGAAATTTTAACCTCCAGCAGCTCAGAACGTGACCTAATCTGGAAATAGGGTCATTGCAGATGTAATTAGTTCAGACGAGGTCATACTAAAATAGTAGTGGGCCCGTAATCCAGTGTGACTGGAATTTTTATAAAAAAGGGAAATTTGAACAGAGATACAGACCCACATGAAGGGAAGACAGGGAGAAGATGGCTGCCAGCAGGCCAAGGAGAAAGGCCTGAACAGATGCTTCCCTCAGCTCTCAGAAGGAACCAATCCTGCTGACACTTTGATTTCAGATTTCTAACCTCCAGAACTGGGCGACAATCCATTTTTGTTGTTTAAGCCAACCAATTTGTGGTTCCTTGCCATGGCAACCATAGCAAACTAATATACTGGTCTAAGGACCTTAGGTACTATTATCACTCCAGCTTTAGAGATGAAAAAGCCAAGGTTTCAAAAGGTAAAATAACTGCCCAAGATAATACAGCTAGCATGTTGTGGAAGGAGGATGAAGCCCAGGTTTAGCCCTTTTCTGATCCTGGTTGCCTGTCACGAGAATGACTTCCAGTGTCTTGATACTACACCTGCCCTGCCCTTTCCTGCCTTCTTATCCCTCTGCATGGTACACAATATTGACTTGGATTCTAATAGACAATAGCCAGCTCAACTCTGGATTTTGTCTGGTTTCCGTGCTATCATTGCCATGGGTGCTAGTGAACTTAACCACTATCTGAGCATTTACCAAGTGGATGTGTGTTCTGGTTCAGTGAGATGAACAATCTCCTGAAATAAACATTGTAACAAAAATGTGAAAAGAGTACAAAGTTTGCTCTGAAGATGGTGAGTGTCTAAAATAATAGGAGAACACATTAACATGAAATCATCTTCAATTGTTCTTCCTTTCAATGATGTGTACGTATGTTTCATGTAAAATATCACTGTTCATTTGTTATAAAAAGCCATTTTTAAAATAACAAATGTAATCTATACATTTGATGTAAAAATGTTCCTAGAGGCCTCAGCTATGGCTCTTTCTTCTCAAGTCTCTCAATGTGGAAGGGATCCTCCAAATACTAAAGCTTATTGGGCTAGAAGGTGTCCCATTAGGGGTTATAGACCTAATTAGAATACATTACTATATTTATTTCTATAGACTGGTTAATTTTACACCTGTCTTTTCTTGACCTGAGAGCCAAGGCTGCTCATTAGTTAGGGGGAGAAATGTTGACTGGATTAGTTGGACAGAGTCCGCCAAAGGCTTCCAATCCCATGTGAAGTAATTGGTCTGATTTTTATATATATTCTTCTTTTTTGAGACAGGCTCTCACTCTGTTGCCCAGGCTGCAGTGCAATCGTGTGATCATTGCTCATTGCAGCCTTGAGCTCCTGGGCTCAAGCAATCTTCCTGCCTTAGCCTCCTGAATAGCTAGGACTACAGGGGCATGTCACCATGCCTGGCTAATTTTTTAGTTTTGTAGACATGAGGTCTTACCATGTTGCTCAGGCTGGTCTCCAACTCCTGGGCTCAAGTGATCCTCCTGCGTTGACTTCTCAAAGTGCTGGGATTACAAGCTTGAGCCACTGCAACTGGCCTGATTTTTATGTATATTCTTATTAATGTTTCATATCTGACTTGGGAATTAGGAAGTCAGAAGAATTTATAACCAAAGGCAACGCAGAGTAAACCCACTGGCAGCACTGTAATTCAATTGAACTAGCATGGTTAAATAAATTTAAGTGGCTTTTGGAAGATACACGTTTCATACAGAAAGAAACGTGAGTTTTTAACTGAAGATAAGGAAACAACGTGCATATATTGTGTCTCTATCCATCTCACAGGTTTTGTGGCAGATTGAACAGGGAGGTTTACTGCTCATGGTAATGAGCAAACATGAGAGGAGGCAAGGCATGTGAAAGGGATCTGAAAGGTGGCAAAGTGGTTTATAGAGGTACAGAATGACCATGTCTAAAAGAATCACCACGTCTAAAAGAATCACCACTTTCTCACTGAGCCTTCTTCCACATCAAAGTTGGCCCTCTGTCAAAATTGCTCTCCATCTTCAGAAAGAATTTCCAAAGCTCTCCTCTCCCTCAGCCTTCCATGACCCTCCAAAGTGCTGTGAAGTCTCTGCCTGGGCTTCCCATTGGCCTTCTCTGCACATCCCGGCTGTCTGTTATTTCATGGCTTGGTGTTGTAGTTACTTGGGAATGAACTCTGTCCACGCTCCCCCACCCCCAGATCATATAATTGAAAACTCCTTGATCTGGTGGTCTTAGTTACTGGTCCACCCCTGGAATATAAAATCCCTGTCCTCAGATTCGCCTGTGGAAGAATACAGCTGCTTTTTCTTCCCCGCTTTCCCACAACTCCCTGCCTGCAGAAGTGAAGTATGATGGGAAATCAGAAAAACAAAGAGTAGATAATTTACTCTGAGACTCACACTCGCCCTGGCATGTGTTAACTACTCCTTAAAACCCTTTCCCTAACTGCTTTTTCCTTTGAAGTGTCGCAAGTTAGAAAACTTCCAAATGCTTTTCTACTTCATAGCAAAGTATAAGGAGTAGGTTATTGTCCCTTGGGCCATGAGTGTAATCCTGTATTAGTTAGGGCTGCTATAATAAATAAATCTCAAACATTTAGTGGCTTAACATAGTAAAAGTTTATTTCTTCACCATATACCAGTCTGATGTGTGTAATACTGTTCAGCAGGGAGTTGTCTTACTTAGGGTAATTCAGACTCTTGAGCTCCTTCCATCTCATGGTTCCTCTGTCTTCTGCATCCAAACCATGGAAAATCCTGGAATGGAACATATCAGTTCTACTAACATTCCATTGGTAAGAGCCAGTTACGTGGTCACACCTGCATGCAAGAAGTAGTAGGAAATAAGTCTGTGGTTGAACAGTCACCTCCTGGCAACAAATGCACACTACAGAAGGGGAAATATAAATTTTTGGGGTGTTAGCCAGCAGTTTCTGTCACACTATGCTATCTTAAGTGGGTGAAAACTATGGTGTTAACTTACTTAACCATCTCCTAATTGACTCACTCCAGCCCCGCAAGCAGTTTCCAAAGCCGTCCTTGGGATAGGCTGGACCCCAATCCTGTCTTATTTCTACCACAGCACCTAAGTCACGCCTCTGGAACTTTGGCAAGTTCTATAGAAGAGTCAGCAGCAGGTGTGGGTCAAGGTCCCAATTCACTTCCTGCAGCTGTACCATCCCTTCCTCGTTCTGCAAATTTTCTCTAGGTAATTACAAATTTGACAAGGAATTTGTTTGTTTCTTGCCCTTTTGGCTTTGAGATGGTAAATAAATTTTTATAAGACCATGTCAACTTCAAATTTCTGGTCTGACATGTAAGAAGCTTGGAAGTCACCACTCCATCCTAACTAGTTAAAATCTAAACAGACTAAAAGTCAACAGATCTCTGTCTTAGATCTGACAGAGAAGTGAGGTCACAGGGAAAACCACCGCCTCCCAAATTGGAAAGATAGGCAGATACAGAGAGTCACAACTTACCAGAGTAGGAATCTTCAGAGGAGTCAGTACTGGGGTAGGAAAACTGAACTGTAATTCATGAATTGCTGGAGGTTCAGGGTGGCCAAGTCTGAGAGTTAAAAACTCCAGGGAGACCGAGTCATAGAAAGGCCCCTACACTGTTGTGAGTTTTGCCTCCAGGAGCTCGATCAGGTTCTCACAGTAAGTATCAGAGAAAAATCCTCTCATGCTTCTGGCAAAGGCAGAGGGAAAGCAACCATTTTGGGATGTGCCAGAGCATTCTGTTCTTCTTAACAAGGCCTGCCTTTAGGATAAACTATTATACCAGATCCTCAACTGCTGAGCCTAATCTTGCTGGGGAAAGAAAAACATCCAACCACATCCAGCTCCAGACTTCCACATAGGGGAAGAGAAGTCCCTAACTCCAGCCCCTTCTAGCCATCCTGTCACAGCTAAAGGTGAGGAGGGGATGTGTGTGGGGGACTGAGAAGCACTGGTAAGGTTCATAATGCAGGGCCACAGGCTTACTAACAGATTAAGGCCTAGTCATAGAGGGTGGAAATGGATTGAAAAACTATCTGGTGCTATGCTCACTAACTTGGTAACGGGATCCATATCCCAAACCTCAACATCGTGCAATATTCCTATGTAACAAACCTGTACATGTACCCCCTGTATCTAAAATTTAAATTGAAGTAAAAATGAAAATGAAAATGAAAAAAAGACCTAATCACAGGACTATAGAATGCTTCCCCACCCCACCCCCACATTACCACTATATTACTAAAGGCTGATTTACTGTTGTTCTTTTTTCTCAGTTCATCATGTCTGCCTTTCAGTAAAATTTACAAGTCACATTGAAGGCAAAAAAGAAGAGACTGAACAAGAATCAGGGCTAGGCTCAGATATGGCAGAAATGTTGGGATTATCAGACAAGGAATTAAAAAAAACTGTGATTAATATGCTAAAAGGTTTATTGAAAAGGTAGACAACATGCAAGGAGAAATAAAAAAAATGTAAGCAGAGAGGGCTGGGTGTGGTGACTCACGCCTGTAATCCCAGCACTTTGGGAGGCCGAGGTGGGCAGATCACAAGGTCAGGAGTTCGAGACCAGCCTGGCCAACATGGTGAAACCCCATCTCTACTAAAAATACAAAAATTAGTGGGGAGTGGTGGTGTGCACCTGTAATCCCAGCTACTCGGGAGGCTGAGGCAGGAGAATCACTTGAACCAAGGAGGTGGAGGTTGCAGTGAGCTGAGAGAGCACCATTGCACTCCAGCGTGGGAGCCTGGGAGCCTGGGCAATAGAGCAAGACTCCGTCTCAAAACAAAACAAAACAAAACCCCCCAAAACAAACAAACAAACAAAAACAAAACCAGAGAGATATAAATTCTAAGGAAGAATAAAAAAGTAATAATGGAGATCAAAAACTCTAACATAAATGAAGAATGACTTTGATGGGCTTATTAGTAGACTGGACATGGTTTGGAAAAGAATTCCTGAGCTTGAGGATTGACAATAGAAACATCTAAAATTTAAAAAAGGTTTTAAAATAATTTCAACTTTTATTTTAGATTTCAGGGGTACATGTGCAGGTTTGTTACATGGGCATATTACATGATGCTAAGGTTTGGGATACAAATTATCCCATCACCCAGGTAGTGAGCCTAGTACCCAATTCCAAAACTGAAAATTAAAGAAAAAATAAAGACTGTAAAATACAAAACAGAATATCTAAGGACTATGGGACAACTACAAAAGTTGTAACATATGCATGATGGGAATACCAGCGGAGAAGAAGGGGAGAAAGGAACAGAAGAATTATTTGAAGCAATAATGACTAAGAATTTCCCCCCAGTTAATGTCAGATGCCAAACTACAGATCCAGGAAGCTCAGAGAACACCAGGCAGGATAGATACCAAAAAGATCCTACACTTGGGCATATCATACTTAAACTTCAGAAAATCAATGATAAAGAAAAATATCTTGAAGCCAGAGGAGAAGAACTGCTATAGTTTGAATATCCCCACCAAAACTCATTTGAAATTTAATTGCCATCATAACGGTGTTGAGAGGTGGGATCTTTAAGAGCTGATTAGGTTGTGATGGCGCTGCCCTCATCAATAGATTAATGGGATTATTGCAGGAGTGGATTAGTTATCTCGAAACTGGGTTTGTTATAAAAATGAGTTCAGCCCCCTTTTCTGTCCTGTCTTTCATCCCTGCTTCCCCCTTCCATTGTTTCACCATGGGACGACCCTTGCCCGCTGCTGGTACTCTGCTCTTGGACTTCTTCACCTCCAGAACTGTGAGAAATAAATTTCTTTTCTTTATAAATTACCCATTTGTGATAGTCTATTATAGCAACAGAAAACGAACTAAAACAATTGATAACAAGAAGCAGGGTTGTTGCTGTAGCAAATATCTGAAAATGTGGGAGTGGTGTTGGAACTTGGGGATGGGTAGAGGCTAAGAATCTGGAGAAACAGGCTAGAAAAAAGCCTGTATTGCCATGAACAGATCATTTAGGGTGATTCTAGTAGGGTTCAGAAGAAGACCCCAGAACTGGAAAAAGTCTGAATCTTCTTAGAAATTACTCAAGTGGTTGTGATCAAAATATTGGTAGAAATCTGGACACTAAAGCCCATTCTGATGAGGTCTTACATGGAAATGAGGAACAAGGTACTGAACACTCAAGTAAAGGCCATCCTTGTTATAATGTGGCAAAGACCGTGGCTGAAATGTGTCCATGCCCAGGGGCTTTATGGAAGGTAGAATTTAAGAATGATAAAATAGTATATCGGGTGGAAGTCACATCTAAGTAGCAAAGCATTCAGTCTGCTGCATGGCTACTTTTAACCACATATAGTGAGATGTGAAGAAGATAGATGATTTTAAATGAAATTTATGATGAAAAGAGAAGCAGAATGGAAATATTTGGGAAATTTGAAGCCTTGCCATGTAAAGCATAAAAGAGTATGCTTAGGAGGGAAAATTAAGGGTGTGGCCAAGTGACCATTTGTTAAAGAGATTACCATAGATAGAAGGTAGCCAGGTGCTCTTCATCAGGACGTTGGGAGAAACGCCCTGAAGACACTTGAAAGATCTTCGAGAGTGCCCCTCTATCATAGGCCTAGAGCTCTAAAAGGCAGAATAGTTTCAAAGGATGGGCGTAGCTTTGTGCTCAGGGCTGCTTCAGAACTCTGTTTCCCACTTTCTGGTGCAGTGCTCCTCAGACACCCCAGCTATGGTTCGAGTGGCCTCAGGTGTTAACTCAATCCAGTGCTCCAGAAGGTACAAGCAGTAAGCCTTGGCAGCATCTATGTGGTTTTGTCTGCAGGCTTAAAGAATGCAAGAGCTGTGGGGGCATGGTTTCCTCCACTTGGGTTTCAAAGGATGCTACAGACCACCTGGGGACCCAGACAGAGACTTGTTGCAGGGGCAGGGTTGCTGCAGAGAGTCCCTTCTAAGGTAATGCCTAGTGGAGTCATGGGAGTAGGGCTGCCCCGAGATCCTAGAACTGTAAGGTCACCAGTGTGCAACTCCAAGCCATGAGAGCTGCTGGATTGAGCCCAGTAAAGCCATAGGGGCAGGGCTACTTGAGACCTTGAGGGCCTAACCCCTAAACCAGTATATCCAAGATGTGGGACATGGAGTGAAAGGAGATTATTCTCTAGCTTTAAGACTTAATGTTTTATTGCCATTGTAATAGTGCTGAGGGGCAGGATCTTTAAAAAGAGATTCCTTCCTGAATGGATTAGTGCCATTATTGCTGGAGTGGGTTAGTTATTGAGAGACTGTGGTTTTTTTTTTTCTTTTTATGAGGCGGAGTCTCGCTATGCTGCCCAGGCTGGAGTGCAGTGGCGCGATCTCGGCTCACTGCAAACTCCGTCTCCTGGGTTCACGCCATTCTCCTGCCTCAGCCTCCCGAGTAGCTGAGACTACAGGCGCCCGCCACCATGCCCGGCTTATTTTCTGTATTTTTAGTAGAGACAGCGTTTCACTGTGTTAGCCAGAATGGTCTCAATCTCCTGACCTTGTGATCTGGCCACCTCAGCCTCCCAAAGTGCTGGGATTACAGGCGTGAGCCACCATGCCCGGCTGAGACTGGGTTTTTTATAAAAGCAAGTTTGGCCCCCTTTTCTGCTCTGTCCTGTGTGACTGCTTCTACCTTCTTACCTTTCACCACGGGATGACCTGTGACAGATGATGGTGCTATACTTCCCAGTCTCCAGAATTGTGAGAATATTTTTTTCCTTAAGTTACCCACTGGTGGTATTCTCTCATAGCAGCATAAAACAGACTAAGACAATATCTGATCTATATAGGAGCAAAGATAACTACATCCAACTTCTCTTTAGGAGCCATACTTGCAAGAAGAGAGTGGAGTGAAATATTTGAAGTGTTCAGAAAATATCCAACAACCTAGATTTCTGTACCTTGTAAAATTATCCTTCAAAAGTGAAGGAAAAATAAACACTTTCTCAGATAACAAAAAATGAGGAAATTTATTGCCTGTTGACCTGCCTTGCAAGAAATGTTAAAAGAAGTTCTTCAGAGAGACAGAAAATGGTATAGATTAGAAACTCAGATGTACATAAAGCAAGGAAAAACATTGGAGAATGAATACATGAGGGCAAAACAGAAGCATTTAAACAATTCCAAATTAATATAACAGATAATTTGTTTAAAATAGCAGTGTACTCGATTATGTATGCTTATGTGTGTATATGTTTATATATTAATATAAGTGAAATGAATGACAACAATGATTAAAGGAAGGGCAGGAGGAATTAATGTTATTTTGTTATTATGCTGCGATAGATTACACCTTCTTCTCAAATACTAAACCTGTAAAGTAGTATAGTGTTATTTGAAAGTGGACTTAGATTAGTTGTAAATGTATATTGCAAACTCTATGACAACCACTAAAAAACGTTGAAAAAAATAATTGGTGTGCTAAGAAAGGGGCGGAAATAAAATAATATAAAATGCTTAATTGAAACCACAAAAGGCAGAAAAAGTATAGAAGATAAAAGTAAGAATAAAAAACAAGGGTAAGAAAGAGAAAACAGTAACAAATATGGTAGATGTTAATCTAACTATATCAATAATCAACTTAAACATCAGTGATCTAAGTACACCAACTAAAAGACAGAGTTTATCAGAGTGAATTAAAAAAAAGACCCATCTTTATGTTGTCTTCAAGAAACACACTTTAAATATAAAGACACAAAGTAGGTTAAAGGAAAGGGATTGAAAAAGATATATCATACTAACAGTAATGAAAAGAAAGTGGTAGTGGGTACATTAATTTTCCACAGAACAAACATCAGAGCAAAGAAGGTTATTAGGGATAAAGAGGGGCATTACATAATGATAAATGGGTCAATACTCAAAAAAGACATAACAATCCTTATTGTGTATGTGTCTAACAACAGAGCATCAAAATATGTGAGGAAAGAAACCGATAGAACTTCAGGGAGAAATAAGTGAATCCATAGTTATAGTTAAAGACTTTAATATTCATCAGAAATGGACAGATCCAGCAGGCTGAAAATTAGTAAGAATAGATTTGAAATCATCAGCACCATCAGTCAAGTAGATATAATTGACATCTATAGCCTATTCATCCAAAAACAGCAGATTTCACATTATTCTAAAGCTCACATGGAATATTCATGAAGATAAGCCATATTCTGGGCCATAAAGCACAGCTTAACAAATTTAAGGGAATAGAAATCATGCAATGTCTATTGTCAGACAATAATGGAATTAAACTAGAAATCACCAACAGAAAGATGCTGGAAAAACCCAAAATATTTAGAGGTTAAACATCATACTTCTAAATGACACATGGGTCAAAGGCAAAATCTCAAGAGAAATTTAAAAATATTTTGGGCTAAATAAAAGCACAATGTACAATAAAATAAAAACACAATATACCAAAATTTGTGGCATAAAAGTAGTTTCTAAAGGGAAATTTGTTGCTTTGAGTTGCTTATATTAAAAATTAATAAAAATATAAAAGTCAATAATCTACGTTTCTACCTTAGCAAATTAGAAAAAGTGTGCAAATTAAATCCAAAGTAAGCAGGAGAAAAGAAATAATAAAGATTAGAACAGAAATTAGTGATACTGAAAATAGGAAATCAATAGAGAAAATTAACCCAAAGCTGGTTCTTTGAAAAGATCAATAAAATTAGTAATCTTCTAGCCAGGCTAAGAAAAAAGATGTGCAGATTACTAATAACAGAAATGAAAGAGAAAATATTGCTACAACCTCATAAACATTAAAAGGATAATAAAGAAATATTATGAACAACTTTATTTGACAACCTAGATGAAATGAACTAATTCCTTGAAAGACACAATTTGCTGAAATTCATACAACAGGAAATAAACAATCTGATTAAGCCTATACCTGTTAAATAAATTTAATCAATAATTAATAACCTTCCAAAATAGAAAGCATTAGGCCCAGATGTGTTCACTAGTAAACTCTACCAAACAGTTAAGAAAGAAATTAAGCCAATTATCTACAATCTATTTCAGAAAATAGAAGCAGAGGAAATACTTCCTAACTCATTCTGTGAAGCCAGTATTACCCTAATATCAAAAATCAGACAAAGACATTATAAGAAAACTATATGTATCTTTCATAAACATAGATGCAAAAATTCTCAATAAAATAATAGCAAATTGAATCTAACAATGTATAAAAAGAATTATACGCTATGACGATGTGGGATTTATCCCAGGTTTGCAAGGATGGTCCAATATTTGAATATCAATTAATGTAATCTGTTACATCAACAGGCTAACAAAGAAAAACATCACATGATCTCATCAATAGATGCAGAAAAGCAGTTGACAAAATCCAACACCCATTCATGATAAACACTCTCAGCAAAGTAAAAATAGAGAAAAACTTCCTCAACTTGATAAAGAACATCTACAAAAAGCCTACAGCTAACATCATACGTAACGGGGAGAGACTTGAATCTTTCTCACTAAGATGAGGAACAAGGTGAAGATGTCCCCGCTTACCACTGCTTTTCAATATCATACTAGAAGTTCTGGCTAATGCAATAAGGCAAGTAAAGGAAATCAAGGATATATAGATTAGGAAGGAAAAAAAATTTGTTTATAGCTTTTTTCTACATTATTGTCTATGTAGAAAACAAAAAAATTGGCAAAAAGCAAAATAATGAAACCCCAAACCCCTGGAACTTATAAGCAATTATAGCAAAATTACAGAATACAAGGTTAACATACAAAATTTAATCACTTTTCTATATACCAGCAAATGAACAAGTAGAACTTAAAATTAAAACACATTACAATTTACATTAGCATCCCCAAATAAAATACATAGGTATAAGTCTAGTAAATAGATACAAGGTTTACATGATGACAACCACAAATCTCTGATAAAAGATAACAAAGAAAAACCAAATAAATGGAGACATATTCCATGTTCATGAATAGGATGACTCAGTATTGTTATAATGTCACTTTTTGTCCAACTTTAGATTCAACACAATCCCAATAAACATCCCAGCAAGTTATTTTATAGATATTGATGATTCTAAAGCTTATATGAAGAGGCAAGAGAGCCTGATTATCTGATAAAATATTGAAGGAGAAGCACAAAGTTGGAGGACTCACATTACCCAACTTCAAGACTTACTACAAAGCTATAGTAATCAAAACAGTGTGTATTTGGCAAAAGACTAGACAAATAGTTCAATGGGGGCAGAATAGAGATCTGAAAAGTAGAACCACATAAATATAGTCAACTAATCTATGACAAAGGAGCAAAGATAGTCTTCGCAACAAAAGATTCTAGAACAACAGGACATCCATTCACAAAAAATTGACTCCAGACACAGATCTTACACCATTCATAAAAATTACTTCAAAATAGATTATAGAACTAAATCTAAAATGCAAAAATATAAAACTCCCAGATGACAACATTGGATAAGGCCTAAGTGACCTTGGGTATGATGATAATATTTTAGGTACAACACCATAGGTATGATACATGAAAGAAGTAATTGATAAGCTAGGCTTCATTAAAATTAAACACTTCTTCTCTGCAAAATACAATGTTAAAAGAATGAGAAGACAAGCCAAATTCTAAGAGAAAATATTGCAAAAGACACATCCGATACAGGACTGATATACAAAATATACAAAGGATTCTTAAAACTCAGTAATAAGAAAATGAAGAATCTGATAAAAAAAATAGGCAAAAGACTTGAACAGATACCTCACCAAAGAAGACATACAGATGGCACGGAAATATACGAAAAAATGTTGAAGATCATATATCATTAGGGAATTGTAAATTGAAACAACAGTGAGATACTACAACATACCTATTAGAATAGCCAAATTCCAAAGCACTGATAACACCAAATTCTGAACTCTCATTCATTGCTGACAGGAATGAAAATAGTAAAGCCATTTTGGAAGACAGTTTGGCAGTTTCTTACAAAATTAAAAATACTCTTACCATATGATCTAGGAATTGCACTTCTTGGTGTTTACCCAAAATAATTGAAAACTTATGTCCACATAAAAATCTGCACACAGATGTTCATAGCAGCTTTATTCATAATTGCCAAAACTTGGAAGCAACCAACATATCCCTCAGTAGGCAAAGAGATAAATGAACTGTGTTACATTCAGACAGTGGAATATTATCCAGTGGTAAAAAATATGAGCTATCAAACCATGGAAAGACATGAAAGAACCTTTGATGCATATTAATAATGAAAAGAAACCGATCTGTGTGTTTGTGTGTGTGTGTGTGTGTGTGTGTGTGTGTGTGTATTTCCAACTGTATGACATTTTAGAAAAGAAAAGGCAACACCGTGGAGATAGGAAAAGGATCAATGGTTGCCAGGGGTTGAAGGGGAGGAGGGGTAAATTGGTGGAGCATTGAGGATTTTTAGGGCTATGAAACTGTTTAGTATCATATTTCAGTATGATACTAAATGGGGATACTTGTTACTATATATTTATCAAATCCCATAGAATGTAGAGCACCAAAAGTGAGCCGTAATGTAAACTATGGATTTTGTATAAAAATATGTCAACATAGGTTCATTGATTATAACAAATATACCACTATGGGGTGGGGTGCTGATAGTGGGGGAGGTTGTCCATGTGCAAAAACAGATGGTGTGCAGGAATTCTCTGTCATTTTCACTAAATTTGCTGCATACCCAAAACTGTTCTAAAAATAAGGTTTATTCTCAGAAATAACACCAAACATCTACCATCATCTGATCTTCCACAAACCTGACAAAAACAAGCAATGGGGAAAAGATTTCCTATCCAATAAATGGTGCTCAGAAAACTGGCTAGCCATTTGCAGAGAACTGAAACTGGATCCCTTCCTTACACGTTATACAAAAATTAACTCAGGATGGATTAAAGACTCACATGTAAAACCCAAAACTATAAAAATCCTAGAAGAAAATCCAGGCAATACCATTCAGGACATAGGCATGGGCAAAGACTTCATGACTAAAACGCCAAAAACAATGGCAACAAAAGCCAAAATTGACAAATGGGATCTAATTAAACTAAAGAGCTTCTGCACAGCAAAGGAAACTATCATTAGAGTGAGCAGGCAACCTACAGAATGGGAGAAAATTTTTGCAATCTATCCATCTGCCAAATGGCTAATATCCAGAATTTACAAGAAACTGAAACAAATTTACAAGAAAAACACAACCCCATCAAAAAGTGGGCAAAGGATATGAACAGGCACTTACCAAAAGAAGACACTTATGCCACCAACAAACATATGAAAAAAAGCTCAACATTATTGATCATTAGAGAAATGCAAATCAAAACCACAACGAGATACCATCTCTTCAGAATGGTGATTATTAGAAAGTCAAGAAACAATAGATGCTGGCAAGGCTGTGGAGAAATAGGAATGCTTTTACACTGTTGGTGGGAATGTAAATTAGTTCAACCATTGTGGAAGACAGTATGGCAATTCCTCAAGGATCTAGAACGAGAAATATCATTTAACTCAGCAATCCCATTGCTGGGTATATACCCAAAGGAATATAGATCATTCTACTCTAAAGACACATGCACACATATGTTTATTGCAGCACTATTTACAATAGAAAAGTCATGGAATCAACCCAAATGCCCAGCAATGATAGACTGGATTAAGAAAATGTGGTACTTATAAACCATGGACTACTATGCAGCCATAAAAATGAATGAGATCATGTCCTTTGCAGGGACATGGATGAAGCTGGAAGCCATCATCCTCAGCAAACTAACATGGGAACAGAAAACCAAACACCTCATTTTCTCACTTACAAGTGGAAGTTGAACAATGAGAACACATGAACACAGAGAGGGGAACATCACACACCAGGGCTTGTTGGGAGGTGGGGGTGAGGGGAGGGAACTTAGAGGACGGGTCAATAGGTGCAGCAAACCACCATGGCACACATATACTTATGTAACAACCCTGCACGTTCTGTACATTTATCCCAGAACGTAAAATAAAAAAAAATAAGGTTTATTATTATTTTTAAAAGTATCCTGGTTATGCATGTATCTCTTTCAGCACCTAGGATGGTTCCCACAGTAGTTCTAACAGTGCCTTATTCATACAGGTTCTGCAAATATGTGTTGAATGAATAGGCAAGCAAACACTAATGGCTTAACAGTGTCCAAAGATGTATACAAAAGAACTGTTTCCAAACAGTTCTTTTATTAATTAACCTATGCCCCTCAAATAAGGAGTATAGGGATTGTTAATGCTAATATAAGATGGGAACCACATTTTAACCCATGTTTTTGGAATTTAATTCACATAAAGTAATGCTTTGATGGGTTTTCCTTAGTCACTATTTGCTAAGAAGAGGATTTCTGTTTTCCTGGCAACTGAAGTGGATAGTTTCCTTCTCCCCTGCCCCAAAGTGGATACAGGCACACTTCAGAAATATATATTGTGGGTTTGATTCCAGACCACCACAACAAAGTCAACATTTTAATGAAGTGAGCCACACAGATTTTGTTTTTCCAGTGCATATGAAAGTTATGTTTACACTAAACTGTAGTCTATAAAGTGTACAATAGCATTATACCTAAAAAGTGCATACTTTAAAAAATACTGTATTGCCAAAGAAATGTTAATGATCATCACTTGAGTCCAGGAGTTTGAGGCTGCAGTGAGCTATGATTGCACCACTGCCCCTCAGCCTGGACAACAGAGCAAGAGAGATTCCCATATCTAAAATCAAATAAATAAATCTTGCAAATTATTCCATAAAGGGTCACAAATGCAACCAATACATACTAAAGTGATTATGGTTTATCAGATACTTTTTATTGATAGAAGAAATGCCTGAAGAATATTGGTTATTGGAAAGCAAAGGGAAGGTCAAAGAGACACTGTGGCTTTTGGGCTGGATCCTGTTGTATCCGGGAAGCATTTAATGTGTACAGCTCAAATCTGTGGAAACACATACATGATTACTTGAATAAGTACGATGCTTTGATCATTGGACGTATTTTACCCTGCAATGTAATGACCCTTTCCAAATACATATAATTTTTATCATGACACACAGCTTAGGAATATTTGACAATATTATGAATAAGCTTATAGTTGAGTTTGCTCGGATGTTAGCCATAGATATCCAATGTAAGATACCTGCATGCAAATTGATACAACTTTTCAGTAAGGCAACATTTATTGAAAATTTGAATATGCATACTTTTTAATCCAGCAATCCCACTTTTTGGAATTTTTCCGTAGAAATTCTCCCACAAATATGTAAGGATATTTGTACAAAGATGTTTCCTCAAGCATTATTTATAGTGGTAAATAATAAGAAACAATTCAAATGTCCTGTTAGGGCACTGGTTAAATAAGTCATGCAACAATCATAAGACAGAATACCAAAAAACTTAAAAAAGAATGGGGCATTTCTGTAGTTACTGACTGATACAGAGAGATGTGAAAGCTATGCTATTATGTGAAAAGAGCAAGTGCAGTACAATATATGCAGGCCAGTCTTATACATTTCTCTATGTGGCTGCACAGTCTCAGAAAAGGCCTGAGAGGCCATATACCAAATTGTAAGTGGCAGTCATCTTTAGGGTATGGTGGACTTCTACCTTCTGTTTTTATTATTTCTGCACTCTCTGAATTTTCAGCACATGTATTGTATTACTTTTGTGATAAAAAGTTTTTTGAAAGTATACCCTGTCAAGGTTTAGGCTGAGTTTTGGTCACCAGGGGGATGCACACTGTCCTCATGCCTACAGTGCTAGACGTGTGTTCTGGTTCCGTTTCTGTGTCCTCTTTCTGATCTCCTGCCCTCATGCTGTGCGGAATGCCCTGGGTACAAGCCTCCTTCTTACCAACTCATTGTCAGGGCTCTGTCTTTTGGAGTTTGATGCCTTTGCTTCAAACCCTTTTAAACTTGCTTTCCCTTCTGCCCATACCCTTTCCCCTGTTCTTCCATTTTCATCATGCTCCTGTCTCCTGTAGCTGGCACATCCTCTCTGATCTGCTCTCCACTGTCTTTTTCATGTTGACCTCCTTTTCTCTCTAAAGATTCCATCTTGTAAAAGCATCTTTCTTTAACTGCTATTGTTTTCAGTGGCCACTCACTCCAGACAGGCTAGAAAACCCTCCCTCATCTGCTGGAGCTGAGTCTGAGCACACCTGCTTTCAGATGCTGGCATTCACACCACCAGCTAAAAGTACTCTAAGGTTCAGTAGTTTTGCAATAAGTTCCTGACTTTCTAACTCTGCATGGCCACAGAGGCAACTCAAACACTGTTACAGGCAGAATGTAATCTGCTAAGTGCCAGAGGACTAGCAGGATTGAGGTAACCAGCCTCCAAGATTCCCCTGCAGATCCTGACCTCCTGGTATTCACACCCTTGCATGGTTTCCTTCACACTGAATCAGGGTTGACCTTTATGACTGATAGAAATACTGTGGAAGAACATTGCATGACTTCTGAGGCTAGATCATATAAGACATTGCAGCTTCACCCTTGGTGTCATGGGCAGCTCATTCCATGTGGAAAACCAGCCATTATATGAGGACATTCAAGTAGCCCTGTGGAGAGGCTCACATGGAGAGAAACTGAGGCCTGCTGCCGACAGCCAGCACCAACTTGGCAGGCATCAGAGTGAGTCACCTTCGTAGCAGATCCTCCAGCCCCAGTTAATAATTCAGATTGGTAAACTTCCAGTGGATGTCTAACTGCAACTCATGAGAGGCTCAAGCCAAAACCACCTAGCCAAAGACACGCCCAAATTTTTGACCCACATAACATGAGATTATGAGATAAAATTATTCTTATTGTTACATACCACTAAGTTTTGGGTTGATTTGTCCTGCAGCATGAGATGAATAAAACAAAAGTCATGTCATAAAGACACAAAATAGCCTTTTCTTTGTGGTCTTTCTATATTTGCTCCTTGCAAAGTTGAAGCTACATGGAGAAGTAATGAAAAGCATAGGTTTTTGGGATAGAGTCAGAGCAGATCCCAGCATCTGGGTTGGTGCTGGGATCTGCACCATCACTTCCTAGTTTTGTGACTTTGGAATAAGTGCTTTAACTCTGAGCCTCACTTGCCTCATCTTTAAAATGGGAGAGAATAACGGTATCCACCTAGCGGGGCTGTGGATTGAAGATGATACATGTAAAAAAATTTATCCTAGATCCTGACACAGAAAATCCTAATAGTGTCAACCTACAAAAAGGCAAAGAGATCCAAAGCCCACTTCAATGTTTCTCCCATTAACTCTTTTCAGATATAGATAAAGTTAACAGAAATTTGAAATCAGTTTGACTTTGCTTTGGTGTTAAACTTCTTGCTCATTCACTGTCTTGCATTTGTGTGAGTATCCCAATCTTGGAGTGGAACATGGGAGTCCATGTAATTGCTCTGACCATTACATCAACTCAAGAGAAATCTGAGAATACCGTTTGCTTCCTTTATGGATAACAAAACTGTCCAAATTTTCATTAGGAAGTTGAGAACTTTCTCAACAGACCGAGCAGGAGAGAGGGTTATGGTTGTTTTGGTTGTTGTTTTTTCTTCTACCACCATAAATGCACATTAGTATAACTTTACCACCAATAGATACACCTTCCAGAGATGTTGACAGTTTTATGGTGAAATGAATAATTCAGAGCTTGTGCAGACCAGGCTTAAATTGTTAATGGATCTATCAGTGTGACAAATTGATGCAGAGTTGCATCAGAATATTAAACTACTAAATATTTATAGTTATTCTTTGTTCAGTTACTGAGTGATTCCACTTTCCCAAGCTAATAACAAGCTCTAAAAGCAGCACTTTTTTTCTTTTCTTTGCAAGAATATTCTTCAATCTCTAAGCCAGTTAATTAAGTTGTTTAGAGATAGAACTTAAGAAATTCTTGTCAAGTGACAGAATCAAAAGATTTTTTGAGATAGATATGCTCAGGAAAATCTATTGTTGGGTCATAAGAAGGCCTGTGGAAATGAGTTTTAAACGACCTGTTAGAATAGATCTCCAATCTCACTGATAAGCTTTCATTTTATTCAGAGTAAATATGTTTTTACATAATTTTTTCTTGTCAGAGATTTCTAGATTTCTTGCTATTGCACTTTAGACTTTTGTTAATAAATCTTGTCTTATGACAGTGGACTAACACTTAAATGAGACATTAATTAGATTAAATTAGGTTTTCATGATGTATTGGGCTAAACAGTTTCTATAAGGCTGCCTTCTTCATATCTGATGATGGATCTTGAGGTCTGCAGGGCAGGCAGTTGGGAAGGGAAGATGGATATTGACAAAGATTCTCCCCTTGATCAAACTGTAATTAGGCTCCTCTGAACTTTCTAAACTATGTTCTGACTTCTGAGCTTCCATGTTTATCTTTACATTGTCCAATGTTATCAAGAATCTTGCTAAGTCAGTTTAGCCAAAATCTGATCAGTTTCCTAATCTTCCCACATATTCCCCAGGTGAGGTCTGGCTTGCCTTTAGCAAGAATTCTGATAGCCAGAATCCTCTCTTACTCCTGATGTTTTCTCTTAAGAATTTTCCATCTGTTGATCCCCTTTCCCCTGTTCCTTGGCTACAAATTCCCACTTTTCCTTATTGTGTTGAGAGTTGAACCTGATCTCTCTTCCCTACTACAAAACCAAGGGTTGAAGATGAAGCATAAAGACAGAAAAAATTATTTACTCAGCAGTGTACCAGATGCTCAACACATTGCAGCAAACTAATCAAAGTCTCTGCCCTCATGGAGCTTGCCTTCTTTTGGGGGAGAGAAAGACAATAAAAAAACCTAATAAACATGTAACATATGAGGTAGAAATATATACTAAAATAATAAGGCAGGGTGAGGAGGTAGAAAAACGTCAGCAAAGATGTGTTGTGTAGAAAGGGTGGTTTGGGAAGGCCTCTCTGATGGGGTCCCATTTAAGAAGACTTGAAGGAAAGGAGAGAGGGAGTGATGCAGGTATCAGGGAGGAAGAGCTTTCCATGCAGATGGCACAAAATGTGAAGGCTCATTAGCATTCAAGAGTAAGTAGGGGATTACAGCAGTCTATGCTGATTGATTACTAGGCATCCTGTTAAGCACTTTACATATATCATCTCTTTTAATTCTAACATTTATTGCTACAGTTAATGGTGCTATGAATATTTTTATACACATGATTTTTTTCTTCATTTATTTGAATCGTTCCCATAGGATAAGTTCTTGGGAGTAGAATTTCTTCTTCTTCTTCTTCTTTTTTTTTTTTTTGAGACTGAGTTTCGCTCTTGTTGCCCAGGCTGGAGTGCAATGGCGTGATCTCGGCTCACCACAACCTCCACCTCCCAGGTTCAATCAATTCTCCTGCCTCAGCCTCCCGAGTAGCTGGGATTACAGGCATGCGCTACCACATCTGGCTAATTTTGAAGTTTTAGTAGGGACAGGGTTTCTCCATGTTGGTCAGGCTGGTCTCAAACTCCTGACGTCAGGTGATCTGCTCACCTCGGCCTCCCAAAGTGCTGGGATTACAGGCGTGAGCCACCGCGCCCAGCCAGAGTAGAATTTCAAGTTAAAGGATATGAACATTTTTATGACCCTTGATATTATCACCAAATTGCTTTCTCAAAAGGACTGGACAAACAATTTAGATTGCCACCAGAGATATCTGAGTACAGTATAGTAAAGAAGTATTGGATGGCATGTTTTGATTTGAATGTCTACACTCAAAGGGACAGTTTAATATTTCCCCAAAGTAAAGGACAGAAAGGTGTTGGCACCTGAACTTTTGTGCTTACTGATGCCTTCTTTAAGGCAAATTTGCTTCCAGGGAACATTTAATCAAAATCCACAGTATTAAACTCACAGCAGTCTCTCAGAGGTTTCATGAGAGACAGTACTGAGTACTGAGTGGAGGTCAGAAGACCTTCACTGAAATTCTGGCTTTGCATCTTATCAGCTGGGTGGCTTAGGGTTAGTCTCTTAACTATGCTGAGACAGTTTGCTCATCTGTAATATGATTTATACTTGGTAAGGGTATAATGAGAATAAAATGATATAGCATACGTGGAAGCATTTTCTAACATTGGAGCACTCTACATATATTCGCAAATATTATTTATTAGGCATTCTCTTTTAACATTTTATTTATTTTTCTTCAACTTTTAGGTTCAGAGGTACATGTGCAGGATGTGCAGGTTTGTTAGATAGGTAAATGTGTGCCATGGTGGTTTGCTGCACAGATCATCCAGGTATTAAGCCCAGCATCCATTAGCTATTCTTCCTGATGCTCTCCCTTCCCCTACCCCACCCACACTACCCAGGCCCCAGCGTGTGTTGTTCTCCCCCAATGTGTCTATGTGTTCTCCTCATTCAGCTCCTACTCATAAGTGAGAACATGTGGTGTTTGGTTTTCTGTTCCTGCATTAGTTTGCTGGCAATAACGGCTTCCAGCTCCATCCATGTCTCTGCAAAAGACAGGATCTCATTCTTTTTTATGGCTGCATAGTATTCTATGTTGTATATGTACCACATTTTCTTTATCCAGTTTATCATTGATGGGCATTTAGGTTGATTCCAGATCTTTGCTATTGTAAATAGTGCTGCAATGAACATATGCATGCATGTATCTTTATAACAGAATGATTTCTAATCCTTTGGATATATACCCAGTAATGGGATTGCTGGGACAAATGGTATTTCTGCCTCTAGGTCTTTGAAGAATCGCCACACTGTCTTCCACAATGCTTGAACTAATTTAAACTCTCACCAATGGTGTAAAAGCACTCCTTTTTCTCTGCAACCTCACCAGCATCTGCTGTTTTTTGATTTTTTAACAGCCATTCTGACTGGCGTGAGATGGTATGTCATTGTGGGTGGTTTTGATTTGCATTTCTTTAATGATCAGTGATGTTAAACATTTTTTCATATGTTTGTTGGCTGCATGTATGTCTTCTTTTGAGAAGTGTCTGTTCGTGTCCTTTGTGCATTTTTTAATGGGTTTTTTTTCTTGTAAATTTGTTTAAGTTCCTTGTAGATTCTGGATATTAGACCTTTGTCAGATGGATAGACTGCAAAAATTTTCTCCTATTCTATAGGTTTCCTGTTCACTCCGATGATAGTTTCTTTAGCTGTGCAGAAACTCTTTAATTAGATCCTATTTGTCAATTTTTGCTTTTGTTGCAATTGCTTTTGGCATTTTTGTCAGGAAATCTTTGCCTGTGCCTTGTTAGGCATTCTCTGTCATTATCTTTTAAACCAATGTGAAGCTCAATGTTTTTATTAAAATATTTAGCCAATGTTTTTCTGTGTGGCTTCCCAATATGGAGTCTCTCTTCTAGAAAGAGAGGGGCACTTTCCTTGGGGAACCACCTCCCCAGGTCCAGGTTGTGTGTGGGAAGCTGATTTAGTGTGGGGGCCAGAGGTGAGCACATGACCCCGACCTAAACAAATTGGTGTATCACTCCACCCTCTGACTCCAGTGATTGGTTCAGGGGTGGGCCTGTGACAGAATCAGAAAGAATCCTCGGATGTTTGCTGGAGCTGTGGGACAATGTCCTTCTTTTCCTGCCTGGAGATGAGGTTGAAAGTTCTGCCACTGAGAGGTGAAGCCAGCTGGACTTCCTGGGTCCCCAGTGGGGCCTTGGAGAAAGTCTCTGTAGCTAGCAATGGGATTGTAAAATGCACCAAACAGTGCTCTGTAAAACGCACCAATCAGTGCTCTGTAAAATGCACCAATCAGTGCTCTGTAAAATGTACCAATCAGTAGGATCCTAAAAGTAGCCAATCGCAGGGAGGCTTGGGAAAAAGGGCACTCTAATCGGACAAAAATGGAACATGGGAGGGGACAAATAAGGGAATAAAAGCTGGCCACCCTAGCCAGCAGTGGTAACCCACTTGGGTCCCCTTCCACTCTGTGGAAGCTTTGTCCTTTCGCTCTTCACAATAAACCTTTCTACCACTCACACTTTGGGTCCGTGCCATCTTTAAGAGCTGTAACACTCACCGCAAAGGTCCACGGCTTCATTCTTGAAGTCAGAGAGACCACGAACCCACCGGCAGGAACCAACTCTGGACACACCACCACCCAGGACAAAAACCCAAGAATGCCACCAAAGCAAAAGTGGGGCCCAGAGACAGGGAGAGGAAACCTCAGCAAACAGCTTTATCTGAGCCCTTGAGTTCAGCTGTGCTCCATTCAGCCTTGGGTTTGCTAGTTTCACAAGCCAATGACATTCTTTTCGCTTAATCCAGTTTCAGACGGATATTCTGTATCCGTCTGAAGTTAAATGATTTGGAATTGTACATATCTTGTACACTTGTGTAGCACTTTATGGTTCTCAAAGAGTTTCACATGTTGTGTGCTTATTGGTTCCTCACAGCTTCTCTGTGAACTGAACTATGCTAGAAGGTGCTATTATGCAATTTCAAAGGTGAAACACACCTGGAGCAGTACTGCTGGTTATGAGCCAGTTTAACACTCAGATTAGACCTGTTGCTTCCTCTCTGGGACCTGGGGCAAGTTACCAACTTCTCTGAACCTCAGACTTCTTATGTGAAAAACGGGAAATAATGCAGGAAATGGAGATTTTTCAGTGGATTAAATGAGATGATGAGTATGAAGTGCTTCGTGTAATACGTGGCAATGGCAGGTAGACAGTGAGAAAAGGATAACTAGTATTATAATTTTCATAAAATCTCAGAGTTAGCAAATGCGAGGGCTGTGATCAAAGCCTGTTGCTTCTCATACCACACAGCACTGCTTCTCCTCCTGTCATGTGCTGTGTCCCCACGGGCACCACAGACTCAGTGAGTGCCTGACTTAGGAATTTTGAGAGCTTAGGAGTAGTAGAGAGGTGTTTTGATGGCAACTAGGAGCAAGATAGGAGCAAAATTCACTCTGGAGGCATGATCCTGCAGCTCTTCTGGAGACTCCAACCCCTTTCCAAACTGGCTTTAAGCCATGAATTCTGATTTACATAAATATCGAAAGATATTCCTAGAAAACCTATTAAGAAAATACATGACAAAGATTAACCAGACCATTAAGTCAACATGCGGGAAATGTATTAAAAAACTGGATATTTATTTCCATATTGAATAAGTTGTTAAAAAGCAATAGGGCTCTTACTGAAGTTGCTGATCTCATTTCTCTGTCCTTTAATATTACAGAAATGTTGACATGCAAATTGAGTAGCTGGAACAACTGTCAAATATTTTAAGTGCTTGTTGCCTCACTTGAAGTGGATGAATAGTTGCATCATATGCCTATATATTAGAAGAGACAAGATGTTTTCATGGGTCTGCTTCCTGCATCTCTGTTTTCTTCTAGTTTTTGTCCAAGTAATGATCTGATCAAAGCACCCACATACCCTCCTGGTTAACATAGTTATTAACTTTCTATTTCCAAGGTAATAAAACACCCCAATACCACCTTTCTTAAACTCAGACAGAAAATCGTTGTATGTCCTAAACCTAATTGTATGCCATGAATGCATGTGTTTTAACCTGCAGCTTTCAAGCACACTGATGTGGTGCCATAGCATATAAACAGAAAATGCAGAGATGTAACAATCTTATGAATCAGATATGCCTAATTTTGTTATTTAGATAATTCATTTTTATTCTGCCACCTTGTTAGTCTAGCAAACTAATCTTGTTTTGCTAGTCTTGGTTGAAGTGTCTGGAAAACCTGACTATATAAATACAAGTTGTTACTTTTGAGTGGCTACAGAGTTTCTGTTTAAAACAATCACTCACTAGGGATGCTTCTGGAAACATGACAGGGCATGGAGATTACTCATGATTTTGCTGCTACCAGTTTCATTGCTACCTGAAGAAGATATATTCAAAGATATTTAAATTTCTTAGCACTTCAGTAGTCATCTGTTTGCATCCAGAGTCAATATTATTTTTCATATTGGTATAAATACCTGGAAACTTCTAAATGAGACTCACTGGAACTCATTCCAAAACCCAAATATTCAGAAGCCTATTTTTGTGCTCTGTTTATAGATGATACCATTTGTGGGGGCTACATTTAGAAGCAAGGCAGTGATGCTCTGGGTAACTGCTCTCTGGAGATAATTTGTGGTTCAAAAGCAGTAACCAAATTATTTTCCATTTGAGAAATTATTTCTTCATTAGCAAAAGGGATGCACAGAGTAACCACCTTTTAAAATACCATCTCTTTCGTGGACTAAGTGTGTTTTCACTGAGCCCCAAGAGGCCTGGTTGGAAGTAGAGGTGGGACTGCTGGATCGTGCATCACTGATCTGTGAGCCACACATTGGGGTGGAGGGATGACTGACGGTATCACTGCCTTCTGCTTGGACTCAGGAGTTTATAGTTCAGTCGCTTTGTTCTCTCCTTGCAAAGGAAAATTTTATCATAAAGGATGGTTTGTGTACTTGCCCTAAATCCTTTTTTGGTTCTTCTTGTTTTATGACCACAGTGCTTTACTGTAGATTTTCTCCCTGATGCCTTCTCTTTGTCATTTATCATGCTGACAGTTTAATAGAATTGCAGGCCTGGCAGATAGTGCTAGGATGTCCTTTCCCACACAATGCTAAGGAGCTTTAACCCTATCAGGGAGTCTCTTGACACACTATTGCAAGAAATGGTGCTAACAGTCCTGATGTGACAAAGTAGCAACCAGAAAGAGAGTAAAAGTGTACATACGTCAACTTAGTATCTCAGTGCTTCTGGTGAAGTTTATCAAGAAAAATTCCTTAGAATCCCTTGGGGACCAATATGTAGGTGACTATGTATGTGTATTTAGTTAAATTCATTTAACTCACAGTAGGGGATGAAATGAATTTTCCATAAGTACCTTAGTATAGTTTATCTTCCAGATAACTGAAAGAAGAGCAGGGTTTAACAGGGCAGAATGAATGTGGAAAAAAGTTATGGCCTAATCAATGAAAACAATTAAAGCTACTATTAATGAAGAATTTCCCAAATCCCATGCTGGGATTGAAGTGTTTTACATACATTATGTAATTTAATTCTCTTGTCAACCTCTTTAGGCAATAACAATAATCATAAACAAACATTTGTTGAGTTTTACTATATTCCTGGCACTGTGCTAAACACTTTACAGGCATTAACTCATTTTTTCTTAATGACTTTATCTCTTAAATATCCCTTCAATATCTATTTACTCCTGCTAGTCTCTACTGCCACAACCTTAGGCCAGCCCACCAACAATATTTCAAAACTTTTTTTTACATAAGATAAAGAGCTTACAGAAAAGATCACAATGCAATAAAGAGCCCACATTTTAGGTGCATATACATATACATCACATATACGTCCTTATGGGCACTGCCCAGATCAAGAAGGGAATGTTTCTAGCATCCTAGAGGGTTTCCTCATACTCCATCTCAGTTAATATCCTCCCAATGAAAACGCATTTTGATCTTATCACCATAAATTAGTTTTGCTTGTTCTTGAAATGAGTATAAATGAAATCATAGTGTATGTTTCTAGGACCTGGCTTCATAAAAGTATGTCTATGAGATTCACCCATGTTGTTGCATAGATCAATAGTTTGTTCTTTTTCACTATTGTGTAGTTTTCCATTAAGGAATTTATAACAATTATTTATCCACCCACAATTGTTTCTTGCCTAAATTACTGATTAGCTCCTTAATTGGCCTACTGGCATCTCCACTTATCTTCCAATTTTTTCTCCACTTCATAGCCAGAAGAATTTACTTACTAAAGGAGATGTGCACAGTGGATCTGACAAGCACTAGTGTTCTGATCAGTCTGCGCTGCATTTTGGGGTAAAGAGCGTCCAGTTCAACAATTTTAATTTGACATACATTTATTGTGCATCTAAAGCATGGCTCCTGCTCTTTAAGAGTACATAGGAAGTTCATAGGAAGAAAATTGTATAAATTACTACCTTCCATCAGTGTGATTGGTTGTATATTAGTAGTAGAATGCCAGGTATAGGGGCTCACAAAGAACATGAAACCCGCCTTAGGATTCCCTTCTTTGGCTTTGAGTCCATTCTTACTGTATTAGTCTGTTCTCACATTGCTATAAAGAACTACCCAAGACTGGGTAATTTATGAATAAAAGAGGTGTAATTGACTCATAGCTCCACAGGCTTAACAGAAAGCATGACTGGGAGGCCTCAGGAAACTTACGATCATAGCAGAAGGTGAAGCGAAAACAACCATGTATTGCCATGGCAGAGCAGGAGAGAGACAGACAGAGAGAGACAGAGAGAGAGAGAGAGAGAGAGTGAGAGAGCGAGAGAGAAGGGGTAAGTGCCACATGCTTTTAAACCATCAGATCTCATGAGAACTCATCCACTATCAAGGGAACAGCAAGGGGGAAATCTTCCCCTGTGATCTGATCACATCCGACCAGGCCCCTCCTTCAATTTAGCATGAGATTTGGGCAGGGACACAAATCCAAACCATATCACTTACTGAGAGAGCTAATTACTGACTGTCTTCCAAGATACCTGGATATCTGGAATAAGGTCCTAAACAGGAGGCAGAAGCAGGTCAGTCAAGAATATCATTACTAAAATAATAATACATGGAGTTTCTGGGATCACAGATTGGTGTTTCAAGTGCTTGGCCAGTAAGAGTCTGTCCTTGAGAACCTGGCCAATTCTGTGTACCTGGACAGAAGTGAGTTTATGCTCTGAAATGCTGAGAACGAGATCCTGAGTGCTGTTAGCCCCACCAAGGCAGTACTGCCAAGTGACATTATTTGGGTACCCAGGTAGCCTCCCTTTCTGAGATTTGCAGCTCTATAGCTTCCACCTATGTTCAGCACACTGCCCAAATTAGGCACTCAATGCATACTCTTTGGTTTGACCTGGCAGTGATGTGTAAGAAGAGGCTTATCTACATACTGAAAATAGATGTTGAAGAGAAGACAAATCACCAGCTCCTTAGTTATATAATAAGACACTTTTCTTTAGCTGATGATGCTGTGTAAGTTTGTCTATCCCTGAAACTCTCAAATAGCCTTTTATTACTTTTTTCAGGTCCTGTGAAGACAGACTCTGTGATTGCATTAAGTTTACCAAGTGCAACCATGCCAAAAGCTGAAACTATTGATTGGTTTTATTTGTTACTAGTTTTTGATGAGTGAAAGGTTAATTATTCCATGAATATAAGTAGTTTTGCCTCCAAATTTTATAAAAATTCTGCAATACATTTTAGAAGTTTATTGAAATATTTATAGAAAAGTACACAAATATATGTCTCAATAAATTATCATAAAGAGAATAGGCCAGTGCAAAGTTGAACAGTGACATATATATTACATAGCTTTTTGTTATTTTTATTGTTATGCAGTTTTTCACTTAATTTTATTTACTGTGACTAGGTACTAATAGAGGCTGAGTGCCTCTCTTTCAAAGGTTATCATGTTTACAAGCTTATCATAAAGCTTGTGAAGCCATTTCTTCCCTTGCTGGGCACTTGAGTTTTCATTTTTTTGCCATTTAAATAGTGCTGCAAAGGGACATTTTGTACAACTGTCTTCATTCTTTCTTTTGAGCTATTTTCTTGGAACATGACATGATCAGTTCCAAAAGTCATGAATTGTCTCAAGGCTCTTTTTACTCAATTTCATATAGTGCTTGCTATAATATCATTGTATAGTACCTTGAATAATACTTATGTAAACCTGTACACTAATGCTAAACATAGGGTTTTTATAATTTATATTTATTTGAGCTTGTTTAATAGGAGTATAATTGTATAAAGAACTTCATGTGGTCTGTCTCCATTTGCTATCTTCTACGAATTGGCTAATGTAACTTTGGCAAATTAATGCAGGGACGTGATCTAACTGTACTTCAGGTTGTAGGTATAAGATGTAGTGTTCAGTTATCTGAATTTAAAATTAAACCAAAATACTTTTGAATTTCTATGAAAAGTAAAAATAATCCCAGCAATTAGTTTGGTTTGGGATGGGGTTTGAATTGTGATATACTTAAACTGAAATATACTCAGAACGTATTTTGAGGGGTTAGTTTGTTTTGTTGCCATGGAGAGAAGGGTCCTGTTAGACTGAAAACTCCACATAACTCTTTAAATAGTGGAGAATAACAGGGCACCTGAAAAACAAGTTGGTTGGGATTGAAACTTTAAAGCTTGGTGCCCCTCTGTTGCTGGTATGGCTGTTAATGTCCTGTGGTCCAGGACATGAGTTACAAAGCAGGTGCTTGGACATAGAGAGCTTAAACTGAGTTGCCCACATGTTGTCTTGACTAATTTTACAGAGCAGATTAAGCTTCTGAAATAAGTACAATGGTTTCTCGGGAGGCAATGAGGTGTAATGGCAGAGAGCATGGGCTTTGGAGACTGACAGAACTGGATTTGAATCCTGCCTTTTTCAGTTACTGTTTATGTGACCTTGAGAAGATTCTTAGCCTCTCTAAACCTTTACATAACGGTATGAAAAATGGGAATCAAATATACCTCAAAGAACAATTGTCAAGTTAAAAAGAGACAATGTATGTAATGCCTGACAGATAGTACATGCTTAATGTATGATAGCTATTGTTATTTTTCCATAGATAAATATATCGACCCATAGCTTCATGAAGACAGTGAGGGCTAGCCAAAAGGGGGCACTATATGGGGATTTGCTGCTTCTATGTTTTTCCAAGGTGCCTTGGCAGAGGCAGCAAACCTTAGTTTTTTTCTCCCTGTTGGCCTTCCATAGAGCTTCTAGAAAGTTTCCATAAGCAGGTGGCAGGGATCTAAGCTGGGATTCCCAACTGATAAAAAAAATTTAGAGCCATAACTATTTTTGTTATCTTCAAAAATGTCCAGTTCTAGCCTTTGGGTGTTTTGCTTTCTTTTAAGCAGGAAATAGGGTAATATAAACTAAACATAACCTATAATAAGAGCTACTCACAGATTCTTTTTTTACAAGTCAAATTTTAGAAAGCCATATTTGTCCCCACAGGTTTGCAGGCTGCTAAAACCTTAGAAGAATGCACAGAGAGAACTTTTTTTTTGTTGGTTATTTGTGGAGAAAGAAAATGACCTAGAGATCCTGGGCTCTATGCATGGTCTTCACTGGATAAATAGGACTGGTTTCATGACTTTTGTAAAGAGTACCAATTGTGGATTTTACCTCTAATATTAAGGTGCTAATCCAAGTCATTTTGTCTTTGAGATACAAAACAAAAAAAAGTATAATCCATGCTTAATTTATCACTTGAGAGATTGATTGGTATTGATAACCATTGTAGGTCTTGTAAACGTTAAATGAATTGTTCCTATAATATCTGCCAGGCAGGTTTCTGTTCTGCAAAGTGGTTCTGGGAGCTGCAGATGAAAGAGTGGCATTATTTTAGGCACATCTTTTAGCTGCTGTAATGTGTTAATGGGCTTAGTCGATAGGTAGCTACACCCTCAGCAGGCTGATTCCAGTTGAACAGTCAGATTGTCACTCCTGGAGTCTTTTGGGAGACAATGTGGAAAGGATATTTAGGAGGCTCTTTCTTCTAAGACTAAACATGTCACCTGACTAATGCATCTAGGCAGTGTTCTTCACAAGATCAGAAGTCCAGTGTACACATTTAATCTGAGATCCTCCCTGCAATATGGCATTGTGAAATTGCAATGATCTGCTCAAGCCATATTTTCCTAATCCCATTCCTCATTGACTAGAAGTGAAGAGATATAAAAGAATGCACTTAGTCAAAGATGTGAGAAACACCTCTAAAACTAACTTTATCTGATAAGGGAATTGAGTAATAAATGAACACATGAATTTTTGAAAGATGATTCCCATATTCTTATTTTTCAAAGCTCTTGGAATTATTTTCAAAACTCTGGGAATTATTTGCTTTTATAACAATATGTATGAGAAATAATAAATTTGTAGAACTTTTCTATAATAGTCTGAGAACTACTGACCCAGAAAGACTCTTAAGAAAGACTCTTAAGAAAGAATCTTTTTTGTTTGTTTGAGGTGGATTCTTGCTCTGTCACCAGGCTGGAGTGCAGTGGCATGATCTTGGCTCACTGCAACCTCCACCTGCTGGGTTCAAGAGATTCTCTTTTCTCAGCCTCCCAAGTAGCTGGGACTACAGGTGCATGCCACCATGCCCAACTAATTTTTGTATTTTTAGTACAGATGGGGTTTCATCATATTGGCCAGGATGCTCTCGATCTCCTGATCTCGTGATATGCCTGCCTTGGCCTCCCAAAGTGCTGGGATTACAGGAGTCAGCCACCTTGCCTGGCCCAAGAAAGAGTCTTAAGTAATCAGTCAAATTTAAAATTTACTGTACTTATATTATTCTTACTAATCTGAGTTAGCTACATTTGTGATAGAGTGCTTTTCCAAATATATATATATATAAGATTTGGGGGTCTTGCTATGTTGCCTAATCTGGACTCCAACTCCTGGGCCCAAGCAATCTTGCCTCCTGAGTAGCTGAGATACAGGCACACACCACTGAGCCCTCACTTTTGTGAATATAAAGTAAACTCCATGAGGGCAGGTGATTTGTCTAGTTCTGCAGTGTTGTAACTGCATAAAACACTGCCAGGCACCGAGTAGATGCTTAATGAAATTTCACTGAATGAGTGAATATATTTTTTTAAAAGATCTTAGGCACAAGAAACTTTAGTTTTTCCATTAGATCCAGTAAGTTTTAAAAAATCTTTTTTTGATACTTACAGGAGCCAACAGGAGATATAGTCTATGGCATTTTTCACCTCATCAAAGAAATCCATAATCTGGAAGTAGAAATCAGTGATTTGGTCCATTCCTCTGACTCTGCTCAGGCTCTCATATCCCTTACTTTTCCTTACCTTAAACAATTTTAGGAGAAGAGACAGCAAGCCTTTCCTAGAAAGCTGTTTCAACTGATATTCCTTCCTCCTGCATCTAGCCTAAAACTATCCTGCTATAAAGAACTTGCTTATTTTTATTTGCTCCTTAGTGCAGAAAAAAATGAGTTTGCCAATATGTTTTATATTCAAATCTTTCATTTTTTTCTTCTAACATCAATCAACAGTATCTACAGACATTCAATTATGGGTCCAGCAGTCCCCTTTCCCTCAGTTTTATGCCTCATTTCTAAAACTTTTGATAATATTTGTCATTTTTATTCTAAATCTTCTCAATTTTCCTCACAGCTTGCTTAAAATATGAATCCACAAAAGCTAGACATACAATGGTGAGAACATTGGGAAAAAGAGCTTGTGTGTTTCAGAGAGGCCTAGATTCCCTTTTATTGGTAATTGGAAAAAAGAATATTGATAGAGGAAGCTCCATGCAGTGGAGAGGGGCTCACATCCATAAAGAAAGGGTAAGAAATTCAGCGTTCTCCAAAATGTCTCCACTGGGATATAATTTGTCTTTCATAGAAAATCAAACATTCAAATTTGATGGAAATTTTCTTGCTTTGTTGGTTTCTGTATTTGAGGGTTACTGTAAAAACTATGTTGTATAAAAAACCATCCTCAAACTCAGAAGCTTACAACAAGCTTTAATTTTCAACCCTCTTGGGTCTGCGGGTTGACCTACACTTCAGCTAGATTTGGCAGGCATTGGCTGGGCCTTTGGTCACCTGATCTTGTTTGTCTCCAGGATGTGAGTGGGTCCATATCTACTCCACATGTTTGCCCATCAGTATTGGACCAGTGGCTACCCAAAGCATGTTGTTCTCATGAAGGACAGCAATGCAAGAAGCTAGCACAGTGAAGGCCTCCGTACATCTCATCTGTTGATGTTCTTTTTGTCAAAGCGAGTTGCACATTGAAGTCCAATATCAGTGGGGGTAGAGAAGGATACCGCATCCACAGTGAGAGGAGGCAGGGAGTGAATATTTGCTGAACAGTAATACAAATGATCAGCCAGCACACTAGACTACAAACTTTACAAGGGCAGATAAAAACTTATCTGTTTTGCTCTCCACTGCATCCCTGAAGCTTGGCACTTGTAGTGGCTTGATGAACATTTGTCAGATGAATGAATGAATGAACAAAGAAGCCCATAATATAGACCCAGCAATAACAGACTAAGAATAGTAGTAATGGCCATAGAATAGGATGTAGTCCATATAACAAAGGCATTCATTTTAATAAAAGATATTTAAAAACTTATGACACAATGTGTACTAGGGTAACTACATCAATATATACATTAATATATTCCTATATCTATATTATATGTCTTTTGTATTTGTTCTACCTGTGTGTTCTCATCAGCACAGTTTAAGAGACACTACTATGGCCAGGAGGCCCTTCTACACTGGATAAACCTAAGGGTGTCCTATGACTTGCAGTGACAATAGAGCCTGCCTGGCAATGAGCTGTTCTGCCCCTGGGCCTCCTTGTCTGACCAGAGCTTTTGGTGAACATGAATTACTCAGTAGTGATGGCTGCAGGCCAACTTCCCCTGTGCCTTGGCACTGTTCGGCTGGGTCACATGGCTTGGAGCTGTGCTGTAAGGAGTACTTCAAGTGTCTCTGCTGTCCACCCCAGTTAGAATAAGCCAAGATGGCTCGTGCTTCCCCGTCACTTTGCTGTGGCTGATCCTGGCACTGGTTTAGGAAGCTGAGCCTGACCTGCTGCTGCACCGCATGGCAGTGTTAGTGATCCTTCCTGGTTACCCACATTAACTACAGTTTCTGAGAATCACAGATGAACTGCCCCAGGAAGCCAAATCGTTTATATAGGGCAGCTCTAAAACTGGTTGCTAAATACATGGTTAAACTATCTTCAGTTTGGTCTAGTTTGACATTCAATGCAGAAAAAAACCCAGAGTGATTATTTCAAAAATCTCAACATTATAAATTTGGGGCAGGTAACTTGTCTGTCTTGTTGAACATTGTCACCCCAGTGACTAGCATGAGGACTGGCTCATGGCATATACTGAGTTATTATTCTTTGAATGTGTAATGGAAAAGCATACACATTCTCCAAATTATTTATATTTGGTATATTTTCAATATGTCATAATATGGATGTTATTAAATTTGTGATACTTTAAAATTAATCTTTGATGCAATAAGTTCTATGTTTAGAGCCACAACTGGCACATAGTAAGCACTATATAGTAGTTGATGAATAAAGTAAAATAAGTTCAAAACAAAAATGAAGTGACTTTCTTGTTTTTCTTTTTCCAATTTGAAACAAAGTACAAATCGTTTAACTTCTGTATCATGGCTCTCTGTTTTCCCAATGTCCCTTTTTGGTAAATCATATCACTTAAAATGATGATAGTAATAATGATAATAATAACGTAATAGCAACAACTGGTCGTTATTGAGCATTTATTATGCATGAGACTGTGCTGTTTGACATTCATTGTTTCATTTGATTCATAAAACAAATGTGTGAAGTGCAGCATATTGTTATTACCCTTTTGCAAAGGAACCCATGACTCTCAGATAGTAAAGGATGAAACCTGTCTTTCTGGTCCCAGAGTCTGCATCTTCTACTACGATATTCCCAACATGGAAGGGGATTTCAGGATGGAAGTCCTCTTTACTACCCTGTTGAAGACATGTGGATATCAAGTGCTAGCTGAAACAAGTGTGTGGGTTTTATGAAATACCTCTGCAAACTTATATTTGCTTCCTGAGGGGGAAATAATTAAGATCTGTGGCTTATGTTTCTTAGTAGTTGGTCTGAACTCCAATAACCCAAATCTCCTTTCTCTGAGGTTCTTCTTGGTATAAACTCTGTCTTGAGTAAGTGTAAAAACAGGTGATAATACTGTCTACAGTGGAGTTAATGAAGCAGAGTGGGTCTTCTACAATGAAGAACTCCATGGGGGACTTTTAAAAGAGTTTAACTGAGATGCCAGCGGCTACTGCATCTCCTGGGTCCAATAAATCTGCACCATCAGCATGTCCATGAGGCAATGAAGAAGATGCTTGCTGTAGTTTCCTGCAGAAAAATTATCTTGAGCAGAATGGTGTGCATGTGCGTGTGCATGTGCATGTGTGTGTGTGTTGCTGTCAGCTGACACCCAATAAGCAGAAAACTGCAAACTTCACAGTTAGGCATGACTTTGTATCGCTGTTGAGGCTCCCTCTTGAGAATAATGCCCAGAAGAGGCTGTGCACAGGCTGACAGGAGCTCTGCTAATCCTTACCTTGCCTCTGACACTTTCCTGGATGGATTCCATTGCTGGGACTCTGTGAGCAGCAGCTCCCTTGACAGCAGGAGAGAAAAGGGACCCAAAATTCCAGCTCTCTCATCCCTGTGTAACTCCTCATTGAGGTGACAGAATGCTCATCCTTCAAAGTGACACCTCTGCAGGTCACGTTCGTCACTCAAAGGAAGGTTGCTCCATCAGAGGGCAATGAGGGGGCTCTGTTTCTCAGTTTTTAGTCTTAGCAGACAGCACAATTCCCAAGGTAATGGAGTAACATCCCGTTTATCGGGTTCAGTAGGATGGTTGCAGAGAACAGTCTGTATTACCTGTAGAACAGTTGAGCTGGTGTGCCTCTGTAGGATAAGGCATGAGGAGAGCATTCTGAGCCAGGGAGCTTGAATGCAGCCCAAGTGTCTGCCTGCCTCCCTTCAAGCCTCACCCTCCTCTACTGTACTTGAAGAAAGGGATGGTTGTTCTACTTGGTTGCTACCTTGCCCTTAACCATCTCTCTTAGCACTACCCGGATTTTTGCTCAAGACTACAGAACTGTGGGCCTCCCTTCATGTAAACCTGCTCTACAGTGCTAGTCCCTCAGGGAAAAGATGATTTCTTTCACTGCTTTATTCCTGCATTCCCCACAGATTTCTTAACTGAAGGCCTCTGTGCATACAGACCTTTAGCAATGGTTTTTAGGAAGTGGAGGGAAAGTATAACATAGCATGGAACAGAGTGACATTGGAAATGGAAAAGCAGAAAACTAATAATAGTGCTACTCTTAGGTGTCTTAAACACATGGGATGTTTTTCAGGCTCCCTTCCTTGTTAGGGATGCTTTCTCTTTCCTTCTCGACACTTCCTAGATGAACTTGTGGCATCCAAATGTACTCCTTATTTTTTATGCCTGGTTAATTTAGCTTTACACAACTCCTTTCCCTTTCCAGACTAGTTCATTGACCCATTTTTTTTTTTCGGCCAAAAGCTTACTAAAGAGCTCTGTAAAAAGACATGGCCTTTGCAGAGGCCTCTACCTTTAGCTATACAAAGAACCAATGGGAACTTTGAAATCACATCTTCTTCCCTCAAGATGGTAAGAGTCAAATTCTTCAGGGGAACTCCTTTACCAGTTTTGGTAAAGGAAAGGAGAATGATGGAAAAATATATTAATTCCTCTTTCTTTCTATGCCTTTCCTGCTATTTAGAAGAATAGGGATATGATTTTATCCCCTACCTCTGACTTACATTAAGATGTTGACTGTTAAAAATTCCTACTGAAGTTTAGGAGAGAGACAGATCTTTTTTAGGATATTGCCCACTTTATTTCTGGAAATCAATTCTGTCAACAACCTAAGTGAGCTTGGAAGCAGATTCTTCTCCAGTTGATCTTCCAAATGAGAACACAGCCTACCCAACACCTTGATTACAGTCTGTGAGACCTAAACAGAGGATTCAGATAAGCTACACCTAGACCTCTAGCCCACAGAAACTGTGAGATAATAATGCATGTTGTTTTAAGCTACAATGCTTATGGTAACTTATTATGCAGCAATAGATAATGAATACAAGCACCTAATACCTCATGGAGTTGTTAGACTTAAATAGCTTAAAACACATAAGGTGTTCAGAATAGTGCCCAGCACACAGTAAGCATGTGATATATATTAGCTATTAAAATATTAAGTGATTTTATAAATTTCCTATTATAGTCATTCAGTCTGCAATATTTATTAGGTGTTTACTATGTGCGTATATGATCCCTTTTTTTCAAAGTCCTTACACCCTAGTGGGAATACTTCATTAAACATATGTATAAATGTAAGAAATCTCTGAAGGAAATATCCAGCATGATCTGGGAAGATTTGTAGAGGGACCTAACATTGACTTGGTCAGGGAAGGATTCACTGAAGAAGTGATATTTAAGCAGCAGTATGAAGACTGCATAGGAATTAAAATGAAAGGAAGACCAGTCTACACCAGCGCTTTCTGATAGAACATTCTGTGATGATAAAAAAGCTCTATGTTGGTTCTGTCCAACTCAATAGCCACTAGCCACATATGGTGATTGAGCACTTTAAATGTGGCCAGTGCAACTAATGGATTGACTTTTAAATTTCATTTAATTTTAATTCATGTACCTTTAAATAGCCCTAAATGTGGCTAGTGGTCACAGTATTAGACAGTGTAGGGAAGAGGGAAAGTATGTGAAAGGATCCTAAGGCTGGAGAAAACATATTTTATTTAAACAACTGAGAAAAGTCCAGTATGACTGAAGCTGAAACTGCACGTATTATAGTTCTGTTATTCAGTCAAACATCAACAATAATATTGAACACTTGCGCTGCACTTATTCTGTGCCAGACACTGTTCTAAGCTTCTTCCATAGGAAAACTTATTTATACCTTGCAACAGCTCCATGAGTGAGCCCTTTCATTACCTGCATTCCTCTAACATACTACCTGCATTCAAAGGTACAGTAGGGTGAATTGAACTTGCCCATGGTGACACAGCTAGTGATTAGATGAGCTGGGCAGACTAGGTCCAGAGTATGCATTTTGTTATACAATATGGATTTTCATACAAAGAGAAAGGAATTGTAAAGTGTGTTGGGGGCAGGAGCCTCTTTGGGTCTCTCCACAGGCCACCATGCCTATGTATACTGTAGAAATAAAATATCTTCTAATGGGAAAAAAAAGTTGCAAAGTAATAAAAAGCCATATGCACATCTAATCAGCTGTTTTTGAGAAAACATGTTTTTATGTGTGATTGTATCTTTAGAAAAATATTTGATATGCCTACTGTTTATGATATCCTTATCACAGCATAGAGCTCTCCAACACAGAAGTTTATACCTTCTGTGTTTTGTTGTAACTTGATCAGTCATTTCATAATTATTTCCATGAAACTGGGGAGTCAATGGCATAGGGCACAGTTGTTATTATTTTTTGTTTTATAATAGTCATAATAGCATCATACTAATATAGTCATAATAACATCTATAATAACAACATAATATATTCATAATACCATCTCTGTATAAAATCTTGAAACTTTAAGAACTTACTTTCTGGTTTGCAAAGATAAATAATGGATACTTAGACCTGCTTCAGAGAGTTTCTCTCTGTATACATTGGCATGAGGTGTGTAATACATTAGAAGCTTTGAAAAAAGTGGCTGCTTCTTTTGTTATGTATTTTAACAAAACTCATAAACTATTCCCTTTGGAGAGATGGATTTGTATCAGTGTCTCCTGAATGAAAAAGAAACGAAATATGGAAGAGTCCTCTAATCCATTTTGAATATTTTAACCAAATTACACCCTCAGTGGATATTTGTAGATTGTGCCACCAGAGGGAGTGGGATTACATTTATTTATTTTTTATTGTATAACTAAATATACTCTGCTGGTTGATTTAGAGGTGATTAAATTAAATTAAAGGTGATTACTTATATGACGAAAAGCCAAAATCTGTTGAGGAAGAACAGATGCTCCAATCACCTTCGGTTTTGTCTAATTGGATTTCTGAAAACAAGAAGTGTCTAGAAGAGTTATAGTTAGTGCTTTGACACAAAAGCATTCAGAATCTGTCAATATTATCAAAAGGCCCAGGGAGTGCTATAGTGGCTGCTAAATTTAGAAAATTTAGTACAATATGGCTTAAATAATAAGAAAACCTGGGGCTATAATTTGGAAGCTATTTTTATCCACGGCTCTTATTGTCTCTATCACCTGACCTGTTAGCTGGAAACGTTTCCTTTCTCTTTGCATTTGTCATTTTAAAGTTTAAAATTGGAGCTTGTAAATAACACGGACAATCAAATACTGTACAAAACGTTAGAAAGAAATATTTGTTAAAAAATAGATGGACCTAGAAAGATTAGAAGGTGAATAGCTGAAGTGAAACTATATTAGCACTTCAATAGGATCTAGGAAAGAAAGGACCAAGTTAATACAAATCTGATTTTCATCTCTGCCATCTCAGCCCTGCCTGTACATTAGAATTATCAGAGAAGATTCAAGATGATGAGGCCCCACCCAAGGACAATTAAGCCAAAATTCCATAGGGTGGGAATTCAGTCAAAATAGAGAGAGCCTATTAAAACTTATATCTAAATTAGTAAATCTCCTTAAATTATACATTTGATTATATAGTTAAAGATTTGTTTCTTTCTCTTTCTCATTTCTAAATGCCAATCCATCCTTACTAAATTAAGTCCTTCCCAATTCCAGAGATAAAAATCTTAAAAGGATGATAGTACTTCATTTGTAGAGGGCAAATGCTAAGGTGAGAGTGGTGCTCTATGTTAACTTCGTTTGCGTGATGGAGCTTTTGAGTGAGAAGCCTATTGCAGAGTAACTACCACAGGGATTCTTCATCGCCTGACGACTGCAGTCATGTGACAGTAATGTTTTGCAAATATTAAACTGATGTTGTCTAACTTCCATCTTGAATCTATTGGCTCTTGCCACAATAAGATTGTGTAATAAACAAATCTCACAGGCATGCAACTACAAACATTTATTTCTCACACATCTGTAGTCACATGGGGGGTTGGCCTCATCTATACCAGGCTTTGCTTTAAGCTTTGGTCTGGGTCTGTTCCATGTCGCATTCTTCTTGAATAAGTGGGCTCGCTGCTGCTGTTTCTCCTCCTCCTCCTCGTCCTCCTCCTCCTCCCCTCCCCTTCTCCTCCTTCTCCCCTCCCCTCCTCTCCTCCTCCTCCTCCTCTCTCCCCTTATTCTTCCAAGGGCAGAGGTGCAAGAAGGTATGTCTAATTGTACAAGCTCCTGCTTTTATCATACCACTGGCAAAATCAAGTCACAGGGCCAAGCCCGAAGTCAAGGGTTGGGGAGGAACACCCAGCCTTTCATGGGTTGAGCTGCAGTATTACATGGGAAAGGTCATGGATACAGGGAGAGGTGAAGAATTTGGGCAAAAAAAAATTAATCTGTCACATTCTTAAAATCATGTTTTATTGCAACTTTTCACCTGATTCAAACCTATGAGGCTTACTACCCAAAGGCAGGAGAGGGTGTAAATTTCATCACTTTAGCAAGAAAATGGGCTGGAAAGCTATGATTTGTGGAGAGAGGTAATTTGTTTCATTCCATTGATTTCCCTTTGAAAAACAAAGTCTAGGCCTGATAATGCTAGATTGTAGCATTTTCCCAGAGTATAGGGAAGATGGCCTCTCTGCCTATAGTAGCTTGGCTGTGAAACCTGGGGTTTCATAAAAACTAGATATAATGTCAGTGAAGTAAAAGAAAAACCCACTGTTTTCCATCTCAAGGCATAGTGAAATGAGACAGAAGTAGGAGTGCAAAGCTAGGACAGGTGTGTTGATTCTTCTCTCTGGAGAGGTGTCAGATAGGTGGTGGGAGGTGGGTGGGACAGAGAGACTTCTCCCTGATTTTCACCTGGATTCTGAAAATGATCTTGGAGTGGCTGCCCTGCCCCAATCTCAGGTGCAAATACACCAAAGTAGGGGCACAGTGTAATTAGGAATGGAAGGGACTCAGGAGTTCCTGTAGTTTCTCCAGGGGGAAGGGGGATGGATCCAGGAGGAAGCTGAGATCGGAGCTAGCATGTCCTCTTCAGAGTCATCAGTGGGCTGATGAGAGGGAGGGAGGGTACCACTCCCATTTCCTCAGCAGGGGCTACAGGTGGACTACTTAGCCCAGGTCTGGATGAAGGGCATATGGGAGGCCGTGGTCACCTGGAGACCCAGCAAGAGCCAAGAGAACTCTGCATCTCTGCTCTCTCAAATTATGCAAGCTAAACTTCTTACATATGCCCAGATGCTGTCTTAGAAACTGGAAAAGAGGCGTGGAAATAAGGAAGATGAGCAATTACTCCTAAATCATGAACAGGACCTATAGGGACTATTTACGTTATATATTTGATTAAGCTTTAAACCAGATTGGGTTAAATAGACTTTAAAAAAACCCCAAATCTACATAGTAGGGGTTCAAGAAGGAGATCAGATTAGTCAGACAAAATAAAGAACCAACATGTTCCTCTGCATGACTGTGTTGCAGTGTAAGTGAAATTTGCAACCCTATTACTGCAATAAATGTCATAATTTTATTAAGGGGAAGGGAAATAATATTTGTTTAACAGTCACTCTATTGGGCTTGTTTTCTTTATTTAATCATTACAAAAACCCTTTCTGATAAATGTTATTATGCCCATTTTAAAAAATGGAGCCCAGATTTTAGAGAAGTTGATTATCTTAATCATTTACATATAAGAGGCACAACAGATATTTCAACTATATTGACACCATGCCCCTTATTATGTACATATGTGGAATACTTCACTTATTTAAAATATATATGTTGCTTCTGACTTTTGTTTCACAACAAAATCCTGGTAGAGGGAAGTACTGGAAGGAGGCATCTATAGAAGGAGTAGGAGGCACCCTTATGATCTGAAAGTTCCAGAGAAAATAAACTCATAATAGATAAGTTCAGAGGTGTGCAAAAGGCACCTTAAGTACAAATTGTTTCTAGGGTCAGAATCTGAAAGTATACTGAGCTGACCCTACAGCTAATCAATGACATTAGTATGTTTAAGGGAAAAATGTGTGAGTTTGACGTGGAGGAGGCAGTCAGCATGGGCTCTACACAGATCAGAGTAGAGAGGGCATTTGTTCCCAGTGTCAGGGATATCATGAGAATAATTCTGTTAAATTTTGTAGTATTCAATTTTCTTTGCTTTGAATCTAGGTTTAGCAAACAAACAAATCTCTGATTATATTTTGACTTCCTATGTAAATCTGTGCCAATTTGTGCATTCTGTGTCAACCATGTCTCCCTTTATGAACGAATCCTTTAGAAATCCAATTTATTCATCAATGTATTGTGAGTTTGTTTAACGTGAGTTCCTCTTCGAGGAGTCTGCTCTGCTCTTGGTGTACCAACAAATACAAGACCTGCAAAGTTGAAAATCAAAATCTGAAGCACAGAGAAACACCAAGGTAATACCACTCAATGAGATCTCCAGACAATCTGCCCAGTGTCCTCCTGGATACATTCTGAGCACAGCTACAAACTTCAACACTTTAAATGATGTTTTATTTAATGTAGAAAAATTAGTGTCATTGCCCAAATGTTGTATCTTCAGAGAAACTTTGTTTTAAAAGTGCTAGACATCAATGTCTAGATTTAAAATATAATGGGGTACTTTGTCATCAATGTACCTCCAAATCAAGAGAAATATTAACTTCAATCTGGTATCAAGAATTCCTGGTAAAAGCACTGCCAGGTAACTCTCCAGATGAGGATGGGAATTTTCCTGTGATAGGGATTTTACTCCTTCTTGAGGTAGCACATTCTTCCTTTACACAGCCAGGGGACCACTGGAATATGCCCCTTAAGTTGAGGAGAAGCCCTCAGTCCTTATTCCACCCATATATCATATCCAGTTTTCATATGATAATACTATTTTACATTTACTGAGTTCTTACTACATGCAAACAAATGCAAATTGCTTTAAGTACACCATCTCATTTTATCCTCATGATAGTTCTAGGAAGTAAGTTGTGTTTTTATCCCCATTTTAAAAATGAGGAAACTGTAGAAACTGTGAAGCCCTGAAAATATTTCAAAAGATCTACTGTCCTTCCTTCCTTCCTTCCTTCCTTCCTTCCTTCCTTCCTTCCTTCCTTCCTTCCTTCCTTCCTTCCTTCCTTCCTCCCTCCTTTCCTTTCCTTTCCTTTCCCTTCTCTTTCCTTCCTTCCTTCCTTCCCTCCATTCTTCCGTCCTTCCTTCCTTCTTTAATCCCTCCCCACCTCACTCCTTCTCTCCCTCCCTCCTTTCCTCCCTTCCTTCCCCACTTACTCTGTGCTAAATATAGAGTTTTATAATGGGGATATAAAGCAAAATAGACTTAATCCTGGCTTTATAAGGCTTACTGTCCAGTAGGAAGATAGACCTGTGAATAATCCTTGCAACACAGCACCACAGGTACTGTGAGGGAAGTAAGTAACAGACACAACAGGACACAAAGGAAGGTGATTCCCATGCTGGCAGGGAACTCATTAAAGGTTTTAATGGAGGATGTGCTTGAATTGAGACTTGAAAAACATTCTCCTGGCAGGGAAATATGGTGGTGTTGAAAGGGGTCAGGGTAATGTGACTCTTCCAGGCAAAAGGAGCAGCAAAGTCATGAGATGAAAAACAACCAGGAGTAGCTCGTCAGCTTGGCTGAAGCGTATGGTTGGACAGATCAAAGTTTACATCCTCAGACTGAGGTGGAGGTAAGAGCAGGGAACCCTATTGCATTTGTGGCATTTGTTGAGGGACTCCTAGGGCTCAGGCTTGATGGTTTAGACCCTGGGAAGAGCCAGGCCTGGGGCAGAAGGATTAAGTTGTTCAGCTCGAGGGTAAGGAATGAGTCTTATTATGACCCCCAAGAGCAGTGTATTTAGCGACAAAGGCAGGATAGAACCTATGTTTTCTGACTTCCTACTGTTGCATAATGGTATAAGATCCTTAAACTCAAAATACTTTCTTGAAAAGTGCAATGCCAAGTACCTTGCAAAACTCCTTGGAATATAAGATTTGGCAGTTCCTACTTTAGAGTTTTTCCTGCACTAAAATTCTGATCATGTTCTAAGGGCATAAAATATTGGGGCCGCAATTACCCATATGTTCCTCTTTAGAAGTGGATCATGACTTGTTTTCTGAGGAAAATTTTGGCCCTGCCTGGATGGAGATGGCAGAGATGGTATGTCCTTCAATATGGGCCCAAGTGCTGGTTTGTCAATGTTCATAAGACAACATCAAAACAATACCTTTATACTTGTTGTTTCTTAAAGAAGGTAAATAGATCTTCCTTGAAGGAGTGACATAGAACATTTGGCTCCAAGGACTTGTCTTTGATAACCAGTATTAATGAATTAATCAACTAATTTTGGAAATATCTATGAAGTGCCTACTCTGTGCCTGGCACTATACTAGATGTTGGGAATACAATAGTGAACAACAACAATAAAAAAAAATGCGGTTGTCCTTGTTGTATTTACAGTCTAGAGAGGGAAACAGACAAATAAGGACTTTCTTGATGAAGCAGCTTCTTGGTTGAGATGTGAAGGAAAAGTCCCAGACAAGGCAGGGGGCAAAGAGTTGAGGGAGAGAGTGTTCCAGATAGAGGGAACAGCATGTATAAAAATCCAGAGGTGAGAAAGCCCATAGCTTTTTCAGAGATCTCAAAAGAGTTCATTCAGGAATTTAGAATGAGGGGAGTAGTCACAGAGTTGAGGTTGGAGATGTAGACTGGGACCAAAGTCTGCAGTCAATCATTAGGGGTGTGGGATTCATGCTAAGAGTCCTGTTGAACCATTCAGTTGTTTAAGCAGAAGTTTGTTATTGAGGAAGCAGGTTGGCTATGGTTAGAAAAACAAATTAGAATAGGAAAAGATCAGATAGAAAGTTGTGTGGTAATCCAGGCTAAAAGAAGGGTCATACCAGCCTACAGAATGGGAGAAAATACTTGCAAACTATGCATCCAACAAAGGTCTAATATCAAGAATCTATAAGGAACTTAACAAGCAAAAAGCAAACAGCCCCATTAAAAATGGGCAAAGGACATGAACAGGCATTTCTCAAAAGAAGACATACATGCAGCCAACAAGCATATGAAAAAATGCTCAATATCACTAATCATTAGAAAAATGCAAACCCAAAACCACAACGAGATACCATCTCACATCAGTCAGAATTGTTATTAAAAAGTCAAAAAATGGCTGGGCATGGTGCCTCATGCCTGTAATCCCAGCACTTTGGGAGGCTGAGTCAGGATGATCACCTGAGGTCAGGAGTTCAAGACCAGCCTGGCCAACATGGTGAAACCCCATCTCTGCTAAAAATACAAAAATTAGCCAGGTATGGTGGCATAAGCCTGTAATCCCATCTACTTGGGAGGCTGAGAGAGAAGAATAGCTTGAACCCAGGAGGCAGAGGTTGCAGTGAGCTGAGATCTGCCACTGCACTCCAGCCTGGGTAACAGAGCAAGACTCCATCTCAAAAAAAAAAAAAAAAAAAAAAAAAAAAAGTCAAAAAATAACAGATGCTGGCAAGGTTGTGGAGAAAATGGAACACTTATATACTACTGGTGGGAATGTAAATTAGTTAAGCCACTGTTGAAAGCAGTTTGGCAATTTCTCAAAGAACTTAAAATAGAACTACCATTTGATTGAGCAATCCCATTACTGGGTATATACCCAAGAGAATATAAGTTGTTCTATCATAAAGAACATGCTTGTGTATGTTCATTGCAACAATATTCACAATAGCAGACATGGAATAAACCTAGATGGCAATCAATGGTCGACTGGATAATAAAAATGTGGTACACATGTATCATGGAATGCCACAGAGTCATCAAAAAGAACAAGATTATGTCTTTTGCAACAACATGGATGGAGGCTATTACCCTAAGTCAATTAACACAGGAACATAAAACCAAATGCTGCATGTTCTTACTTACAAATGGGAGCTAAATACTGAATATACATGGACACAAAGAAGAGAACAATAGACAATGGAGCCTGCTTGAGAGTGGACGGTGGGAGGAGGGAAAGGATTGAAAAACTGCCTATCAGGTACTAGGCTCATGACCTGGGTAACACAATTATCTGTACCGTGAACCCGTGTGACACGCAGTTTACCCACGTAACAAACCTGCACATGTACCCACTGAACCAAAAATACAAGTTGGAAAGAAGAAAAAAAAAAGATGGGTCACCTGTCCTTGGGTAGCTGAGCTGAAAAAGGAGAGAAAAAGACCTATCGGAAACTATCTACAGGATTTGCTGCTATTTACCAGTTCCTCATTAGGAATAATCATTTACAGAGACTTCCCTGAAGGATAGGTAGCCCACTAGTCTTTAAACCTGGGTTTTAGATTAGTTAAGAATAAGGGGTCCCTGATCTGAAGTGCATATACTTTGTATATATCCAATGTTGCTGCTGTGTTTAATTGTAAATTGAGATTTTAGATGAAAATTTATGAAAATTTAAGAATTTTTCTTCACTTATTAAGCAAAAACATGCATTTCTCAATCCATTCTCAAGATTATAACTTGAACACAACCAACTTCTTCAATCTTAAGCTCGACAGTGATGTTTTTGTTTTTATAAGAAGTAACTTATTTTCACCTAGTAATTCTGTAATTTTTATATGGCAGAATCTTTGAGTATTTGGTTGCAAATAGACATTCTAAAAATATAAATGTGGTTATATTGGGCTAGTCTTTTTCTGAGTCACAGAAATAACTCCCTCGCGCTCTCATTTTTTTCAGCAGCCAGGTTTTGTATTATACACAAGAAATATGAATTTAAAAGATTTATTCATGTCCCTAAGAAAGTAGAAATATAGCAGAGATGGAAGGCAATCAGATCTTCACTCTGTAGTGTGATAAATGCCCCCACAAAGGGTAAGCACAAAGGGTAAGTTAGAATGCCGTAACTTTACAGGTTTCCCTTTTCATCTTGGTTGTGGGAACAGCCCTGCTATGTGAAACTTACTGCATTGCTTTGTTCTATGTCTGATTGTACCAACATTATGCAGACCCAGCATGTGTGGGTGTCTGACTCCTTCCTCCCCATTTTGAAGTCAAAAGGTTTGGAATTACATGTCATGCAAAAGGTTGCAGTTTCTATTCAGACCAAATCTCGTTGTTGCAGGTAACCTTTTAATGCCAGATTTTGCTTAATGAAGTTACTTCCACATTGCTTCTGTTAACCCATGGTTGGAAGATTGCTTTGCTAATCTAGAACCCAGGAATTCTATCAAAAGACACATTCTGCAGAAAGGACATTCTCATCAAGTCTCTGATCAATCTGCTTAACAACATTGGCATTGATTTACATTAGTTGGATGTAGCAGAATCCAAGAATGGCCACAATTGTTTGCAGCAATCTCACCACGAGGCAGAATCCATTTCTCCACCTAATCAATCTGAGTTAACCTGCAACTTACTTTGGCCAATAGAATATGAAAGAAGCAAGTTCTGAGTCTAGGCCTCAAGAGGCTTTGCATTCTTAACTCTTACTCTTGGAATTTTGCTGCTGTCATGAATAAGCCTGGACTGAACTGCTGGGTCATGAGATATGTGGCCCAGTTATCCCAATCTCCCATCCACTAGACGTGTGAAAGAGCCTATCCTATTCAGTCCCCAGCTGATCTACCTGCTGACCACAAATGCATAAGCAAGCCCATCCAGGATCAACCAAGCCTGGCCAGATTAGTAGAACCATGCAAGTGACTAATAGTTCATGAGAAGTAATAAATGGTTGTTATTTTAAGCCACTAAGGTTTGGAGTTGTTTGGTATGCAGTAAAAGCTAGACAATAACACTACTATTTTGACGTTACTGCCGTGGTAGTAAGTCCTAGTGAATTTCAGAGCAGAGTAGGATGAAGAAAGGAAGGAAATTAGAGAAAAAGAAAGAAGATAGCATGTGCTTATCACCTTTGCATGCCCAGCTGATGATTTCTTTACCTGAACCAATGAAGAAACAAGTAAACAAGTCTCCTGAATATTTCAGTAGGAGATTACACATAAAGAGGAGATTCAAATCTCTAAATTAATTATAATTCACAAAAGATTTATCAAATTGAGCCCATGCTATGAATGGCAGTGAATGTTGACAATGTCAATTCCATAATAAGAAAAAATATATAATTCCATCCATTTACTCTTATCTAAAGACACCATGAAATCATTTATTTATTTATTTATTTATTTATTTATTCCACTGCCTCTTCCAAAAGATTAGGAGTAACAGTTGACAGATTGGATAAGTAGTCAGTTACTGATTACACCAGAAACATAACTCACACAAACTTTGGAAAATAGACATCGTCTTGGATTTAAATTTAACAGAACCCTTGATGGGCATTCCTTCTGTCTACCAAGCCCAGGGCTCAGCCAGAGGAAGACAGAAAGAAGGATAAGAAGAGAAGCATATGGTCTGATTTGGAAAGGTGGTGGGGAGGGATGGCAACATGAGTAGATTTGATTTGATTGCACATAAGGAGCAGTTAGAAAGCCACATAGCCGAAGATGGCATTGCACAGGGTCAGGGGAAAGATGATCCACTGAGAGTGAGAAGGGCTTCCAGAGACTCATCGAGGGGCCTCTGAACCATCTGTTTAGCCCTCTAGCCTCAGTTTCCTTCTTTGTAAACTTTGCACTGGGCAAGTTATTACATTTCTGGTCCTGAGACAAGTCAACCTATCTTGAGTGTTTGTGCCTTGCTCGTACTTTGAGAAAGTGATCCTAGGCTTCTGATGAAAACTTTTGTTTGTTACAATGATTTCTTCAACCTTTAATGTGTTTTGATTGCCTGGTATGTGACAGGTACTCTGAGAAGCACTGGTCATACCTTGGTGAACAAAATGCAGTCACCACCTTTGAGGAACTTAAGTATGCACTGTCGAGAAGATTACACAGCAGGGAAAGAGCTATTATGGAGCAAATACCTGGCTCCTCCAGGAAGGAGGATGGGGTTAGCAGAGAAGCCTTCCCAGAGAAGAAAATCCTTTTGAAACAGCTGAGGGAGGAGTAGTAGTAGTCAGATGAAGATGCATTTGTAGGGACTGTCCAAGCATGGATGTTCTTATCACTTGGCTCCACTGCATAGAAGCAAGTAATACTGATGTCCAAATAACTGTACTTAGAGCACTTTATTAGCTTAAGAATGTAAACATTTTAGGGCTACTTTGAGATTTTACAAAACTTTTTATGTGCTTGTTGTCATGGAGCCCTGTTTTATTATTTATGAGAACATGGAAAGACAGAAGAATTAGAGACCTTTAGTCAGGCTTCATCACATTCCATGGAAAGGAGATAATTGCGATTGCTAAAAAGATGGTGTGCAGGCAGGCGGCACACTCCAGCACATTGCACATAAAACAAGCCATGCTGGAGAATAAAGATCTGGGAAAGGGTTTCAGGGTTTGTCATGTGTGTGTGTGTGTGTGTTTGTATTCACTTTAATATTAGCAAATTATATTTCAGAACACTTGGAAAATGGAAGATTACTTATAATTTCACTCCTCTTATCACCATTTTTTGAATTTTGAGTATCTTAACTATTTTCCCCCTGCATTAAAAAATATGTAATTGTAGTAGACATCCGTATACAATCTAGAATTCTGATTTTTTTCACCACTTAATATTAGAACATAGGATTTTTCTCATCACTTTGTAGTCTTCATAGCAATAGCCATAATTTTAATATCTAAAGTGTATTCTACCCAATGGATACATTGTGATTTACTAAACCATTTTCCTATTTTTGGGACATTTGAGTTGATTACATTATTTTATTATTACCAGTGATGCTATGATGAATACCTGGGTGGCATAGGAATATGGAACTAGTAGAGACTTTAAATGTTACTTGAGGCTCTTTTCCCCCTTGGCGTTCAGAAGAGGACTTTGTTTTTTTCACAGCACAACTGGAGAGGTGCCAGCAAGATAGACTATAATGCAATTGACCCTTCGTGGGATAATGCTATGGGGTAGCCAGGGGGACATACGAAGTTCTGTTATACATTTATGGATTACAGGGGAGAATCAAACCCATAATTTCCACAATGGAAATATTTAACTTGAGGTTTATACAGCCCGTATCACTGAAACGGACAATGGAAAATGTGGCTGCAACTACTGTTACAGCTGCTGATATCCATTGCAGACATGGCCCAGGATTTCTCCACTTGGCTTCCCATTCAAAATTTGGAATGGATGCTGTGATTGGTGGAGCAGGGGTATGTGCCAGTGACCAAGTGAGGAGACTGGGAAAATTGGCATCTTAACCTGAGCTCTTCAGAAAAGAGAGCCTGAGGCAGAGGCAGGGTTTTATGTACTGGTGTATACATATGAGGGCATGTGACTGAGCTGACCATAGTTTAGCATGAAGACTGAGCAGTCTGACTAGTTGCACGATCTTGTGGGCAAGAGGCTGCAAAAGTGACAGCTTCTCAGGGAAGTCCATTCAGAATGGAATGGAGAATTTATACCCTAGCTCCTGTTTCCCATTGTCACAGGTTTGCCCAGTGTTACATCTGTCCCCTGCACTTTCAGGTTGTACGTGCTTGAGCCAAGCAAATGCATTTTCATGTCTCAGCACCAACAAGGAAATGCTGGTGCAGGAGGTTAGAGGTGCCCAGCATTGGCATGAGGTGAGGTGCTGTCAGGCTGTGTCTAGGTGAATCAATGACAATCCATACAGGGTGGTCACTGCAAAGGTGAGACAAAAGAAAATGAATTGGAGCATAAAAGTTATTTGGTGCGATCTTTTTAGCTTCTCTCTTGAAATGTATGCTCTTTCTGTCAGGAGCCTCCTCTCACATCAGCTGGGTACTAAAAAAAAAAAAGGATGAATGTCCACTTTGGTACCTCTGTATTATTTCAGGGCATTTAAAAAGCAAGTTCTACTGATGGGAATCACAGATACTGAAAATAATGATGAAATAAAACCTTGTGAATATATTTCCTGCAGATTAATAGTTCTTGAAATTAAAGACAAAGTCATTTCTGAAATTGCTTTTGGCAATAGTACTCATTCAAGATGTGGATGTATTGAACGTGTATTCTGGAGTCTGTGTTTTATGGATGCATTCTAACGAGTTTCAAATTTTGTGTTCTCTCTGGTTCTCTGTGCCACTCATAATGTTTCTTTCCAACAATTTGTTTTGTCTTCTCTATGATTTGTTGATGAATTGCTTCAAGAACTAGTGATCTTAGACATACATAGTATGTCTTTGGAAAACAAAGGACGAAGAGAATAGAACTTGAAAATTAAATGCAGTATTTATGGAAGGAATTAAAACTCTTCAATTACAGTTTTTAGTAACTTTACTTTGTATGTATCAGAGTCATCCTGAATGCTGATGGTCATGGGGCCAGAGGGAAAAAGAGAAAACCCTTGAGTGTCTAGTATTAGCTCTGACTGAGATGATAATTGCTTTTTTGTTCACAACCAGAATTAGTCACACAGCCCCACTACAACCACAAGGGGGCAGGAAGTGCAGTCCTGTGGTATGCCTAAAATGGGGGAGAACCATGACTATTTGGCAAACAGTAACAATGACTACCACAGCAGGGTTGGCATTTTTAGCAGTTAATGTTACAGAAAGCTTGTGTGACAAGTAATATGCAGCAGGTTTGAGGCTGTGGTGTGCATGGCATTTTTAGACGTTTAAATTACAGAAAGGCTTATTTGTAAAATGAATATGTAGCAGGTTTGAATGTATAACCACCAACACAGCTGTTCAAAAGGGTTTAAAAAAATCTTTATTTGCTTTAAATTACTGTAAATCTTACTCTGAGTCCCTATTCCTCATAAAAATAGTGGGAAATGCAATCTCAGTCTTGTTGGGGCTCCCCTGCTGCAGAGTTATGCAGTCAGGGGAGATCTTTGGCTTAGCTCAGCATCAAGGAGGTCTGATCTTCAGTCCACTGGGCACTGCTGAAATGTGCAATAGTCAAGCCCACATGTGATCCCTCTGGGGCTGGGGACTCTGCTGCTTCTGGACAAGCTGGGAGGCACCAGAATATCTGCTGAAGCTGGGAAGCCTAATGGCTAATGGGCCTGCCTCCCATGGGGCATCACACTATGATCCCTCTGAGGCTGCTCCACTTCACCAAGCAGGACCTGAGTGCCTCCCACACCTGGGGATTAACAGCCTCGGTCCCTTTCCTAGTATGAAGTAAACTCTTCCTGTGCTCATGCTTCCTTAAAGGACAAGAAGAGCTGCTGATCTTGAGCAGCTTCTCTTTCTGCAAAGCACTGAACTTCTGAAGCCACTTATTCCATTGGCACACAAGGTCTGCCTCACGTGATCATTACCCATGGTTGAAAGAATTAAAGGAGACCTGTAAAAGCAATTGCCACAGTGAAGCTCCAAGAGTGTGAATGGAGAGTGAAAGTGTAAATCAACTTCAGTAAAAAACAATGGACAGAGCAGGGGCAGGGCTAGGAGAAGAAAATTAATATTTATTGTGTACCCACGATGTGCCAGGCCTTCGTAAAATATTTTAATATGTGATCTCACTTAACCATCACAGCAATACTATGAAATAGAGAGTATGAGCCCATTTTACAGAGGAGGAAACTGAAGCTCAAAGCGTTCTATGTCTGCATAAAAATAGTACTGATAGCTAATATATATGATGCTTACTATATGCCAGTCACAGTTATAAGATCTTTATGGGTATAAACTCATTTATTTCTCATGATAGTTCCACTATATAGGTGTATATTTCTATTTTAGAGATGAGAAAATTGAGTCATAGAGATTTCAAAAGATTTACCCAAGGTCACGCAGCTAGAAAATGATGAGGTCAGAAATGACTCCTGGCAGTCTGCTCCAAAGTCCGTGCTTTAAACCACTGTGCTGTACTGCCGAGTACAGTATAATGCTGTAGGGAGAAGGAGAAAGAGAAAGACAGAGACAGAGAGAAACATACAGAGAGATAGACAGACACACACAGACTCAGAGAGACAAAGACAGAAAAACAGACCGAGAGAGAGGGAGACACAGGGAGAGACACAGACACACACACACACACACACACACACACACACAGATCATAGACAAATTCTAAAATTTGAATATATATGTTGAAATTACTTAAGACTTTCTCCAAAGAGGTTCAGTGCCTTTCCAAAGAGTTGAGCCTCAAAATTAGTCCTGGGATGCAGCCTGGCACCTGAGGCCAATGAAGAGTGGACTCTGCCCTGTCTTCTCATACAGACACCCAGCCCCTTTGAGCTGAAAGGTAAATTAGCAATGTCTGCCATTGCCTACTATTGAAACAGAAAGGCTGTGTCAGCATTCCAAATGGGGTGGCTGATGACTTGGCAGTTAAATACTCAAAACAACTTCCCTGAAAATGGAATATTAAGAGCATGCTTTTTCTTTCTCAGGTGCCATTTCTTATCACCTGGTTGGCTAGAAGCCAGATGCTTTTAAACACTAACACTGTTTAAATTTCTTGGGGTCAACTCTTTGTAAACAGTGCTGGTGTTTGTACAAAGTAACATTGGCCCTTGACTATAAAAGCTTAAAGATTCTTGGCTTTCCAAGCAGCCAAGTTACTTTTAGCCCAAGGAGATAGGTAAAATATACTAATTTCCCAGAGGGGAAAAAGATCATTTCCCCTTCTTTCAGCATCTTTCAGTGGTAACTTCAAATAGGTGAATAGAAAGATTAGGTGTCTTATTCCTGCCATAAAAAGACGACTAAAGCCCAGATTTTCTGATCCCTTTCTGCTAATTAAAGTACAGAAGACTAGATTCCATGGATTTTATTTTACTAACCCTTCCAAAGTGTATAGACTGATATGGTATTTTCAGACTGCTTATCTTTGAATAAAATTTATACCCAGTGATCATATTTAGTTTTAATGTTATTACTTGGTATAGCTATTCTAGCATCAGACACAAGGACTGTAAGTGATCATCCCATGAACTACTTTACAAATGATTTGGCTTTTTTTAAAAAAAAAAAAAACCACAACACGTGAATACCTAATTGTATACTCAATTAGTATAAATAGCTAATCTGATTTGATCAGATGATCAAAATCCATATGGCTCATATATCAAAACTCATCTGGGATCACAGATAGATACCCTCTGCTTGATGCATTAAAAAATTCCTGAAGAGCGCACAAAAAACAAATTTTGTTTTATAACAAATCGAATTATAATTTACAACTACTAGAGAAACTGGCTATGTGAAGGGCTATCATGATAAACTATTTTATGAATCAAATAATGACCTTCAATCTTCATTTATTAAGTTGTGTCTTTTCTTTATTCTTTCAGAATAGATTTGAGGCATACATTGCAACTCATAGTTTGTAAATTTGAATATTTGGGTTTGTGAAAACTGGTAGACTAAACATGCAAACATAAAAATGCTTTAAAAGTTATCCTTCCTTCCGCCGGGCACGGTGGCTCATGCCTGTAGTCCCAGCACTTTGGTGAATCACCTGAGGTCAGGAGTTCGAGACCAGTCTGGCCAACATGGTGAAACCCCATCTCTACTAAAAATACAAAAAAATTAGCTGGGCGTGGTGTCGGGTGCCTGTAGTCCTAATTACTCCGGAGGCTGAGGCATGAGAATCACTTGAACCCGGGAGGCGGAGGTTGCAGTGAGCCGAGATTGCACCATTGCACTCCAGCCTGGGTGACAGAGTGAGACTTTGTCTCAAAAAAAAAAAAAAATTATCCTTTCTTCAAAATAATTTCTGTAAATTGTTAATAACGTCTAAAATGACTATTGAAAGATTAAAACATCTTTTATCATATATGCCAAGAGTGTTCATGACTAGCAGAAATTTACCTTTGACTGTTTATCAATTTATAATTGTAGGATTTCAGTTCCTTCCATTAAAAGTGTGGCCTAGATTATAGCACTTGCTGGCATTTACTATTTTGGTCATCCTATTACAGATGATTATAGAGAGATTTGTAAGTGCTTTGCTATTTTAAAATTTATTTCCAGGTCAGTCTGAAAATTTTTACTTTTTCAAAAGAAAACATAGACTCTTGCGGGTATGTTTACATTGTAGTATTTAAATTTATGCTGAATTTACTGTTTATATGAATGATCAGATCCAGTTAAATACATTTTTATCTACTTCTATGGAGATTTATGAAAATAAAGCAAAAGCAGGAAGAAGGTAATGACTTACACGGTAATTGTTATTTATAATTTAAGTACATTAATTATGGCAAGATAAGTTATAAGCAATGGGAAAAACCACTTGTTTTTAAGTCTGCATATGTGTGTGTGTATGTATGTGTATACATATATATTCCTGTTACATCAGAAGGTTTTTGCTTGAATTGTTTCCTAATTTCTCTCTTACTGATATATATATTAATGTGCTATGGATTATGATGGCTATTATCAAAATATATAATATATGTAATATTGGAAAATTTATCTTTCATAGAAACTTCAAACAAAAGTGACATTTAAAATTATATGTGATGAACACATTTTACCATGTGCAATACATGCATTTGATATAATTTTGCCACAGAAATAATAAAACTAACAAAAGTGTGCTGAATATTATTTCACGTGGGGGGGGGTGTAAAGGCATAACGCTTTCATTTTTGCTTTATATGGCTAGCTCCCCATCACTGCACTAGTGTTGGTTTTTCCTTTTAGTTCCTTTTGACCTTTTAGCTCTTTCCACCCTTCCATCTTTCCTAGCCCAGAAAACAGGTGTAGGAGGAAATTGGTTTCTTTATGAACTCTCCTTCCAGCCACAATAATCTCAGATTGACTCCACTCTCAAGATCCCGTGCTAAGCTTTGTGTTTGGATGAAAACCCAAAACATATTGTAAAATTTAATATTGCGTTTTCATATGCTTAAACCTAATTTACCTTTTAGAAAAAAAATTTGCATATTTCTTCCTTCTTAAGGGCCCACACACAATGTGGAAAATGCTTGGAGGCAGGATGGTGTGATAGGTTCTCTGGAGGTTTCTGAGAGGGGCATTGAAGTCGACTTTTGTTTCTCTTTTTTTCTTCTCCCTAAGCTTTAGTAATATGAAACCTGGCAGGGATGTCTTAAGCCAGCTCTGCACGGAAGGTGGACCTAAATTGCCTCTAAGCTGATGAGCTGACCCTCCCCTCCACTAACCCTCCACCTCCACCTTTTCATTTCTGAGATGAAACTTTGAAAATTATTATTATTATTATTATTATTATTATTATTATTATTATTATTTGCAGGAAGCTGTGTCTGCAGACTATGAACAGAGGAATCGTCTCCACTGCTCACTGACCCTAACCCATTGGGTCTCTGGCTAAAGCAGAAGAGTCCCACACCTGAGGGGAGGGTGTTCGCTCTGAACACACAGCTTCAAGGATGTTCTGCTCTAATGGAAAGGCTCTAGACTGTAGCTAAGACTTTCACTCGTCCAGATATTTACAGTTTGAAGGACTTCCCTCCTGATATTTTTGGCAATAAAGGAGAAAATCATTTCTCCTCAGAGCATTTGAAATTGGAAAAATAAACGTGCTGTGTGCAGCTGAATCTTCTAAGCCTTTGACATTTTTCAGTGGCAGGATGGAGGGTCCGTATGGACAGTCAGACTTGAGCGCTTGAACACTTACAGTCTTTGCGTCTGCAAAACCTGGATAATCACTCCATATACCACCTGCCGGGAACTAATTTTCTTGTCATTTCATAAAAAAAGATTCCCAGTCTTCTAGACAAGTTGCAAGGACTGACTAACGCGGGGGAATGCTTGCATATCAGCAGACCAGAGGTGGTGTAGACGCCAAGCGTGGACCGAGTCCCGGGGCGCCCCAGAAGTGTCTTCTCCCCGAGCGACAGAGTTAATGCCTCGCATTAACAGCTATGAGTCCCTCTTGGGTTTCTCCCACTCCCAACACCCTTCTCTGAGCCCCTGGCCACCGTCGCCTTCTCCTCTCGCGCCCCACTGACCAAACATCCCTTTCATCAGGTGGGGTTGGGGTGTCTAGTTTTCGGGAAGGATCGCGCAAGGGTTAATGATGAAAGCTGGCGACCAGGTGGGGCGCCCACACCCGCCCCCGGCCACGGTGGGCGTCGGAGGTGAGGGGGCGCTATTCGGGCAGCAGTGCTCCGGGTGGCGCGCGGGAGAGCTGCCAGGCTGACGGAGAGGCCGGCCCGAGTGGGGGCCGCTCCGCCGCCGCCGCCGCCGCCGCCGCTGTGATGCGGAGCCGGTGCTGCGCCGGGCGGTGGAGTCAGAGCCCGGGCGCGGGAGCAGGAGCTGCAAGATCAGCACCAGCGGCTCCGGCACCTGCACCAGCTCCCGGGCCCCGCGCTGCGCTCTCCGCCCCGCCGCACTCGGGGCCGTCGCCCCGCGCTCTCTATGGATGTCAAGGCGGCCCCCAACGGGGTGGCCACTATCGAGGACCGGATCCTGCGGATCACCGGCTACTATGGCTATTATCCAGGTTACTCCAGCCAGAAAAGTAAGACGCCGCGCGGCTGCCCTGCGCGAGGCGGGGAAGGGAGGTGGGCGCGCAGGGGTGCCGCGGGGATGCGGACGGGCGGGCGCGCGGTACGGACACCTGCAGCCCTGCGGACGCTGTCAACACCGCCTTCCTGGCGGCGGGGACCCCCCGGGGAGAAAAGTATGTCCGCTGTCCTCGGTGCTGAACCGTGAGAGGGCAAGGGGCCCGGCTGGGTGCGCCCAGGAGTTTGGAAACAGTCGTAGCCTTGGGGGGAGGTGCGGAGGGGACCTGGTGAGCGCTCCTGACCGCCGTTGGCCGGCTCACCCTGGTGGATTTACGCCCGGAGGAGGCTAACATGGCTGTTCACTTAGCGGAAAGTCAGCCCTAGGGGATACATGCCCCGAAAGCCCCTACTGCGTGCGGGGCGCTGGGGACGCAGGCTGGGGAGGCTCGGGGGTGGGGCTGGCGGGGGCGGCCGACCCAGACGTGGGTCCCGGCGCTGGTGGGGTCAGCTCGTTCACTCCGGGCTGTTGAGACGCTGCCAGCGCGGGAGTTACTCCGGTTACAGTATCTTTAGGAGGTTCTTCACCCTGGGAAGAGAAAAGAACCTGCTCAGGTCTCCGAGCCCCAGAGCTTGGAGCCAGAGACCCGTGCAAAAGACTGGGGGCGTGGGGGGGGGGGGTCTGAGAAGGGGAGGCGACAGGGCCACCCGCCCCCGCCGCACGTCGCGGTCACCGCTTTCTTCCAGCTAAGCGAGGTCATGCGGCGTGGATGCTTTCACGTTTTTGGACCAGTTTTGGTGGGAGGGCGATGAGGTGTGCTCTGCTCGCAGTCCCCCTCCCCCAGTACACAAACCCACTAGCTATATTTGCTGGGATTAGTTCTACTGGCGACTGAAGTGCAGCTCATTTTTCTTCGAATTGGAGGAGTAGCTGCGGTTTAGTTTCTATGCAGGTGGGCTTTCGCTTTTTTCTTTATCAATGCATTTCTGTTGCAACAGATGAAGCTTAATTGATGTTTTTGCCGTTATTGTTGTCAGAAGCTTGGAAGCTCCTAGATGCATTTCTGATACGTATTTTTCTATGACATTTGGGGTGCAATCAACATTACAGTTTCTGTGATGCGTGGGACCCACAAAAATTCCGGCACAAAGACAAGAAAACACTATTTTTTCATGTAACTTTCTCCCCTACCATGCTTCCTCTCTATTGAATAATAATTCAAGAGCTTTGTTCCATGGGCTGTTCTCACACAGATATTTTCTAGTTCGATATTTCATCTGGTTTCAGGAAAGGCCTATCTGATTTGGATGGTTTCTGTCTAGCTGTTTTTAGCATTAGGGGCTTAAATTATTCATTTTCCATACAAAAGTAATTATATAGTGTTAGAATTTTCTGGAAAGAAAATAACACACTGTGGAATGCCCTTTGAAGTACTATACACTCAAAAACTTCTCCTTTTTTATTGGCAAAGGATTTCTTTTTTAACCCTGGAAACATAAGTAAAGGAACTAATATATCTTGTGGAAATTACTTGACTTTCACCTTTGAATATTTTAATTAGGAACCATGGGATTTTAGTGGCTTAGAGAATGTAGAAGCTGTGTGTGAAATTACAAGACTCAGGGTGGTTTATTATTGTAATTTTTATGACAATGGAACTTTGGCTAACAATGAACAACCCAAAAAGAATACTGAAAAAGTGACATTTTAGATAAGAACATGTTCATATTATATTTTTGTACTTGCTCAAATAGCTGCACATGCTTCATTTGCAACACAATAACAGGACAAAAAAAGGGAAGAGCACTGGCCAAGGCTATAACTGGTAGCCAAAAGGGATAAAGATTAACTTGGCATGGTTATTTGTGATGGGCACTTACCTACCTAAGTTCAGACCGTAGAGTTAAAAGAGTGAAGGCAGAGAATCTCACAAGAAGAGAGAATTAAGTGATAGTCAGATAAATCTCAGGATGCTCATGCTTTCGGAAGTAGAGAAAGATTGCTATTTTGCACAGTGAGAGATTGAGAGAGGAGAAAGCTGGAGGAGGGCCAGGGAACCGAGCACCATGAAATAATCCTGTCCTAATGCAGGCTTCAACTAGTAAACAAACACACTGAAGCAAACCAGTACAATATGGTCAATTGATTTGGCTGTTACAGGGAATGAGCAACAGCTTAGGGGAAGTCTGGAAAAATATACTTAAGAAAAGGCTACAGTGATGAATATATAATATGTGAAAGCAAGGTGACTTTCTCATTTCCTGTCTGATCACATATGAAGGACAATCTCTAGATATCTATGCCATTTACCTTTTTGGAGATAGACGGGGACTTACCTCTAAGAAAATGCACTGAAGATCAAGCCTTCTGTTAATGCATCCTGCTGTTTGCTTGTACCTTGTTCAGAAAAAATTCTAGTAGTCAGGCTGATGCAAAAAAAGAAACATGATAGAATTCAGATAAATGAAGGTACTTTAATGGGCAATAGGGCATTTGTTTTATTTATCCTGTTCAATTAATGAACAGTTATTGAGTAAATATAAATAAGAAATCTGGATACAAAGATGATTAAAGGTGGGTGCAGTGGCTCATGTCTGTAATCCTAGCACTTTGGGAGGCCAAGGCAGGAGGATTGCTTGAGGCCGGGAGTTCAAGACCAACTTGACCAATGTAGTGAGACACTGTTTCTATATTTATTTAAACATTTTTTTTAAAAAAGATGATTAATGCATAGTGTGGTTACTTAGGTAGGGAATAGATTCATTCATTCAACAAGTGTTAATTGAGCACCTCCTATGTGTCAGGAGTACACCAATGAGCAAAACAGACAAAAGTATTTTCCTTTTAAGAACTTAAGTTCTAGTGGGAGCAAACAAGACAATAAAGAAATAAACAAGTACATAAATTATTTAGTATGTTTCAAGGTGATAAGTGCCTTTTGAAAAATTACAACAGGATAAAAAGGATAAAATATTCTGGGGGTAGAAATTATCACAATTTTAAATAGGCTCATCAGGGAAGTCCTCACTGAGGAAGTAACAATTCAGCAAAGACCTGAAGGATATGAGGGAGTTAGCCATATGGACATCCAGAAGAACACATTCTGGGCAGTGGGAATAGCTAGCGCAAAGATCTGAGGTAGAGTACAACTAGCATGCTGGAGAAACAGCAGGGAGGCCTGTATGGCTGAAGTGGAGTGAACAATTGGGAAAGTGGTTGGAGATGAGGTCACTGAGGATCCAGGAGTGCAGATAAAGGAGGGCCTTAGAGGTCATTGTCAATCCTTTGGCTTGTATTCTGAATGAAATGAGCATTTGAAGAGTTTTGGGAGAAGAGTGATGTGACTTATCTTACACAAAGATCAGTCTCACTGCTGTACTGGGACAGGGTGAAAACACCTAATTAGTATGTTATTGTGATAACGTAGGTGAGACATGATGGTGGCTTGAACCAGAGTTGTAGCACTAGAAGAAGAGAAAGGTGGTCAGAGTCTGCATATATTTGAAATTAGAGCCAATAGGGTACCCTGATAGATTGGATATGGTATCTGTAAGAAAGATAGGAGTAAAAAATGACTGCATCTTTTCTGGTTTGACTAAGTTTGAGTTGCCATCAGCTGAAGTGTGGAAGGTTTCAAGGTAGAGAAACTTTGGAAAGGGGTGGGGGGTGGATTGTCAGGGGATAAGGATAACGTTTTAGAGATACTAAATGTAATTGGAGATGTAGAGTAAGCTTAGAGTTCAGAGTAGATGTCTGATTGGAGATATAAATTAAGGATTTGCCAGTACTTGGGTGGTATTTAAGGCCTAAGACTGGATGAGACCTCCAAGGAATGAATGCATATAGAGAAGAGAAGAGGCAGAAGAATTGAATTTTGAGACATTCTGACATTAAGAGGTTCAGGAGAAGAAGAAAACCATCAAAGGAGATCAAGAAGGAGCATCCAGGGAGATAGGAGGAAAACCAGGAACATGTGTTACCCTGGAAGCCAGTAAATAAAGAGTTTGAAGGGGAAGAGTTTAGCTGAGTCCAATGCTATTGAAAGGTCAAGTAAAAAGAAGACCGATTGAATTTGACAATTAAAGGTCATGGGTGATCTTGACAAGAATGTTGACAAGAGCACATAAGGATAGATAAAATGGATTAGAATGTGTATAAGAGAGAATTAGAGGGAAGAATTGGAAACTGTGAGTATAGATGACTCTGCAAGGATTTTTGTGCAAAGGGGAGCAGAAGAAATGGAGGAAGCAGGCTCAAGAAAGTTTTTCTTTCTTTAAAGATTGGAGAAATAAGAGCAAGTCTGCATGCAAATGAGAATGATTCAATAGAGAAAGAAAAATTAATGAAGTTGGAGAGATAGTGTATGGAAACTAGTACACAAGAGAAGGGACATTGCCTTAGATAGGAACATGGATATAGGGTAAGGTGTGTGGGGCCCGTTTGGGAAAGTGTATAACTGAGATGGTGGGAGTCTGTTGAGGTTCTCTTCTGGTTGCTGCAGTCTTCTCCAAGTAGAAAGAGAGATCACCAAATGAGAGTGAGGATGGTGGAGGACATGGTAGAGGCTGGAGGATAGAGAAGGTATGAATAGTTAAAACAAATAGGGAGAGTGAATGGACTGGGGAAGTGCGCTCAGGTTGTCTGGCAGCCTTAAGGGTCCGTTTAAAGTTTTTGGTCACAAATTTAAAGTAAGACCAGCCAGTAGGTTGGCTCATTCATTAACACAGTAAAGGCATAGAACAAGTAGAGATAAGGATATAACCAGAGTTACAGATTATCCAATGGGTATTAAAAAATAGGGACAACGGAGTTGTATACAAAAGAGTTGTATTAATAAAATGATTGATCATGGAAATTAAACCTGGTAAGCAGAGAAGAGGAAATCTAGATAATTAGGGACAGGGAACAGATGGTAGGGTCCATGAATTAGAGGTCTCAGTAGAATCAAAGACTAGTGGAAGTTAGCTGGAAAGGTAGGAGGTGGTGGTTTGTATGCTATAAGAAATTTAATTCATTTCCATAAGTCAAATGAAAGGATAAATTCATTCATGTTTTATTGTATTCCATTATTGATATTTTTGGGGTGAGTATTCTTTTTTGTGTGTTTGTATAGGGAAACAGTGTGTTGATGTATGGTTGAATTAAACCCTAGTGGTTTGGAAATTAATTATATCCTTAAACCTGCCAGCAACTGGCTCTGAGACCTGGGACACCTCTTGGTGGACATGGATTTTCTTGTCTGTGAAAAAGAGAGTTGAAATCACTGTTTTAGAACAGCCATGCAGTAGGTCAGCTTTGACAGCTTTCCAAACAGTCCCACCTTCCCTGGAAAGGTATCAGTAAAGGAGTGCATTTACTTCGCCTCTCTTCACCCACCTTTGGTAAACAGTTGCCTCTCTTTGTTTTGTGCCTTTGTACCTGTTGGCCTTTTGTTTTTTCTATACTCCATTAGTGATCAGGTTCTATGATGGTTGTCTATTGGAAGCTGCAATTTGTAGTAAATATTTTCCCTTTTACTTGGGTACCAGCTCTGGTATCATCCCCATTTCAAAAAGAACTCTACCCGCTTCTGGCTCTCTTGGCTCTCTGGGTGCTTGGACGGCTGCTATGACTTAGCATTCCCCAAAGTTCTAGCTTCAGCTGTGTCCTCTCACTTTCTGCCTTCCCTGAGTGAGCTCATTTAATCCCATGGCATTACCATCTTTGGTGTGTCTGTAATTCTAGGCCCACTTTTTCTGAACCCACACCTGTATTTCAAAATTCCTTCGAACATTCTACCTGAATGTCCTCCAGTCATGTCACACATAAAACCAAAATCATCACTCTGTCCTTAAAATGTGCCTTTTCCTTCTCATTATGCATTTCAGCTTCTAATGTCTATATCAAACCAATTGTCCAAGCCAGAAACTCTGAGTTATCCTCAGCTTCTGCCCTTTCCCCTTGCCCTATAATCAGTTAATGAATCCTGTGCGTTTTACCCCAGATATGTGTTTTCCAGTCCTGCGATCACTGCCTTCTATCCATCGCATCTTTTGCCCAGCCTCAAGTCCTTCCAATCCAGCATACGCACCTTAAAAATATTTACTTCCCTACAGTGCAGATGTGTTCATCTCACACCCCTAATCAAATACCTGAAGTAATTTTTCACTTCTGTGGAATAAAGTCCAAATTACTTAGCATGCCACAATCTGAACCCAGCTTATATTGTTCTATTTTAGCACACATTTCTCCCCCCTACACCACAATCCTCTAATTGCCTAAGTAATACATGCTTAATGCAGAAAATCTGGAAGGCAGAGAGCAAAGGGAGATTAAAACAAAATTACTCATAATTCCACTACCAGAGATGATTAGTGTTAACATTTTGGTATATATCCTTTCAGTCTTTTTTATGCCCATGGACACACGCAAGTGGCTTTAATTTTGTACTGAACATTTATCTCGTTGGTCTATATTGTTTGTAATAACTTAAATTTTAGTGGATGCATATAGTCTTCCATATATGCGAGCACTTTAATCTACTTCGCCAATCACTAGTTGTTGAATTTTTAGTCCAGCTTTTCCTTTTATTTCTCTTGCTCTGTTTTCCTCCCTCTCTCTCTCTTCCTCCCCCTAAGCCCCCTTTCTTTTTAAGAGATAGGGTCTTACTCTGTCACCCAGGCTGGTAGTGCAGTGGTGCAATTATAGTTTACTGCAGCCTTAAACTCCTGGGCCCAAGCCATCCTCCCACCTCAGCCTCCTGAGTAGGACTACAGGTGCGTATCATCACACTCAGCTAATTAATTAATTTTTTTTTTTTTTTTTTAGAGATCAGGTTTTGCTATGTTGCCCAGGCTGGTCTCAAACTCCTTCAAGTGATCCTCCCACACCTCCCACCTCAGCCTCCTAAAGCACTGGGATTACAGGTGTGAGCTACTGCATTGGCCCAACTTTCCTTTTAGATCTTATATCCCATATGATCTTCGCACACTCTGGTCATAGTCTCATCATGCAGCTCATTGGTTCTTTTCTTTCTTTCTTTTTTTTATAGTAATTCTTTTTTTTCCTCCTTTTTTTAAAATTATACTTTAAGTTCTAGGGTACATGTGCACAATGTGCAGGTTTGTTACATATGTATACATGCGCCGTGTTGGTGTGCTGCACCCATTAACTCGTCATTTACATTAGGTATATCTCCTAATGCTATCCCTCCCCACTCCCCCAACCCCACAACAGGCCCTGGTGTGTGATGTTCCCCTTCCTGTGTCCAAGTGTTCTCATTGTTCAATTCCCACCTACGAGTGAGAACATGTAGTGTTTGGTTTTTTGTCCTTGCGATAGTTTGCTGAGAATGATGCTTTCCAGCTTCATCCATGTCCCTACAAAGGACATGAACTCATCCTTTTTGATGGCTTCATAGTATTCCATGGTGTATATGTGCCACATTTTCTTAATCCAGTCTATCATTTATGGACATTTGGGTTGGTTCCGAGTCTTTGCTATTGTGAATAGTGCCACAATAAACATACGTGTGCATGTGTCTTTATAGCAGCATGATTTATAATCCTTTGGGTATATACCCAGTAATGGGATGGCTGGGTCAAATGGTATTTCTAGTTCTAGATCCTTGAGGAATCACCACACTGTCTCCCACAATGGTTGAACTAGTTTACAGTCCCACCAACAGTGCAAAAGTGTTCCTATTTCTCCACATCCTCTCCAGCACCTGTTGTTTCCCAACTTTTTAATGATGGCCATTCTAACTGGTGTGAGATGGTATCTCACTGTGGTTTTGATTTGCATTTCTCTGATGGCCAGTGATGATGGCAGCTCATTGTTTTAATGACATTATTGTGCCCATGCTCTTTTGCTTCTCAGTGCTTTACTGCACTTTGGCCCCAGTGCTCCCTCTCTGTCTCCTTCATCACCCTGCAGAAAGCTCCTATTTATCTTTAGAAGTGCAGTTTAAATGTGCTGTCCTCTGTAAAGCTTCCCAAATGCCCCAGGCTGGCTAATCCTCCCTCTGTGCTCCTGTAATGCTGTGTATTCACCTCTGCTCCAGCATTTAGCACACTATTTTGGGCTTTTTGCTTTGCACAAAACTATCTCACCCATAGAGCTTGGGGAGAGCAGGGAATTTATCTTTATTTATTTTATTTTAGGCAAAGTGGTATATTTTGTTGCTCAATAAAGTTTATTGTGCTAACGAATGAAATATTTAGTTCCATTTGAAGAAATTAGAGAGATAATTATTTTCACACAGAAAAAGAAAGAGTACATGATGGTAGTAGTGATTAGAGAAAAAGAAAAAAAATACCAGCAATGAATGAATCAAATAGATGTACTTTAAAGAATGAGAATACACTAAATGGTGTTTTATGATCATTTTACCTGCCTGGTTGTAACTTCTGCATTTGTGCATCCTTACTTCCTTCTTAAGATTTTCTGTGCTTCAATGGGGGAAAAGGCAACTTTTTTTTTTTGAGATGAAGTCTTGGTGTGTTGCCCAGGCTGGAGTGCAATGGCATGATCTTGGCTCACTGCAACCTCCGCCTCCCAGGTTCAAGTGATTCTCCTGTCTCCACCTCCCGAGTAGCTGGGATTACAGGCATGCACCACCATGCCCAGCTAATTTTTGTATTTTTTAGTAGAGATGGGGTTTCACCATGTTGGCCGGGCTGGTCTCGAACTCCTGACCTCAGGTGATCCACCCGCCTCGTCTTTCCAAAGTGCTGGGATTACAGGCGTGAGCCACCGTGCCCGGCCAAGGAAAAGGCAATTTTTAAAAAACACAGAGTAGAATAAAGTTACTGAATCATAAGAAAGAAAATGTGGTTTCTCCTCTTTCTTCTTTTGAAGTTGTTAGTATTGATCTTCCTGGTACAATATTAATACTGTATAACTCTTATGCACTTTCACTGGAACAAGTTATGAAATTCTCTATTACTAGTGAAATAAGTGCAATAAATATCTATCCTTGTTCATATTATGTTTATACCCTGAGAGTAAGATTTGTGCCTCTTTATGTATGAGAGGAAGTGTTTTGTAAACAGTAACAAATAAGTACCATTAATATGTGGTTTTGAGAAGTATTTTGTAATATGGTTTTAAACTAGAACACATAAGGTCTATGTTAATACTAAATATCGTTGTATATGTTATTGATGGTAGATAGTGTGGTAGTTTTTACAGAGTTTATTCTGATGTGTATTTTGCATTTAAAATATAAATTTACATATAAACTGGATATTTGTAATGCAAAATACTACTTTCACTAGCTAATACTTGGATTTAACATTAAATTTTAGATGTACCTTATTTTGAAAGCCTATCTAAGACCTGGTTTGTGGCTACAAGGTCTAATGCAAAGACCACAAACTTTGGCAACAGAAAGACCTAGGTCTATACTCCTGCTATGCTACTTGCTAGCCATGTTTTTAACATACTTTAAGTTCTGGGGTACATGTGCAGAATGTGCAGTTTTGTTACATAGCTATACATGTGCCATGGTGGTTTGCTGCACCCATCAACCCATTACCTACATTAGGTATTTCTCCTAATGCTAGCTCCCCCACCCCCTGACATGCCCCCTGAGCATGGTGGTGCATGCCTGTAATCCCAGCTACTCGGGAGGTAGAGACAGGAGAATCACTTGAACCTGGGAGGCGGAGGTTACAGTGAGCCAAGACCATGCCATTGCACTCCAGCCTGGGCAACACAGCAACCCCCGACAGTGTGTGATGTTCCCTGCCTTGTGTCCATGTGTTCTCATTGTTCAACTCTCACTTATGAGTGAGAACATGTGGTGTTTGTTTTTCTGTTCTTGTGATAGTTTGCTGAGAATGATAGTTTCCAGCTTCATCCATGTCCCTGAAAAGGACATGAACTCATCCTTTTTGATGGCTGCATAGTATTCCATGGTTTATATGTGCCACATTTTCTTAAACCAGTCTATCATTGATGGACATTTGGGTTGGTTCCAAGTCTTTGCTAATGTGCATAGTGCCACAATAAATACACGTGTGTGTAAGTCTTTATAGTAGAATGACTTATAATCTTTTGGGTATATACCCAATAATGGGATTCCTAGGTCAAATGGTATTTCTAGTTCTAGATCCTTGAGGAATCGCCACACTGTCTTCCACAATGGTTGAACTAATTTACACTCCCACTAACAGTGTAAAAGCATTCCTATTTCTCCAGATCCTCTCCAGCACCTGTTGTTTCCTGACTTTTAAATGATCGCCATTCTAACTGGTGTGAGATGCTATCTCATTGTGGTTTTGATTTGCATTTCTCTAATGACCAGTGATGGTGAGCATTTTTTCATATGTTTCTTGGCTGCATAAATGTCTTCTTTTGAGAAGTGTCTGTTCATATTCTTTGCCCACTTTTTGATGGGTTTGTTTGTTTTTTTTTCTTGTAAATTTGTTTAAGTTCTTTGTAGATTCTGGTTATTAGTCCTTTGTCAGGTGGATAGATTGCAAAAATTTTCTCCCATTCTGTAGGTTGCCTGTTTACTCTGATGATAGTTTCTTTAACTTCCTCTCAGATCAACAGTTTTGTTCCTATAAAATGGGAATGATAATAGTTGCCTCACAGGTAGTTGAGAGGATTATGTAAGATAATGTTTATTGAGTGTCTGGAACAACATCCAGTTCAATGTATGGAAGCTGTTATAATTATGAGGAAATGAATAGAATCAGTTTTATGACTTCAAAGAACCATGCTCACTTTTTGCTTGTAAGTAAATGGCTTACCATTTATTTTTTGGTCATACCCATAATTGTATTTTAAATTGTTGTTATTAAAAATTATGCTACAGCAATTTAAACACAAGTATAAATTGTCCAAGTTCACAATGGTTTTTATTTTTGGTTGTTACTTTCTACTCTTTACCAATTTCTGGCTTGTCTAGTGCTAAAACAGAAAGGGACGGTTCTACCTGGATTGCCTCTTGGCATAGCTTATTTAAAATGGGCTGGAAGCCATCTGTGATGAGGTGATTCCAAATGGACTGAACTAAAAGAGATGAGGCAAATCGACAGCCAGTGAGTGGCAGAATGGGTCTACATGTCTGCAGATGCATGCAGGTACTCAGGCACCAAAATAGGGTGAAGTTGGGAGAGAGGTAGCAGGGAAAGGTGGAATCTCAGCTGAAGATGGATAGCTTGGGTAGGATGGGGTGAAGATGGGATAGTGAGGGCAAACAGGTGGGGAGGAAATGAAGGCTGAGGGTTAATTCGGGAATGTCCATTGGAAGTAGCATTGTTCCTTTCATACATGGAGTGTTAAAAAGACAGTTCTTTTTTTAGCTATGTATGTAGCCACAAATGTAACAGACAGCCTATTTTATGTTCTTTTTTTAAAAATATATCATTATGTTACAAACGTATTTACATGTTTCTACATAGTCTTTGGAGTTATAATTTTTTTTTAAAAATTATAAAGCATTTAACTACTTCAAGACACAGAGAAATATAAAGAAGAAGGGAAATAATCTTGTTACCCTAACACAAGTACTGTTATTTTGGTTAATTCCTTTCCAGTTTTCCTAAGGCATACAGGACTTCATTTCTTGATTTATTGAGAAATATAAACTGTAGTGTAGTTACAATACAATTTTTTGTCCTGCTTTTTTTCCCACCTAACATTTCAGGATAAGCATTTTTTCACTGATTTTCATTTATCTGCTTTGAGAGGCTGGAATTGGATTCTCCTTTCAAGGATTTTGGCTTAAAGAATTTGGCAAGCTGGTTCTATGCCATTTGAGACTATGTAAAATGGAAAGATGTGGAGTATTAGTGATGGTTTGTTTGGTTTCTAGTCACAAGACTCCACTTGAACTAGCTGAAGCAAAATGGGAGCTATTGAAAAGACACCGGGGAGTCTCTCATGGGTTTGAAGGGGAGGGGTAAGATGGTATAGGCTGAAATCAGGTCCTGGAGGGCTGTGGGGAGAACAGGAAGACTTCTTGCTCTGTCTTTCATCTCTTTTTCTCTGGCACATGCTCCCCATTCTTGTCTCTTGCTTCAGGCTGGCTTTCTCTATTTCCTTGTCCAAATGGTCGAAAATAGCCACTGCCAGCAGTTCCAGCGTTTACGTGTCCTCTATTCAAGAGAGCAGACAGATTGAGCGAGAATCTCTTACTTCTAAATCCAGATTCCTGGGGAAAGAGACATTTTGGCCCAATTTATATCACATGCACACTCTTGACCCTATTGATGGTGGCGGTTTGGAGCAGGGTCAAGTTTCCCAATCATGGCTGCCAGAGGCCCTCTCCTGTAACCCTATTGACTGTATGAGGGAAGAGATGATAGTTTAGAGAAACAGGGCAATTGGTTTGACACTTAACTTAATAGCTATTTGGTTCACAGAACATTGCATTTTTTATATCAAATTATAGGCTTCAATCAAGATTCCATCTTTTCTCTCTTCTGGCCCTGAGAGCCCTTAGAGTGAATCTAGATAATATGTAATGAACTTATAGATACTGTATCATCCTAGAAACTGAGAAAATCCAAGTGTCTATTTAGAGTATAAGTCCTTGAGAATTCTGTTTAAGAGTGCCCATCTAGCACTGCAGACTACTTGTTAAGCTTCATTGAAGTGCCACTGGTTACATCAAGTTTGGAAAACGTATTTCTTTTTCTAGGTCAGATAGGGCAATACAACAGGTCTTTCCGATTCAATGTACAGTAATTGAGGATGACATTTAACATGGTATATTTAAACAGAGATTGAACATTACACTATCCTGCAGTCTGAGGTTTGCTATATTTAGACCTAGGCTAATGCCAAGATGGCACTAGTGAGATGTCAGTAATGGTTTCATGGTACTGAAAACCAGACATAAGAAGAATTCTTTATGCCTTGTGAAGCAGAGATTCCTAAGAGCGTTAGAGCCTTCAGGTTTTTCCTGCTAATATCTTACTAAACTCCAAGTCATGTGCCTTTGGTATCTATTTTGTGTTTTTGTTGAAGCCCATGTTCAGTTATAGGCATTCTAGAGGACAGATCCAAATCCAGTGAGTTGGAGGCTATTGAGGCACCATCTTCCCTGCTGGAGTTATGGTGACAGGGTCTGAAGAAGCGGTACTGCATCTAAAGTGACATTATTATTCCCACAGACTTTTTAGAACAAAGGTGCTTAGAAGTTAAGAACTTTTTGAAAATTGCAAGTGCTTGAAGCTGGAACTGCTTGTCTTGTTCCTTTCTAGTCCACATCTGTGTAGGAACCATGATCACCTTTCAGAAGCATTCACTGGATCATGCCATTCCTCTGGTTAAAGTCGTTAGTGGCCTCCTGTATTTCTTTGGAAAACTATAAAACTCTGAACGCAGCTTATAAGATCTTACAAGGTCTGATTCTTTAGCTGCCACCACACTTTCATGACCTTATTATGTTTTGGTTTTACTGGTTCCTGTTCCAGGCTCTTTCATTCATCTAAGATGATGAACAAGCTCTCCCCTCTTCCTGGTGGTGTGACCTGTCTGGCCCCTCAACATTCCTCAGGTCTCATATTAAGTGCCACCACCTCTGAGAGCCCTTTCCAGCTTTGCACCTCTATCATCTCATGTACTTTTTCTTTATAGCACTTACCACAAGTGGCTAATGCAATTTATGTTCACTTTTGTAACTGTTTAATGCTTTTCTGCCCATTAGATTCTTATGTCCCTAAGAGTAGGTAGGGATGGATCTATTTCGTTCAGCACCGTATGACCAGCACAAAGAACAATGCTTGGGCACTCCATAAATATTGGCTGGATGAGTGATTAAGCCTTGTTGAAAATATCAAATAGGCTTCTTTTTTCCAAGATAATATTTTTCTTTGGAATGTTTTTAAATTTTTCAGAAAAGTTGCAATGATAATACAGAGAGTTCCCGTAACCCCTCACTCAGCTTCCTCACTCAGTTAACACTTTTCATTAGCATGGTACATTTGCCAGAAATGAAGAAACCAACACTGGTGCGTTATAATTAATTAAACTCTAGATTTTATTTGGATTTCACCAGTTTTTCAATTAAGGTTCTCATTCTGTTCTAAGACCCAATCCAGAGTACCAGATTGCATTTACTTGTCATGTCTCTCAGGTAGGCTTTTAGTGCATTAAACTTGAAAAGTTCAATTTTATAGGAACTTCCTGGCACACATTTTAGGGCTTGGATCAGATTACATTTGAAAATTTAACTGCTAGTTTTCAAGGTGACTAAGGATTAAATTGATGTTTGACTTGACATCATAATTGCATACTAGTTTAGAGACTGTTTTACAGTGTATAACAGTGGTTTCTAGCATTTCTATGTTTAACATGTTGGAGATACAGAAATCTTTGAAAATCTGATCTATGAACTACTCACCTATCCCCCAAATGCACATATACACCAAACATTTTCATGCAGTTTATTACATTGGAAGTTTACTTCACAAGTACAGGCTATAAAATAATTCCACTGAGTTTTATCTATTTTTAAATTTCATAATAATGTATGCAAAATTTAATGGTAATATCTGGAAGATGGAAATAATTTAAATTTGTTAAAATATAAGTGAACTTTAGTTTTATTTAAAGGTAAATTTTAGTGAGAAAGCTCTTGTGGTTGGACTAATAAAAAGCTAAAATTTTGCAGTGGTCTTAGGCATGACAATGTGCATGACACCCAGTTTTCTTCAATGTGCTGGGAGTCTTAACACCTTCTAAAAATGTTGACTCACAAGGATATGAGATAGCAAATGAAATTAGAGATCTACTAGCTTTTTTGCAGGAAGAGGGTGGACATGTTTCAAGAAATGCCAGATTTCCTGATCCTACAAGTTGAATTAATGTCATATTATTTCATTAGTATTCAAGTCAATGAGATCATCCTTGAGGCAAGGCCTCAAAAACCATCCATGCAGTCTTTGTCTACAAGAAAAGAATGATGAATCCGTTTCAATGTTAAGGTCATCCAAGCAGAATTGTCCTTCAAACATATCCTGCAGTATACCTAGGTACCCTTGGATTGTTGGTCTACAGAGAAGACATTTTATGACACATCGTCACTCTGGATCCTTAGTTTTCTGAGAAACAGTGTTTCCAAAAGAACTTGCAGTTTCCAGCTGCATTATAATGGTGACTGTGAAGCTTTAAATGAAAAAAAGTATCATGTTATATCCATAAAGTAAGAAAAGCTATGAATCAGTTTCTCCTTACTGAATTGTTCTATGAATGGGCTTCCTTTTTTTCTCAAAAGTGATACAAATGTCTTCCCAAATGCCAGTTAAAGATTTCAATCATGGTTTCCAGAAGCAAAGCAGCTTCTAGGTAGTGAAGAAGAACTCCACATTTTCTTGATTAAAAACAAAATTCTTGAGGAGGTGATAATTTTGACCCTGGCTCTAATGGAGTTGACTTTTACTTTCAAGACAGTAGAATAGGTTTCTTGTAGGATTACTGACAGTATTTCAGGTGCCACTACATGCTGATGTGTAAGGCAGCAAGTCATATTAATGTGCAAAACTACTTTCATTTCCAAAGCAGCACAACCTACTTTTCTCCCCAAGTACAGTTTTGCTTGACGTTGCAACTTTTCATGTGTCCTAAAAGGCTTACAGAATAGATTTTATTTTTCAATGACATTCATATACACATACAGAGAGTCAGGAGTTAGAAATATTGTGAGATATCTGGTTGTTTGCTGAGGGGAAATTAGCATAGTGGCTGGTATCTTCAATATTTGCATCTAAATTATGGCAAATGGGCAGGTTTGGGGAGATAGTTTTATTTGATAAAGGCACTGCTTCCATCTTTATCTGTGGCTCCAGACTGCAAACCAGTGTATCCTTTACCAAGACGTACTGGTTTCCAAAGTTTCCTCAGGGGTGTGTGTGTGTATTCTTTTGCTTGACAGTCAGTTAGAATGTGATAGTCAGTTAGAAAGTAAAGAAAGCTCTGCTTATATTGGCTTAAGCAGTATGAATTTGAGAGGTATGGTTTCTGATGTAATGGCTGATGCTGTAATGAAGTACACAGGTTCTAACCTTTTCTCTCCTGTTTTCTATCCCTTTGTCTATATGTTGTACTTTATTTTTAAACTCTTCTATTAAGTTTTTCACTTCAAGTTTTATTAAAGTTTTAGTAGCTCTTTTGTTTTCTGAATATTTCTCTTAAAAATATAGCATTTTATTCTTGTTTTATGGATAGAATATCTTCTCTTATCTCCTTAAGGATATTAATACTATATTTTACAAAGTTTTCTTCCCCTGAATGGTCTGTTTCCTCCAAGTTGTTTTAAAATTTAAAAAAAAATTTTTGTGGGCTGGGCTTGGTGGCTCATGCCTATAATCCCAGCACTTTGGGAGGCCGAGGCAGGTGGATCACCTGAGGTCGAGAGTACGAGACCAGCCTGGCCAACATGGCGAAACCCCATCTCTACTAAAAATACAAAAACTAGCTGGGCATGGTGGCGCATGCCTATAATCCCAGCTACTATGGGGGCTGAGGCAGCAGGATCGCTTGAACCCAGGAGGCGGAGGTTGCAGTGAGCTCGAGATCATGCCACTGCACTCCAGCCTGGGCAACAACAACAACAAAATTGTTAGTCAGTATTCTTGGATATGTTGTGATTCTTTTTTATGTGCTTATATTCTAGAGTGAAGGACTCAAAAACTGTTTATAATCTGTGAGAATGGCTGAAGTGGTCAAGAACTATGAAGGGTCTGGCATTATATACCACTTTCAAATTATCAAGTTAGCATGCTACAGTTTCACAGATGCTGGCAAAAGACATGAGACTCTTGGGTCAGATTCAAAGGACTTTATTACTCACACTCCAGCAGGCAGCATGAATTTCATGTTTATGTTGGTTCCCCTTGCTCCCCAAGTTCCACGGGGACAATATGAAGTAACCAAGGTGGATCCTCAGCATGTATAGTAGGTTTGTGTGACAGTCGAGGAATCCTGAGCTTAGAAAATGCCAATCATTTATAACGGCCTACAAACAAACCTACCCAATGTTTGCCCCAGAAAGAGATGTTAGCAAACAAACCTGCCTTCTGTTTTTGAGGGAAACTTTATTTCTACCCTTCAAATCTGTTGCTTATCCAGGCTCTTGAAGCAATAGTTCAGAACAAAAAGCTGTCAGTGCCTGCACATGATATGTGGAAATGCAGGAAAGACTCATGGAGAATCATCTCCCAAAAGAGCTTGTCTATGATGACTCTACCGTTAATCAGCTGGGCTTTTTCCTTGGGAACCTTCAATATCGTTTTCTTAAGATCTGCTCCCTTGGCTCATAGAAGGCTTTTTGAATCTCCTGGCTTACCACCAGCATTCTGACAGTCAAGTAGGAAAGAAACCTGGGAGCCTCAGTGGGCAGCGTATACAGATTCACTCAATTCTTCCATGATTTTGGTATAGCACCGCAGTCTTCAACCATGCCTGGTGTCTCTGTAGAGTTTTGTTTGAGCATCTTCGGAGAATAAACCTCTGCCCTTTGCCAGGGTGAAGGGAGGTATAGTCAAATGCTGAATGAGGGTGGGGATTAAGAAGCCATAATGTTCCTTAAACAGGCTTACACAAGACTGCTGATTTTAGCCTTATTTATAGCAGTAACTGGTGCCACAATTTCCAGGCTTTGAGAAATTCTGCGTGGTAAATTAAACTAATTTCCATTTTCTCTACCCTCAATTTAGGTTTCAGTTTTCTCAGGCCTGACAAGTCATTTACTACTTTCTGGCTCCTAAAATTTTATAATTATCTTCTTTCCTGATTCTTCCGTTTTTATGGATTTATGCCTTTAAAATACATTCATCGTTATTTTAGTGAAACTTCCTGAATGAGCAAATACAGATGTTTGTATTCAATCTGTCATCTTTCAGATAGAATCATTGCACTTTCTGTTTTTATTACTCAGTATCTTCCAACTTTTACTACATTTACTGTAAACTAAGATAAATGGCATATTCATAGTGGCAGAGTACATTATTTTTATTTTCTCTCAGTGAGAAGCTACTTTAGATGTCACAACATGGGGGAAAATAATATTGTGCATTATCTGTTTCTTGATCTGACTGTTGGTTACATTGATACGTTTATGAAAATGTCATCGAGCTGTACACATAAGGTTTATGCACTTTTCTGTATGTATGTTATATTGTAATAAAACATTTACACTGAAAATTATACCTCACATGACCTTGTATTATAGGATATCATGGTATCCTGGCCCATTTTACCTTTGTTTATAATGAAACACTGAATTATAACTTAATCTGAAGAAAATATTTTTCAAATTTTCAAAGTAACAGAAGATAAAGAATTTTCAAAGTAACAGAAGATAAAGAATTACTTTTGTGTGTGTTTCCAGTTTACTAGCCCCTGAATGCCTTCTCTTATCCCTTACCAGTATAAGAAAAGTGGTTCTCAAGTTGCTGCTTATTAGAAACATCTGGGAGTGAAAAAAAATCCCAAGGCACAGCTTGCATTCCATACCAGTTAAAACAGACTACTGGGATTGAAACCCAGGCATCAGTACTTTTTAAAGCTCCAAGGAGATCCCAAAGAGCAGCCAAAACTATGAACAAGGGTCTAGGGCAGCATGTCTCAAACTATCTGGTTCTTTACCTAGCCAGTTTCTGTTTTTACATTTCCAAAACTCTGGCAAAATTAACAAAAATGAAATAGTAGAAAACATAATTATGCACTGAAATATTATAGTAGTGTCAACTTGCTATAAATATTTCTCAGTGATTACTCTCAATTTCTATATTTGTCATGGTCTGGTAACAGTTCATGGCCAGGACTATCTGCAGAGTGCACTTTGAGTAGCACTAGCTGTGGATAATCTGTCGCTTTCCTAGAACAAGCTGGGTATCCATATATTCCCTTCTCTGTTGCAAGAGTCTGTTTGGAGATTGAGGAGGGTTTAGGCTGGGGCCTATGGTATGTACTCTCACTAACTCTCTGAAACCCCCTGACACATTTAATCTCACTCTGATGCATTTCTGAGCTCTCAAAGCATGGGATAACGTCACTGTTAATAACTCATGAGTTTATTTTAGATTTTCCAAGTTTTGTTTCCCATCAGCCATATTAATTCAAGAAAAATTCTTGGCTACTAAAGTCTTGGCATGTGATCTCATGTATCTTAGTAGTGGATATGAACTTTAAGTTCTGTATACAAGTGAATTTCAGGGAAAAATTCACTAAAGACTCTCAGGAACAAAAATTGATTTTGTTTTCAATGATTTTGCACTATATGCTAAAATGCAATGAAAATTGTCCTGTGACTTGGGCTAGAATCTCGGAAAAACGACTGTTATTTCATTCAGGGGCCTATGGAGGCTGCCTGGTTTGTTTGTTTGTTTGTTTCAGGACTGAATAATCTGCTAACCAAACACACTTGGCCCAATATTCAGGCAACATGGAAATTTATCCTTGTGGAAGGAATCCCACTGGGTTTATGACTCATGGAATGGAAAAAGAGGTTTGGAATTGGCAGGATCTTCATCCTAGGGAGAAATTCCGAATGGTTTGGATGAGTGTTCTGATTTGATCATGTTACTCCCTTCTTTTGGGGGCCTTATTTCAATAATGATGCAGTGGAATTTTAGTTGAGGCAGATTATCTGATTACCTTGGTCTAAGACATCTCTTGGTGTTTTTTTCCCCTTCCTTTCTTACCTGTTTCAGAGGAGATGACATACTTATGCTTATTAGAGAATAAAAGGCCATTCCAGATGTTAATTCCCTCTCAGTGCCTTGTGCAGTATTTAATAAAGCTGTCTTCAATGGCCTTATTACTCATCTTGACTTCTGTTACATTCTGATTATATTTGCTGGGAGTGTAGAATTTCATGGTGGCTCTCCTAGTGTGTAGGGCTGTCTCCCAGGAAAGAAGTGAGAAGAGAAGGGGATATGCCCTTTGACTTTGGACTTAGGTACCTCTCTCAATCCAGTTTGATTGCTTGATAAAGGATGGAAAATGGTGGCAAAGCATATAACATACTTGGAGTTTAGAGTTCTATCTTTTTAAAAAATATTTACACTTGATGTAAAGATCATGCATGTAAAACCCCAGCACATACAGCTTCTGACATATAAAAGCTTATTAGGGAAGAAAATCAGGAATGAGAATCTCAGCTTATGCTAAAACTTAACACAGTTAACTTTCCTGTGGCTTTCAATAGAAAATTATACCCAAATAGGCACTGTATACAGTCATAGTGGGATTGTAACCAATGTAAGCCTGAATTGTTTGCAGAGTAATGTTTGAGGCTTGAATAATAAACCATAGCACACAAAGATTTGGGATGTAAATTCTCAAGAATGCTACAACCTCTCTCCGACAGTTGTATGCATTTTACCCTTGCCGAAGCAATAGCATATACGATTTCATTATAACTCACAGCCACTCTGTGTAGTGGGTGTTATTACCATGTTAGAGATGAAAAAATTGAGGCTCAGAGAGGTTACCTTGCCCAAGGGCATAGCTACCAGGTGTCAGGGCAAGGATTTGACCCCAGAACTGTCTACTGCCCAAATCCATACTCCACTAGAGAGAGTAACAAGCAGTCAAAATTATAAAATTTCAGATCCTCCCATGGCTCAGTTATTTTTCCTCCTCCTGAAGTTCTACAGGATGGTAATAAACTTTCACTTTGTTTTTAGTAGGGTACCCTTAACTTGCAATGTGCAGATCCAATAAAGGGCTTACTTCCTTCTCCCCGAAAGACTGAATTTTACTTCAACCAGATGCTGTGTCTGAAGGCTCTTTTTAGAAAGAAGAAAAGAGATTGAACAAGATGGCCTTAAGATTTTGTATGTGCATGGGGGGGTGGGGGAAGAGACAGAGACAGAGAGAGATAGATGGAGGAGAGAGACAGAGAGACCCCTCTACTAGTAACAAAGGTCCAGTTGGTGTCTGGAATCTTACAGTTTTCTATGGACAGAGGGCGGAGGGCAGTGAAGAGTCAGGACAAGGGGATGCCCGCTCCTGATCCCAACTTGACTCCTTCGAGGTACCTGGATATCTTGCGGGGCTATTCTTCTGGTCAGACAGAGGAAATCTTGCTTCCAAAAGGCAGCTTTTCCTGTTGAGAAGAATTCTCTATTTCCTGCATCTAGAAGGTAAAAAGAAATAAGCTTATGTGGGGACAGAAAGAGAGCAAGTTGTCTACTCCTGTGGCCAAGTAGAAATGCCTGTAATTTTGAGTTATGTGTGCCTGACACAGTATAGGAGAACAATATTGGTGGAATTATGATCATACATCAGTCTTACTGTCAGTGCTTCTTTTAATATTTAATGAAATTTCTCTCGCTATGATTTAAATCATTGGAATGCTGACCCTGGTGTTGCTAAAGTTCTCTTCAGAAACAGAAGTCCAGCATTGCTTCAACATCGACCCCATTGGTCTTACAGTCTTGCCCCGTGTTATTCACACCACTACAAGCCTTTATTAAGACCTCTATCACATGGAAATGCAAGTGTGATTGCCCTGATGCTTCATTCCAGCTGGGGTTTGAGCATCCTTGGTTTCACCCCCATGCTTGTTTCTGACATTTCTGGATATTTCTGACATTAGCTGGGCCTTTCCAAATTCCTCAAATGTGTCATTAATAAGATCAGTAGGTTTTTAAAAGTGTTAAATCTCTTGTATTTATGCTTACTGGGTAGGTAACTATTTACCTTTCAAGGTAATTTTTTCCTACGATTTCTATCTTCAATAAAAATTGAACATAAATTGCTTGGGGGAGTACAAGGGAAACAAGATTGGTCACGAGGCTGATATTTGCTGTGACGAGTACATGTTCATGTAGCAAAGCTCAGTAAAGAGCTTTTAAAAAGCTCCGCAGATGACTCTCTCTATATATATTTTTGATTCTGGCTACTTAATGGAAATTAAAAACAAAAACTGAATTTAAGAGAAGATACCAGGGGGTTATAATGTCCTGCAGAGATATTAAAATTGTTTGGGGATTTTGAGTATGCTACAGGAACATCATATTACTTTGAAAATCTGATGAATAAAAGTACAGTTTCAGTTTATTTTATTATAAAATTAAGATAAATGTTCTGAAAACATTAAGAAGAAGTCCAAATGGGGATAAGCCATGCTTCAAAACCCTTCGTCTCCAGTCTTTTAGAACTTTCTCTTAGTTGCCCTGGAAACCAAGAGAAAGTTGGTGGTAGTTTAGGTGAGATTATCTTTTTGTTCCTCACAATACCCAGACACTCCCAACTTGTCAAGCTGAGTTAGGGAAGAGGAGCTCTGGCCCTGTCCTTTGGGTGCTTTGCCAAGTAGAAATGAAAGACTCCCTTCTCAGCACTCTTAGGACTAAAACTTTCCTCCACCAGCCCAAACAGAATTGCCATCAAGGTCACCTCATTCCTCATTACCCCCATAGCCTGCCTATGGAGGGGTGGCTCTGGAATGACAATATTCAGTCAGGATCCTGGCAGGAAACAGATACAAACTCAAACAGGGCAATTAGAGGAAGGACAGTGTATCAGTCAGGGTTCTTTAGAGGGACAGAACTAATAGGATAGATGTATATATGAAAGGGAGTTTATTAAGGAGTATTAACTCACATGATCACAAGTGAAGTCCCACAATAGGCCATCTGCAAGCTGAGGAGCAAGGAAGCCAGACTGAGTCCCCAAACCTCAAAAGTAGGGAAGCCGACAATGCCTTCATTCTGTGGCTAAAGGTTCGATAGCCCCTGGCAAATCACTGGTGTAAGTCCAAGAGTCCAAAACTGAAGAAATTGGAGACTGATGTTCGAGGGCAGGAAACATCCAGCATGAGTGGAAGATGAAGGCTGGAAGACTCAGCAAGTCTGCTCTTTCTACCTTCTTCTGCCTGCTTTATTCTAGCCATGCTGACAGCTGATTAGGTGGTGCCCACCAGATTGAGGGTGGGTCTCTCTCTCCCAGCCCACTGACTCAAATGTTAATCATCTTTGGCAACACCCTCACAGACACACCCAGGAACAATACTTTGCATCCTTCAATCCATTTAAATTGACACTCAATATTAACCATCACAGGTGAGCAGGGTGTAGGGAAGTCCAAAGAATTTCAAGCCTTTGAGCTGGTAGTAGCCGGCTGTGAGAGTGCAAGGGAAGGGAGTGATTCCCAAAACATGGAGAGAGAGGTGGTTGTGTGGTGAGGGCAGCCTGACAGCATCTGTGTTAAGCAGTGGATGTCTGCAGTTTGCTATGATCTTTCAGAGGTGTAGATATCACCACAGCATTCTCCTCTCTCCCTCCCATGTCTGGTGGGTGGCCAAACATCATGGAAATCAAAGAGCAAGGCGTCCCATCATTGAAGACCCCATAGCTTAGCTTCTAGGGCACAGAGTAGGATGGAGAAGGTTGGGGAGTTGATCTGGAGAGGCAAACAGAATATCTCCAGCACTCCAGCAAGAGGGTATCTCTTTTTAAGTTTAGCTGGCTTGACTATGCCCCATTTCAGAGTGCCCTTCCATGGGAGAAATAACTAATTTCCTCATGTAACTCACTTAACTGCTATGAACTGATATATGATGGGAACTGAAAATGTGAAGGAAAAAATATTTTGTGAGTTTTTTCTAATAGCCTAGATGAACCATCAGCCATGTTATTTGTTTACTATTTATTACTTTTTAAAAACATGGTTATTTTTCCATCCTTTCCCACACTCTCAGCATCAACTGAATATAGCCCAGCATTTCTGTTATAGACAGAAGGATGAGAAAACAATTCAGTATATAGAATTACCTATTGTGAAGAATTTGCTTTAATCAGAAAAGTGATCATTATACTGCAAACATCTGATGTGACACAGTGATAACTTCGTGTTCCAACAATTTCCATTGTTTAATTTCCAAATATCACAATATCTGACATTCAGCACATAAAAAATTTTAAGTATTTAGCTAATCTTTTATTCTAGCTTTCCATTTTTTTTTGTTTGGGTAGAGTCATATACCAGGTTTTTAGGATCATGAGCGATATCTTGCACAATGTGTTTACTCCTTGTAATGATCTACGTGGCTTGTAGTTTCTGTAGATTTATAATCTCCACTGCCAAATTTAAGCATTTGACCTTCACCTGTAGATTTGCACTTCACCATAGTCCCTGGCACCAGTTCTCTACCTTTAGGGCACTGGAATTGGGTGAAACTGAGGATCAGTAGGCCAGTGGATACCAGATTCAGTACCCTGTTAGCCCATCAAAGGTCTGGTTCTAATCATGTGCCTATTCCAAGTACAGAGTCGTCTTTGTTTCCATTTAACCAAATTCTTTCTGTACTCTACTGTCAGTGAGTAGTTTGGGCTTTCTAAGAAAAAGTTGGATTTCCACTTAACCCACTTCCACAATCGCTATTTTAGTTTTCTGGTTCATACCTCTGGGACTGGTGCTTTGTCTTAATGTCCAACCTAGGTCTTCTTAGGAACTAGAGACCTGCCGATGAATCCAAACCCCTTTTGCCTGGTCTCTACTACCTACTACGAGATTTTCTGGATCACAACCTGCTCACCCTCTGGGCTCTTCCCCCATCACCTGGGGCTCAAAATCCCTTGATCTCCTGCTTAGCCCTATGTTCCAATTGGTGTCCAGGTATTAGCCATGCCCTGTACAGCTAGGCATTCATTGTGTACATGTTGCTGATAATTGATAATATGGCTTTCTACTTATTCTCCATTGCAAAATCTAGTCATAAACAAGATTGCTAGACTGTAGATGAGCTCCATGGGGATAAGGGGCTTGCTACTGTCAGTGTCTGAAAGAGTCAGCCCTCATTTTAAAAATTAAATGAAAAAGGAATAAATAAAATAGTGCCTCAGATGAGAGATTCTTAATCTAACAATATGTGCATAAATTGATGTGCACTTTTCTGAGGTGCTTCATAAGGTTCTTCAGATTTTCAGTGGTACTCATGGACCTCAAAACATTAATAACCATGGCTTAAAATGTATACGTAAGAAAGGAACATGTGATTTGCTCTTTTAAAAACATTCATTATTTGGGGGGGATATTTGGGTGTTATATAGCAGTGTATTGAGAAATATTGACACCAAAAATTAATTAGGTGGTCTTCAATCATGAGTGATAAGGTTTCTGTTTTGAAATTAATAATGAGGTGGTCTGATGGTTAACCTTTAGCTCTTTAAAATGAACGAGGATGAGAGGTACTCAGATTTTGAGAGCCTACACCCATGGGAATCAATGTCAAAGCCCGTTTCCTAGAAGTCTCATTTAAGTGTTTCCACAAGTATAGCTTGTACTTTTTTCCTTCTCCAGAAAACCTAATTTTCTGATAGTGAAATCTTTATCTTATTAAGTTGCTGGGTAACAAAGCTTGTTGTTCATTCTATTTTCAGCTACTTGGTATAGTCTCTATGACAAATTTAATCTATTGGAGCTCAAGTCAATATGCCATTACTTTAAAGTCTGTGAGTATTAGTTTATGCTATTTGTGACTGAGGGCACAATGCCTGGCATTAGGTGGCACTCAAATATTCAGAGAATTAATGGTTATCCTTTGTTTTGGATGGCAGTGTAGTGAAGTGGCTGTGAAAAGCATTTATTTTGAATCAATGTACTCTTGAGTTTGAATTCCAGCTCTTGTATCTAGCTTTATGACTTTGGAAATATGAATATTAAAAGTTCTCTCCTCCTTGGATTTTGCGAGAATTAAAACAGAAAATATGTGTAAAAAACATTAAGCACGGTGCCTGGGGACAGAGTAGGCACTCAATAAAATGTATGAATGTTATTATTATTAGTGTCATTATTAGATCACTCATCTGGATTGCTTGTAGAAGACTAGAATGAAGTGTGCATGTTTTGTTTAGGTCTTAGGTAAGAAGTCTGGGGCGTGTTTTGGACATGCTGTAGAGTGTTGATAAAGTTCTTAACTCTGGCTCTGCATCAGGATCTCCTGTGGAATATTTAAAAAATACAGATGCCTGGGCTCCAATTCAGGTCCCTGGAGCTGTGTCCTGAGCATGTACATTTTTTTCTGCAACTTTTTTTTTAAAGTTCAGGGTTACATGGGCAGGGTGTGCAGGTTTGTTACATAGGTAAACATGTGCCATGGTGGTTTGCTGCACCGATCCACCCATCACCTAGGTATTAAGCCTAGCCCCCATTAGCTATTCTTTCTGATGCTCTCCCTCTCTCCCCGCCTCCCTGAAAAGGCCCCAGTGTGTGTTTTTCCTCCCCACTCCCCGCTGCCCCTCATGTGTCCTTATGTTCTCATCATACAGCTCCTACTTACAAACGAGAACATTCAGTGTTTGGTTTTGTGTTCCTGTGTTAGTTTGCTGAGGATAACAGCTTCCAGCTCCATCTATGTCTCTGCAAAGGTCATGATCTCATTCCTTTTTACAGCTGCATAGTATTCCATAGTGTGTATATGTGTGCACATTTTTAAAAAGCTCCACAGGTGATTCTGATGCAGGCCGGGTCAAGAATCACTGCCATCAATATTACATAAAGAGCAACCGAAGGATAAGAAGTGAAGAAGGAGTGGAGTTTTCTAATATTTGACCTATCTTGGTGCTGAACAGGAACAGAGAAATATTGGTGAATAATGAACCTGGGCTTTGGAATCCAGAGTTTGAATTCAGCTAATTCACTTTCCTACTCTGTGGATACTAGATTTTAAGCCCCAGAGGTCAGGGGCCACATCTGTCTTTTGCATGTAGGTATCCCTAGACTGACATTAAATGACTTAACCTTAAGACCCCTGTGTCCTTATCTGAGAATTAATTTATATGACATATGGGTACCGGTATGGCAATATGAGCTCAACAAGTGGTTACTGTTTTTTTGTGTATGTACATATGGCATCCTCAAATATGGTCCCTACCTATTTTTTATTCATGCCATTCTCATGTGAATTCTCTATTCCAGCCATATGGACTGATTTACTAATCCTTGAAATAATCCTGTATTTTCCTGCCTTTTGCTTTACAAATATTCTTTACCTCTCTATATACACCTATAATCTCCCTGGCCCACAATGTAAAGTGATCATTCTTAAAAAAAAGTTCTTATAGTTGCATTTATGTTGGTACTTGATCATGGGCTATTTGGCACTTGATCACGTGCTACTTGTATCTTTTTTCCTATTTTGAGACTGAACTGTCATGTCTCTTATTGTTGTTGAGCTTTCCTTGCTTTTATATATATAGCTCCTCAGCTAGACTGTATTTAAACAAACATTGGACCTCAAAGGCAGAGACAGTACTAAATTATATTTCATGTAGCAAAGCTCAGTAAAGATGTGTTGATTTGGGAAAAAATGATTTGACTGTATATATTTTTTTGACTCCTTTTTCCTTCACAGGTTTTTGATCACAAAGTTTTTGTTGAAACTCAGACATACGTATTGCTGGCCCCTGACTAGAAGATAGTTTGAGCACATAGAATGTTTAGGGAACAAGCTATGATTTGGGAATTCTTAGGTTTTGAGAAGTAGGATATATTCTCCTTCTTTCCTGTTTGCCTTCTTGGGGATCTCCCATTTGCTCTTGAAGCCTCACCTCTGTTCTCCTCGCTTTTCCAAAACCTGCCCAGGAAGAGTGGGTTCTTTTTCCACCTGAGCTCATAGAACCTTTATTATGAAACATTGCTTTGTATCTCTTTGTTTATTCATTTATTTCTCCACTGGCCTCTGTGTTGCTAAGGACATTAATTTTGTCTTGGTCATCTTAGTATCACCGGCATTAAGCATAGTACTTTACCTATAGGAAGAACTGATTAACCACTGAATCAGTGTAAAAGCACGGGACTCATATTCAAGTTGTAGATACAAGATATGGCAAAAAGATGGTAACCATAAAACGGAAAAGCATGTCAAAAATGTGGTGCTTTCCCTGTATGAAAGGGGAGCCATGGAAGATATTTGAATGTATGTGTATTGGGGAAGGGGAGGTGAGCAGTATTCTGAAAAATGTCTTATTTTGGCATTTCTTGAAGAATTGGTAATTTATTCACAGAAAAGAGTGCTTATGAGGAAGGACGCTCTAGAACCTGGCACAAAAGCCCCTTTCTAGGGAAGATTGGCTTTGGAGAAGTGGGGGGTATCTTGGGTGACAGTGATGGTTCAAGAAATGATGGTATGATATGTGACGGTCATCAGGATGTGACATCAGTCACCTCATTGATAGCAAGGTTCTATTCAGCCGGGTTGGCTAGGTTAAGTCCCCTTCCTCTCCTATACGCACGTGTGGTCCCTATCCCAGAAGCTGTGAGATTGGTCAAAGCAAGTGGTCTTTCCAATTGGAGGAGGTCTACCCTTGGTCAAAGGCATGCGAGTCTGTATGCTCCCCTATTGGAGCACTAGGAGAACTACAGTATTTGAGCCAAACAAACTTTCAAGAAATTTGAAAGTGGCTCAGTAAGTTGTGGGACATACAGGTTGTCCGTTTCTCCATCATACCTCCCTTCTGCTCTTTTCGCTGCTAGAAAAATTCTTCGCAATTAGGAATTCCATCAAGCCCTAAATTCTTTGATGATTCCCTGTAACAGTGTCTCTTGAAGTGTGGGACAGATATTCCTGGTTAAATGCAAGATTTAGGTGGTACTCAGACATGGTGTTAAATAATTTTAAATTACACAGTGAAAAATTTATTTCATTTTAAGTTCCCTTTCAATCCTTCTCCTTCTGACAATGAGGATGTATAAGTGGAAGACCAGTGTAACATTTTCTAATCTCAGTTTTTAGTAAGGAGAAGAGCCTTCAAGCTAAGTGTTCCAATTACAAGCATATCATGCCATAATGTTAATAACATTTTCTTTTAAAAATTTGTGGCAAATTATTTCAGTTTTTAATATATGACAGTGATGTAAAATTTTAATGTTCTGGATGTAAGATGATATTTAGGAATTGTTATTAATTTTTTTAGGTGTGATGATGGCGTTATAGTCATTATCCTTTACAGATACAAATTATATATAGATGGAAAGATATAATGTCTGTGATCTGCTTAAAGTAATTCAGGAAGGGTGTGCTTGTGTGTGTGCTGATGGAGGTGGAGGTAGCGGTGGTGCTTAGGGGAGTACAAAGGAAACAAGATTGGTCATGGGCTGATATTTGCTGTGCTGAGTACATGTAGATTAATTATACTATTGTCTCTATTGTGTATATTTCAAAGTTTTCATAAGGAAATGTTTGAGTTAAAATAAAATTTCAGGCCGGCGCAGTGGCTCACACCTGTAATCCCAGCACTTTGGGAGGCTGAGGCAGGCGGATCACGAGCTTAGGAGATCGAGACCCTCTTGGTCAACATGGTGAAACCCCGTTTCTACTAAAAATACAAAAATTAGCTGGATGTGATGGCGCATGCCTGTAGTCCCAGCTACTCGGGAGGCTGAGGCAGGAGAATCACTTGAACCAGGGAGTCGGAGGTTGCAGTGAGCTGAGATCGCGCCACTGCACTCCAGCCTGGTGACAGCGAGACTCCATCTCAAATCAATCAATCAATCAATCAATAAAATAAAAAATAAAATTTCAATGTTAAATAAGTTGATTAATATGGAACAATAAGTGAGTTCAGAGAAAAACTATTAAGCAAATAAGAATAATATGGGTGGTATGTAGGTAAGTCATTAGTTAAACTACTGAAGTCTGCAAAACACTGGCTGCTGGAAAACATTCAAGCTTCTCATTGAGAAATCAAAGGTCCTTCCTGCTACAGGCCTTTCTCACCTCCTTTCTTGCCACTTTGGATTGCAATAATACCAGGTCACCGGTAGTTCCTAGTGTGCCATCCTCTCACAACCTGCATCTTGATGCAGATGGTTCTGTTTCTTGGAATGTTTCCCAAATGTGTTGTTTAGAAAATTCCTGCATTCTTTAACTCTCAGCCCAAACAATGGAAATTAAAAGAAAGGAACATTCTGAGAACTCTGAAAGAGCTGAAATCATTTGGAGACTAGACATGGCTTGATGCCAGAATAAGAAGGAGCCAAGGGTAACACTTAGGTTTTAACATGGCAACTTTGACAGACTAGCGAGGCTGGAAGGAGAGAGGTGTTCGTGGGTGATCAGTGCTAAATTAAATTTTAGGCATGTTGAGTTTGGCCTGTCCTCCAGGACTCCAAATTATTACTAGCAGCAGAAACTGGGCAGGGGTCATTCCTCTCCAGCCAACTCTTGAGTCCTCAGTAATTACATGACAGAAATGTTATAGAGTCCTTTTGCTCCTCTTTCTCTTTCTTGTCAGTCACATTTTGCGTATTGTTCTGCTGACAATGAGAAAGAGCAAAAGAAGGGAGAGGATGTGAAAAGCAAATCAGTCATTTGTTGCTTTTTAGGAGTGTTGAGAAAGTCTTGGGGGTTGGGAGAGTTAGAAACTGTTGATTTATGCAAATTTTTCCATTATGACTGACTTCTGATTATATTTCCCATCCACTGTTTTATCTGACTTCCAATTGTTGAGAAGTAGCTGTATTAATGTGGCTTCACCACAGCTTGTGAACTGCAAGGACTCACTGGAGACATACTATAGGACCTACTTGGACTCTGTATCCTTCCAAATGAGTTGGTGTCTGGTGAGGAGGAACAATATGATTACAGGATCTGAAGGAGATGGGAGGGGCCCTTTTCTTCAAGCACGGGTTGCCCCATGGGCACAGTGAATAACACTGGTTCTATTTTCATGTTTCTGTGGCAAACAGCAACTTCTGTATTGGTCTGTTAATACTTCAACCATTCTAGTTTGGTTATTTTTGTTTTGTTTTGTTTTGTTTTTGAGACAGAGTCTCCCTCTGTTACCCAGGCTGGAGTGCAGTGGTGCGATCTCGGCCCACTGCAATCTCTGCCTTCTGGGTTCAAGCAATTCTCCTGCCTCAGCCTCCTGAGTAGCTGAGATTACAGGCATGCACCACCATACCTAGTTAATTTTTGTAGTTTTAGTAGAGATGGGGTTTCGCCATGCTGGCCATGCTGGCCATGCTGGTCTCGAACTCCTGACCTCAGGTGATCCGCCTACCTCGGCCTCCTAAAGTGTTAGGATTACAGGCATGAGCCACTGTGCCCGGCCTATTTTGGTTCTCTGAGAAGCAATTTTTATACTGACATGCTGGATAGGAAGGATTTGATCTAAAAATAACATTGTTCTTTCATCATACTGGGACTTCCATTAAGTGAATGACGGTTTAGTTATACCATTGTCCTTTCTAACACCTGTCCTAATATCTCCCCTCCCTTCACTGGCAACAGAAATTAGGTACCAGTTCTACTGAGATGTTTTGCAATTGTCATCATTTTACTTTGTAAGCAAAAAGCATGTTTTTCTTTGTATTTCAAACTAAGGAATGCATGATTACCACTTTGGACCTCCTTGTGAGCATAAGATTTTACACTATTTGCACTGTAATAATTTATGACATTTTTATAGCTTACTGTTAGGGCTTGTACAAAGTAGAAGGAATGAATCTGTAGAGAAAAAAGAAAAAAATGAACACACCAATGTGCTGTAGTTATTCAGTGAAGTGCAAAATCTTGCAGGAGTTAGTTTTGTTTGAAACAGATTTTACTTCTCAGTACCCACTCTTTCTCAATTTTTACCAACTCAGTCCTTTTGGTGTTGACATTTTGTACTCTGGAGTTTTAAGATGTCATGCTTCATGACTTGTTCTCTGGGAAAGTGTTTCTTCTTGAAATGTCGGGTTGCTCTCATCTTAGGTGGAGTTTGGGGTCAGCCTTTGTTATTATTTTAATTTATAGACTTTTAATAATGAGGGTTGTTTCATTTGTGTTTCACTTAATTCAGCACAAGGTTTTGTAAATAGCCTCAGATTTATTTTAACATGTGAAGAGAGGGAACAAAAAGATTCCTATGGTAAAATTAAACATTTTCTCAAATTGAGGCTGTTGCTTGGTTTCTGTTCTTGTTAACGTGCATTTAAAAAATTATTTTCTGTGAAGCTAGTCTTCATAAAGGTGATTTGTGAATATATGAAAATGCAAGAGATGCACTAAAGTTGCAGTCTCCATGGTATATTTAAATATGCCAACAGCTACCCTAATGAGCAAATTTAGCATTTATCCAAATTGGAAAGCCAACGGGAGATTAGCTATGGCCATGGCTGGAGTCTGTATTCAAATATTCATTTGATATTGGTTGTAACTCCGGTGTATCCTCCTGATGTTGTGGATAGATTTATGCCTGTCAATTGAGGAGAGCATTTCTCACTCTCTGATATGCATCTGAGTCACCCAGGGGAGGTTTTTTGAAGTGAATGTCTCCCAGGCCTTGAGCCCCAGAGATTCTGAGTCAGTCATTCTGGGACAGAGCCCAGTCTTCTGTGTTTTGATTCATCAGAATCACCTGGGGAGCTTTTACAACATACCGATGGCTGGGCTCTATCCCAAAACACTGACTCAGATCCTCTGGGGGTGCAAAGCCTGGGTAATCTGTACTGATTTTCAGAAAAGAATGAAAATACCAAAATTATCTAGCAGAGATGGTCCTTTACAAGCATCATTTAATGTCACAGGATGTGCAGAGCTAGGGATAGGGTTAAGGTAATCTCATTAGGGACCGTGAAAGAATATGAGAATTCTGTCTGTCTTTAGTGAGATTGCCTTGCGATTAGATGATAACAAGGATGATGATGGTGACAATGACAACAACGTGACAGTAAGCTTTATACCAGTCATGCTTTTACTAGCTCTAAATAGAGAACTTTTGTTCTTGTTCTTTATGCATATGTGATTTTAGTTTGCCTAATTAATGTTATTTCAGGGACACCTGCTCTCGTGTTCCTACAATATTTATCATTAAAGAAATGAACAAATTCTCTAGCAATTATGAGGACTTGGAAAGAATAAAAGTACCCTGGGTCGTGTTGGCTAGGCTGACAGAAAATAATACCTGAAATATTTCACCACGTTTTCTCAAGGGCAAATTTACTGTAATGTGAAAAAATTTTTTATCAGTGAGTGTAATTTTACACATGAATTACAGTTCCAGCATTCTATTTTCAATTGCTATGTTTACTGCATCAGAAATGTATAGGGAATTTGTGTTCTCTTTTCCCTCATCTCATTTGTAGAGCCAGAACATGCAAAAATTGGAGTTGGTAAAAGTATTGTGCTAGGAAGATCAGGACTTTAGTTATCATTCTCTGTTTATTGTTTCTAATAAATTGTATTGTATATATTTGAGGTTTACAACACAATGTTATGGGATACATATAGATAGTAAAATAGTCCTGTCATAAAGCAAATTAACATGTCTATCATCTCACATAGTTACTTCTTTTTGTAACAAGAAAAGCTAAAATTTATTTATTAACAAAAATACAATATAATTTTCTTAACTATAGTCCTCATGTCATACATGAGATTCTAGGCTTGTTCATCCTACATATTCTTCTTCTATGTATTAATCTGTGACTTTGGACAAGCTACTTAAAGTCTTAGGGTCTTATTTTCCTCATGTATAAAGTGTTAATAATTTATCTGAAGGCAGGTGACTAGAGCAGTTAAACTCTTGAAGCCCATTCTGCTGCAAGTTCCTGTACTGAGTCTGCGGAAGGCAGAGGTGTGGCTAAGGCAACGTCAAGTGATGTGGGGTGGGCCGGGAGGGAGGGGCTTCAGAGCTCAGGAAGGCTGTATGTGCCTCCTAGCGTCCTTCAACCCTGGCCAACTTCTCCAATCTTGCTCCTGGTTGCTATGGTTTTTCCACATCTTCTGGTTTGTAGATTCATGAATTTATTAAATAATACGTGATAAAGCCTCAGTGGGACTCCTGAGTCATTTGTGAGGGATTAAAGACAATTTTACAGAGTTCTTTGCTGGCTTGGAGAGTTGCAGTGCTCAAAAACATGACTTGTGAAGACACGGATATACACTTATGATTAGGAAGCATTTTAGTAAAACATTCATGACTATTTCCTGCATTTCTATGGAAAAATAAATTCAATCACAGTAGGGTTTTTCACTTCATTGCTTATTAGAATGCATTCTTCTGCCTGGATAATATAAAGATAAAGTTAATGTTTCTTCTGTTTTGCAAAGGTGTTATTGGACCCACAAATATGCTCTGGTCTCTCAAGGAGAAAAAAGCTCCAAGGTTTTCACTCTTTAAATTACTGAAATAAAGGGAAATGATTACATGGTAATATTCCCTCTTGCTGCTTGAGAATTCCACAGAAAACAATAACACAGGATAGATTATTTACTGTGGCAGTTTGTGAAACATAGATTGCTGCTGTACTGCAAATTCTGCTTATCTCTTAAGAGCTGTCTGTACTGGGTGGCTTTAGTTTGTCCCTCCAGATTCACGCTTGGCCCTTCTCCACCCTCCTCTGTCCTGGGAGGCTATGCTGTATGCCTGCGTCTATCACTGTCTTGGTCAGCTTGGGCTGCTATCACAAAATACCAAAGATTCTGTGGCTTAAACATTGACATTTATTTCTCACAGTTCTGGAGGCTGGGAAGTCTAAGATCAAGGTGCCAACAAACTCTGTGTCTAGTGAGGGCCCTCTTTCCGGCTTGCAGAGGCTGCCTTCTCACTATATTCTCACATGGCAGGGAGAGAAAGATATTAGAGATACTGTGGAAGGAGAATGGTAGAACTTGGCATCTGTAAGAAGTCAGGAAAGGAATGGGAGGAATCGAAAATCACCTCCCTGCTCTGCTGGCCTGAGTGATTGGTGCAGAGTAATGGTGTAGAAACAGAAATGGGAACACAGTGAAGAAATCAGAGTTGAGAGAGAAGATGATAAATTCTGACAGAGCATGCATACCATGTCCCACCAGCATTCAAGAGCAGGGATGCATTCTATTTCATTTTTGCACCCCCAGTGCTTCAAATAAGTGCTGGTGTTCTCTATACAAGTGCTGTTGAACTTGCTCCACAGGTAGTCTGTGCAGAAATGGGCACTGTGTTCAGTTAGGGTGAATTTCTGATAAATTGGCTCTGGGTTTTTGATTTTGGGGTCACAGAGAAAGTGTAAAAAGAGTGTGTGATTCTTTGTCTTGCAACACCTCCAGCCATGGTCTGTTTTTGTAACCAGTGACAGCTTCCCTCCTCATAGATAAAGTTGGTATTTTACAGAATATATCAGGCATATACCATTTTCCCATTGAAGGTAGGTGGTCTGAAACTGAGATCTGAGCAGAGCCATCCAGAACCATATTGGCTCATTTAATTATGAGATTTTAAGTTATAGGCTTCATAAGTGAGTTTCCAATCACTTTGCTCTTTAAATTTTCAATCTTTCTCATGCTAGACTTCAGGTTTTCTAAGAAATATCTTTTAGGATTTCCATAGCATAACATAAAATTGGGTTGTAACTTCATATTTGGGGCATATTCTAAGTTACTCTTAGACTGTAAGAAGTATTTCTCTTGTCCGAAGCTAGGGAGATCCAAATAAAAATCTCCTCGGATATTATAAAGGAAGTGGTAGTTAACATACATTATTTCATTTAATCCTCACAGTGACTCAATGAGGTGGCATTACACCACATTTTCTCCGTTTTACAGATCACGAAACCAAGGATTACAGAGATTGATCAATTTGACCAAAACCACACAGTTGAAATGTTACAAAGCTGAAAAAAAGGCAACATATGTGAAGAGGAAATAATGCTACATAAACACTTTCTTTTGGAGTAGTATTTCTAGATTTTACTTCCATTACTTTTTTTTTGTAGGTAGCAGACAATGTATTGGAATATTTTTGTAAAGTTAAAAATTATATACTTTTTTCTACTCTTCAAAATTAAAACTGTAGAGGAATGGAAATAAGTTTTATTCTTGCTTATACACTCTCTTCTCTTTTCATTCCAATTTGCATTTAACTGCAAGATTATTCTTCCTGCTGTGTTTTTTCCATAAAGTCACTCTCCTGTTAAAAAACCATGAGTGATTTCCCATTGCTTATAAAATACAATTCAACTCCCCTATCTGGAGATTCTCAAATTTTTTCTTTTTTATATTCACGGCCTTCTTTGAAATATTGGAATTTTTATCTGCATGCCTGAAGGGATTAAAAGACTCAGAATCACACACAACCAGCCAGTGATCACTACCCACAACCCCTGTTGCAGTAGCGATTGGTCTCACAGCACCCAGGAAAGGAGCCACAGCTTGGCACCTTCATTCTTCTTGGCCTTTCTTCGGCATTGTGACACAGGTTGAGCCTGGTGCCAGGGCTGTGCTCTCCTGTGTACTTCAGAGGAAGCATCCTTTCAGGTTCCAGAGTGACACCATCTTTCCTGCAGACTTGGCCTGCCCTCTTGGTCACAGCGTTTTAGACCTGCTTTGTACAACTCTTTCAGCTTGTATTCTGTCACTGAGGGAACAATAGCTTTCCTCAGTGGTAGCAAACTATGTTTTTCTCATTAATAAAGTATGACAGCAGGGCACCTGTTTGAGAGTCACTTCCACAGGGAGCTGCTCCAGCTTTGAACTACATCTCTGCATAGTTCCCTTCCCCCACGACCCAGACCTATAGGCATTCTCTCTCCTGCCAGAGCGCTTCTGCTCACAGTGATCCCAGCTGCCTGGTTATCTTCTTCTACTGAAATCCTAACTACATTTCAAGATCTGGTTTAATTTTCATTTAATGACTTCTGCCCCTGGTGGTCCTGTTCTGAATGCCTCTAACATCATTTGTCTGTGTAGCTCATTTGGTGCTTGGATGTCAGAACCTTTGTGTGAACATCCCTGATTCAATAAAACTGCAATTAAAGGCAGGCCCAAATATTATATTTTGTACCTATTGCAGAACCTAATAAGCATGTGCATAGTGAATGCCCAGAAATCTAACTCCAAGGGCATTTAAAAGGAGGCATAGTGAGCATGGCTGTTTAAAAGCAATGAGTTGTGTAACATGGCTAAAAAGTGTCCCGTGGGTGAGCTTGGGCTATGGAGAAATTATTATTGTTGTTGCATAATATTATTCCATTTTCAAAATACCCTTGTGGAGCTCTGCTCACCTTTATTTCTAAGGCAGAATTGCTGAATCCTTCACCCCATGGCAGACCTCGGGTTGCCCAGAGTTTGCTGTTTTCTGAAAGAACAGTCCAACTCCTATCCTGGATCACCAGCCACGTGTGGAATGAGCTGGCCACTGAGACCAGGAGTGGTGTTGGTGACATTCTGTGACACAATGGACTTCTTGCACATATTTAAGAATTTGGCAGAGAGCACAGGCTGTTTACATTAAATTTAAAAAGCAAATTAATTTGAAAGGATTCTGGAGAGATGTGTGTGAAGAAATTCTACTACCATAGAAAAGTGATCTTTTCATCTTTTTAAAATTAAAATATACCCATTGCCTGAATTTTTAAATTCCCACCCTGAATTTTTCTATCACATGAGAATTTGGCCCAGTGTGTCTATTGAATTACCAATTATTATTATTTATAATACTCTCTTTCTGTTAGTGTTAGAATTCCTTGCAATGCTGACTATGCTCATAGCTTTTTCTGATGTGGTGGTTTCAGTCCTGAGAGAACATTTTCATCATGTGGAGCTTTAAAAAAGATCCTCATCGCTTTCCCAGACCAATCAAATGGAGATCTCTGGCATTGGATCTGGGGCATGGGTGTGGTTTTTTTGTTTAAATAAAGCTCTCCCAAGATTCAAACGTGCATCTGAAGTTGAGGACCACTGATCTCATGGGTTCCTGTGATCTCAACTGGAGCTTATTGCAAAGTGCATGCTTGTTGGTGAGCAGCTATATTAATTTTTGCCTTACTCAGTAATTACATCTGCAGGTCCCTTTAATGGAAATTATATGAGAAGAAACTTAGAAGAAGAGACAATTAGAATTTGGGATTCATCCTAGGGCTCCTTCATGACCAAAACAAATGTAGATGCAGGTTATTAGCTGAAATCTTGGTAATGTCTTCAGCTGAGGTTCATGCTTTATGGAAATTGTTCATGCATTTAGAAAAATAGCATGTCCAAGTTCTTGTTTAACAAGTTACTTATTTACTGTTTTTTTTTTTTTTGAAAAATAAGGAGTGAAGGGAAGTATTGCCTTATAATTGTATATTAAACAAGGTTGTTAACAAAAAAATCACCAAAGTATTGGCTTCTATTGTGCCTCACTGTGGAGATTTCATATATAACTCTTAATTTTCTCTCAGTGGTTGTCAGTGGACAACGGGTCAGTACTTGCTGCAAAATTCTATGTCCTCTTGCCTTCCATCTTTATAGGTATTGGAGAAATATTTAATGAGAATAGAAAATAAATTCCTTCAGAGAAAAATTAGTCCTTTTTTTAAAAAAATAATTTAATATTATTTTAAGTTCCAGGATACATGTGCAGGATGTGCAAGTTTGTTACATAAGACACAGGTAAACATGTGCCATGGTGGTTTGCTGTACTTGTCAACTTATCTCCTAGGTATTGAGCCCAGCATGCATAGCTATGTTTCCTGATGCTCTCCCTCCCCCAGCTCCCGTGAAAGGTCCTAGTGTGTGTTGTTCCCCTCCCTGTTCTCATCATTCAGCTTCCACTTATAACTGACAACATGCAATATTCGTTTTCCTGTTCCTGCGTTTGTTTGCTGAGGATAATGGCTTCCAGCTCCATCCATGTCCATGCAAATGACATGGTCTTGTTCTTTTTTATGGCTGCATAGGATTCCATGGTAAATATATACCACATTTTCTTTATCCAGTCTATTATTGATGGGCATTTGGGTTGATTCCATGTCTTTGCTATTGTGAATAGTGCTGCAATGAACATACGTGTGCATATATCTTTATAATATAATGATTTCTATTCCTCTGGGTATATACCCAGTAATGGGATTGCTGGGTCAAATGGTATTTCTGATTCTAGGTCTTTGAGGAATTACCACACTGTCTTCCTCAATGGTTGAACTAATTTACATTCCTGCCAATAGTGTAAAAGAGTTCTTATTTCTCCACAGCCTCACCAGAATCTTTTGTTTCTTAACTTTTTAATAATTGCCATTCTCACTGGTGTGAGATGGTATCTCATTGTGGTTTTGATTTGCATTTCTTTAATAATTAGTGATGTTCAGCTTTTTTTTCACATGTTTGCTGGCCACATGTATGTCTTCTTTTGAGAAGTGTCTGTTCATGTCCTTCACCCACTTCTTACTAGTTTTTTTTTTCTTTTAAATTTGTTTAAATTTCTCTTGTAGACTCTGGATATTAGACCTTTGTGAAATGGGTATATTGCAAATATTTTCTCCCATTCTTTAGGTTGTCTGTTTACTCTGATGATAGTTTCTTTTGCTATGTAGCTCTTTAGTTTAATTATATCCCATTTGTTGATTTTTGCTTTTGTTGCAATTGCTTTTGGCATTTTCATCATGAAATCTTTGCCCATGCCTATGTCCTGAATGGTATTGCCTAGGTTTTCTTCTAGGGTTTTTATAGTTTTAGATTTTACATTTAAGTCTTTAATCCATCTTGAGGTAATTTTTATATAAGGTGTAAGGAAGGGGTCCAGTTTCAATTTTCTGCATATGGCCAGCCAGCTCTTCCAGCATCATTTATTACATAGGATGTCCTTTCCCCATTGCTTGCTTTTGTGAGCTTTTTGTAGATCAGATGGTTGTAGGTGTGCAGCCTTAATTCTGAGTTCTCTATTCTGTTCTATTGGTCTATTTGTCTGTTTTTGTACCAGTACCATGCTGTTTTGGTTACTGTAGCATTGTAGTATAGTTTAAAGTCAGGTAGCATGATGCCTCCAGCTTTGTTCTTTTTGCTTAGGATTGTCTTGGCTATATGGGCTCATTTTTGGTTCCATATAAATTTTAAGATAGTTTTTTCTAATTCTGTGAAGAATGTCAATGGTACTTTAATGGGAATAGCAATAAATCTATAAATTACTTTGGGCAGTATGGCCATTTTTGTGATATTGATTCTTTCTGCTCATGAGCATGAAATAGTTCTCCATTTGTGTCCTCTCTGATTTCTTTGAGTGGTGGTAGGTAGTTCTCCTTGAAGAGGTCCTTTACTTCCCTTGTTATCTGTATTCTTAGGTATTTTATTCACTTTGTAGCAATTGTGAATGGGAGTTCATTCATGATTTGGCTCTCTGCTTGTCTATTGTCGGTATATAGGAATACTTGTGATTTTTGCACAATGATTTTGTATCCTGAGACTTTGTTGAATTTGCTTGTCAGCTTAAGAAGCTTTTGGGCTGAGATGATGGGGTTTTCTAGATATGGGATCATGTCATCTGCAAAGTAGTTACTTTCTTGTTACTGAACATGTTCTAAAGCTTGTAGAACTGCATTTTATTGTTTGGTGAATTGATCAGCTCTAAGAAGCTATTCTACAGAGGTAGGTAGGGAGTGTCAAATCCTTGTGATGGTTGCCTAGAGATCCTTTTGAAAGACATATACCCAGTATTAGAACAGACTCAAGGTATCCTGTTTATTAGTCATACCAGCATTTAAGTCCTCCACTTATCTTCATTCATCATTTACTCTGCTTTCAACCTTCTCCCTTTTAATGTAGCCAAATGATTATTTCCCAGACATTTCTAAGGCTTAAGCATTTTTGCTGTTTAAACAAAACACTTTTTTGTTTGAATGGTTGAAGTATTCGCCTGAAACCTCCTGCTCTCATGGTCTTCTCCTTGTCTGTAAATGGCAGCCCCACCTTCCAGAGGCTCAGGCCTAAGACCTTGGCATGGTCCATACAGATCCCACCTCCAAATCCTCCACAAGCTTAAGTTCTACCATCAAAATATATTCCAAACTGACCTTTCTTGCCACCTGCACTTCCTCATTCTGGTTCAAGTCTTTTTTTACCCCTGAAATATTGCTGTACCCTCTTGACTCTTTTTCCTCCTTCTGCCCTTGACTCTCAGTCTGTTCTTCACACGGAAGCTAGAGGGATCTTTTTAATATTAATCAAGATGATATCATCTTTAAACCCCAGTTCCTCCGATAGCTTTCTCTTCCACTCAATGTAAAATCCATAATCCTTACAATAGCCTCTAAGGCCCTGAATAATCTACACTTCCGTGAGCACACAATCAACTACTTTCTCCCTTGTTCAGTCAGCTCCAGACATATTGACCTTGTACTCTTTCTAAAACCAATCAGACTTTCAAAGTTCAGAACCTTTGCAATAGGTGTTTCCTCTGCCTGGAACACTCTTCCCCCAGATATCTCTATGTCTGGCTCTCTCACTTCTTTTATTTCTCAGTGAGACCTTCCTTGATAACCCCAAAGAAAAACTAAAATTGTACCCTCTCCATCATCCTTCACTGCCTGTTTTTATCCAAAGCATTTGTCATCATCAAACATATTACATGTCTCTATCATCTGTTTATCAATCATCTATCTTCTATTTATGTATGTACCTATATATGTATGCGTGTACATATGTATGTATGTATCTATCTATCTATCTTCTACCTACCTACCATCTACTCTCTATCTCTTGTCCTCCAACTAGACCAAGCTCTGACTGTTGTCACTGCTGTGTTGCCCAGGGTCTAGAACATTGCTGACACTGTAGATGCTCAGTTAGCATTTGTCGATTAAATACTGAATGAATGTGTGAAGCATGTATGCTAACTTTCAACTCCAGTGATTCAGACTTCTGACCTAGTAGTCAAACTTTTCTGATACATGCAAACAGAATTCTGGATTCTCGGTGTCATGTTTTGTTGATCAACGGATTATAAATCTTTTAAGTGACATTATTCCAGTGGGCTAGTAAAGATCATCTAAAAGCATGAAAATGGTCCTTCAGGTTCCATCAATTATTGCCAGATGTTAGAATATTGTTCTTTACTTCCTGATTTGGGGAATATGATATAAAATTAGCTGAAATTCCATACTGAGAAATATCTACAAGGTAGAGACAAATCTTAAAATGTACAAGAAAACAAAGTTGTTAATGATATGTTTAATGCATTATTCATCTGAAAGGTGAGATTATGGGTGCCTTATTTTGTTATTTTTTCCATGTCTATATTTAAAATTTTTATATAATTTAGTCAAATAATAATTGAAATGATTACAAAACCAAACTGATTTTTAATAATTAAAGATGTTATTCATCATACTTTAACAGTATTCTGTGAATTTCTATGTAATAAACACCTATCTATTAAGACCAGAATAGATGTAGTGTCAGATTGCAAGTTGCCCAAGACTCCCAAGACTTTTAACATCATAGAGCCAGAGTCATTAGTTCATTCCTTCATTGAAAAATATTAATTGAGCACCAACTAGGAACCAGGCACTATATCAGGCACCAGGGATATAGCTATAAACAAGACAGCAGGGCCCCTCAGGGGCTTTGCGTGATTCAAATTTATGCCACTCCCCTGGAGCGTGATTCAAATATGCTATGTTGTAATACTAACCCTGATTTCACGAACTTGATTTTCTAGAAGGAAGTACAGACAATGACAAGTAAACAATAAATGAGCTGATTAGAGATTTGCTGAGATCTATGAGGACAGGGTAGGTGATCACAATATTGTGAGGAGATGACATTTATGCTGGGACCTGAAGGGTGAGGCTGAGGTAGCTGAGCAAGAGTGTTCCAGGCAGAAGGGGAGAGAAAAGGGACTAGGAAGCCTGGAGTGTGGTGAGTAAGGAGCACAATCCAAGAGAATGATGCCGAGAAGGTAGGTGGGGCCATCTCACATAGGGCTCAGGGCTGTGGTGAGGAGTGTGGAGGGTATTCTGAGTGCAGTGGGGGACTGTGGGTGGTTTTAAACAGTGGAGTGTCATGATCTGATTCTGTTTTAAGATCTCTCTGGCCACTGAATAGGCAGCCACAGACATGAGCCTGGAGTTCCCCCAGAGAATTTCGAGCTGGAGATACTAACTTGGAATATATCACTAGATGGATTTTTTGATGCCTGGGAACACTTAGGGGATGAAGTTGTAGATACAGAAGAGATCAGGCCCTGGACACCCCAGGTGCTAGCACCCATGGCACCCCAGCCTTTAGAAATGTGACATAAGAGGAGAAAGCCACAAGAGTGGTGGAGAAAAAAATTGACCTCAAAGTAGGAGGAAAACCAATGATGTTGTTTTAAGCCACAGAATTTTAGGGTAGGTTATTCAGCAATAGATAATCAGAACCCTAGGAGAGACCCCTTGGACATTATAGTCAGCTGTATTAAGGCAGAAGATCCACTGCTTTTTGCATAGAGACAACAATATTGTTTCTTTATGGGTCTTTGAATTACTCATTTTTATTTGGAGCTAGTAATATGTTGGGTTTTTTAAGCAATAAGAGGCCATGAAAAAAAAGGAGAAAATAAAACTTAAGAACTGTCAGATGGCTAACAACCAGAATTTTTTAGGTGACTGTAGAGAATAACCTAGTTTACCTTGTCTTCTTCCCATAGGTCTGCAACTGTCTGCTAATTCCTTACCCCTGCAGTGTAATCACTGCTGTTCACAATGCTGACCTTGATTTTCTTTCTGTGCTTTGATTTTTGAATCTTATTTTAGTGTTAAGTGTTGCATAGGTGATACTGCAGAACAATGATGTAATTGATGGAAAGGTGCCAAGAAACACAGTAAAAGGATAAAGGATATAAAGCAAAGGACACAGAAACTTACCTCTAGTCAGGTAACTACACAAATCAGACAATGCAATGTGCTCCAAGACAAAGGTAAAGTCTCTCAGGTCCCCAAAGTTCCCATGAGGTCTGAGCTGTCAGAGAAGCATCAGCATAGCCAGAGAACAGCCACTGGGTACAGACTGAGGTTTTGCTTGCCTCCTTGTATTTGCCAGGCCAGGGCCAGTAGTAGGGCAAGGGAAGTCAAGAGCCTAAAGCACCAAATCTAAAGAGACACCTACTCTCAGGGACATGGACATGTAGGCAGGGTCAGTGCCTGAGAGTGGGCACCTCCTTAGGTGCCTCACTTATCCAACCCTATTCCTGGCCCTGCTCCCAGCTTCTCCCAACTGTTCTGGATTTCCTGTATGCTGGCCTCCTCAGAACTGATGCAGAACAATTCTAGCATATTTATTAGTGATAACTTCAGCATCAGGTGAAATGGAGGTCACCTGGTTGCTTAGACCAGCACCAGGCTTTCAACTTACTAGAAATCCCTTCCTACAAATTAATTTTTCTAACATTGTACTTGACCAGAATATTTGATTTAACCAACCTTCCCCAGCCATGGTGGAAAGCAAAGAATTGACTATACTTGAGGTGCTCATGGTTGTCCACGGATAAACTTTACTTGAATGGACAAGTTATTAAGTGAACTTTCCTATTACATTTGTTCCTCCAGGCTCCTTAACACCTTGCTTTAGTTTTACTGAATGCCCTTATTACCTGCTGTTATGGTTTGTATACTGCATGCGCACAGCTTTTTTCTTACCATTGAAAAGCTATTGATAGTTTAAAATCTGCCTTTGCCCAGTGGTAGCCTTAGCTGCAAAGTGAATTTCTACACCAAAATGAATTTCTACATGAAGCTGTAATCATTATTTGCCAAAAGAGCCACCTTTAGTATTTGGATTCTAGTATAATTTTCTATACTATCACAAAAATCCAAAAGCCTGGGAAGAAGTTGTCTGTGTGACTTGGAAGCTGTGGCTGAACTAGCATTGTTTTTGCCTTTGGCATCACAAAAATCCAAAAGCCTGGGAAGAAGTTGTCTGTGTGACTTGGAAGCTGTGGCTGAACTAGCATTGTTTTTGCCTTTGGCTTGTTATAAGGAGGAAAACACGACAATGACAGAACAGGCAACAATGGCAATTAAGGGTCATGAGTGAATTGTCTTACAAGTATGAAATAAAGCAAACATGAAAAAGAAAGTACTAATAACTGATAAAGTAAATCAAGCTGAAAAATTTAGGTCACAGTAAAGAATAGGTGTTTTATAAGCCTTATGTGATAGCAAGCTTTCTCTTTTTGTTAACAGACACTTCCAAGGCATTAGTGGCATGATTAGAAATCAGCCATTTCTCTATTCTCTAAGAATACCTGTATCTTTGCCAGGTATTCTTATTACTCCAATCAATTGGAATTTGTAAGTCTGATGATCCTTATAGAAGCAGTGCCTTGTCATGAGATCTGACACTAAAAATACAATCCTCAGAGGCTTACTCAGTTCATACTCTAAACCTTGAGAAGTTTTATCTGTTACCAAAAAGGAAGTTTTGTCTCCTCTCTATTGGCACTCATTCCGCAGATACATTTTCAAAAGAGAAAAATATTAAACGATGTAGTTTGTGGCATTACAGATACTCTGAAGAGAACAGTTCATTGAAGTTAAGAAGAAAACATTAATTACTGAGACATATATAGCTTTTGAGTTACCTCTGATCATTGGTGAGAAATGTGTCTTGCATTGGCTTATACGTTATTTTTTCTCCGCTGTGGCATGCTGTCTGTGCTCTGGAGAATTCTAACTCTTGGATAAAGTATACCATTTTTCTCTTACCCAGACTCACATTTTGCCTTCAGTTGCTGCCCTAAAAACTCTTTTCAGCCTACTCTTATCTACATTTATTTAGAGCGATCAGTAATAATAAGCATATACTGAAAGATGTTTACATTTGGGCTGAACAGTGTGCTAGTCTTTTTTATGTTTTGTGTGTGTGTATGTGTTTATAGAAACCCTTTCCTAGCAAAAATTCATTAAAAATCTATATTTGCTTTTAAATGTTTCAAGTTTTATTTTTCATGTGTAGGATTTTAATACCTAAAACTGATTTTTATTTATGGTGTGGTATAGGCATACAAATTTATTATTTTTTCCACAAAGATAACCAGTTGTTTCAGTATATTTATTGAATTACTCATCCATCAGTTCTCCCAGTTATTCTCAATTCCACCCCTCTCATGTATTGGGTTTTCATATAGGTGTGGGTCTATTTTGGAATCCTTTATTCCATAAGACAGCTTTCTAATTTCCTCATCCATACCACACAGTCCTAAGTACTGTAGATTTATAAGAAGCCTTGGTATTTAGTAGGGCTAGTTCTTCTATTTCTTCTATCTTTTTTTTTTTTTTTTGAGACGGGGTCTTGCTCTGTTGCCCAGGCTGGAGTGCAATGGGGCGATCTCGGCTCACTGTGCCCTCTGCCTCCCAGGTTCAAACAATTCTCCTGCCTCAGCCTCCTGAGTAGCTGGGAATACAGACGCACACCACCATGCCTGGCTAATTTTTGTATTTTTTTTTTTTTTAGTAGAGATGGGGTTTCAACATGTTGGCCAGGCTGGTCTCAAACTCCCGACCTTGTGATCTGCCTGCCTAGGTCCCCCAAAGTGCTGGGATTACAGGCGTGAGCCACTGTGCCCAGCCTATTTCTTCTATCTTGCTTTCTAAAACTGTCTCTGTCATTCTTGGCCTTTTGCTCTTCCTTATGCATTATGGAATCAACTTATCAAATTTCATGAACAACTTTGTTGAAGTTTTTGTTTGTATTAGATTTGATTAATGAATTAATTAGGAGATTCTCCTTATTGTTAAACATTGTGTATCTATTTATATATTTAAAATTTCCCCATACAGTTGTATAATATTCTCCATATGACATATCTTTATATATTTCATTTTAATAATTTTTAAAATTTTATTTTTGAATCCAATATTATGGGTAAAAAGGAGTGTTATTGGTTTTAGAATATGAATCTTGTATTTCACAACTTGGTCAATCTTCTTATCAGTGCTAGTAATTTCTTTACAGATTTTCTTAGATTTTCTGCATTGACAATCATATTATGTGTAATCAAGGACAATTTTGTCTCTTCTAATTCTTATTCCCCTCAAAAAATTTTTTTAAATTTAATGTATTGGTTAGGATGTCTGCAGGATATTAATTGGCTGTCCATAGCAGAGATTCTTGTCTTGAAACCGAATTTAAAGGGAATGTTTCTAATGCTGTATCATTCAATGTGATGCTTGCCATTAAGTTTTTGGTAAAGTCTCTTTATCAGGTTATTGGCAGAATTGCTGCAACCTATGACAAATGTAAAACAGCAGGGTTATTGAAACAAGCTACAGTCCACATGTTGTACTTCGTCCTGAGGCTGTAATTGATATTCATCAGCACACTCTTCTGTAACCCATTCTAGAGTTCATTCATGCTTACATTGTGTTTAAGCAGTTCTAAGTTGTTTGCTTGGTCAGTGACCCAGATCTTCATCCCTTAGAGGTCTGAGCCTTTGTTTATTTTATTTTTTAATACCTGTTGGACCATGGTTGCTGAGATTTCACATTTAATGTGACTACAGGGCAGAGAAGCACCATGAAACACACCAGTAAATTCCCTGATGTACAGACACTCTTCTTTCTGCTCCTACTGTGTAGCATCAATCCTAGATCTTGACAGCAACAAGGGTCAATAGCTCCCATCTTTACAGTGATCCTTTCTTTGCCCAGTAGTCTACTGGAATGAAGAGCTCATATGATTAATTGATTATTATAGCTTCGTGGTCAAGCCCCTTACTGCATCCTCTGGTAGAAGCCTAACCTACACTGTGAATCAAGGGGTTCACAAACAGATCCTGTTTGTGGAGAGAAGCAGCACACATTCAGCAAGTGGGTTACTGAGCGGAATGCTGACAGGGCTCAATCCTACTTCACTGTTGGTTCCAGACCCATGAATTTTAGTTATTGGAGAGAGAGCCCCTGACTTTTCCTCCAGCCTTGATGCCATGGGGGCAATTATTTCTTCCTTGTCTCTGATTATTAAGTGCTAACATCTGGCCTCTGCCATTACCAAATTCCACAACCTAATATATATACTGATGTTGAAGTTGGGAGCCCAGTTCCACAGCAGTATTGCCTACTGTCAATTTTAACCTGCAGAGGACAGCCATTGCCTAGCTTCTCAGTGGGTCTGGTATGCCTCTCACCTGTGCATTCCCTATTGCTTTAATGAAGTGACTATCCTTGGACCCTTCTGGAGAATACATTCAGGTGGTGAGTTCTCCAGCAGCACTTAAATCCTTTCTAACAGTCTCACCTCTCAGAGGCTTCTGACTCCTACCTCAATACTCTGCTGAGACAATTCCATAATCTCTGCCTCGTTCACTGTAGGCCATTGTCATGATCAATTTTTAACGGGTCATTCTAACCACATTTTTGGGTCAGAATCAGGTGGCTTTGCCAGAACATTAAGCTCTCAAATCATAGCACATCAATAAATCCTCCCCTATCCCCACTGCATTTTCTGCTTGTAAAACCCTGAAGACCTGTCTCATATGTATTCTCCACTCTCCAGGTTCCCAGCAGCACACATTAGAATCCTGCAGTTCCATTGCATATATCCTCGTTCCTGCCACAGCAGAGATTTTATTTCCTTCCTCAGGCTGTGGTGCAGCCCATTCTGGAGGCAATAAGGGGAAGCATGGTAGCTCTTGGGATGAAAAGCCTCGTCACGTGAAGCACCTGCCTCAGGTGAAGTCCTTGCAGCATCTCCAGTGGAAAGGAGGCCATTCTCTAATAAGAGGGAGGATGCTGCTTCTTCCAGGCTGGAGAATTCAAAAGGATCCAGGTATTCAAAATTCTCAGGGCTTTCTACATCTAAGGCTCAAGGGCCCACTCTTATCAGGGCACTGGTTAAGACATAAGAGATCTGTTAGAGATTTCTGTAGCTCTATGGTTGCAGTTTACTAAGGCCAGCCAACCCCACAATCCTTATAATTCGCATTCCCCCATACTGTTCAAATGCAGAAACTAGTGATTCATCTGTCATCTGTACCTCATTTTCATCTACTAGAGGTGAGCCTTTTGATAGTGATACTGGTCACTGGTGAGTCACTAGTTCCAGAGTCCCATTCTGAACATATACTTCCTGTAGCAACTCTCTTAGCTTGTGTTTTCTCAGAAAGTGGAGCCTGAGATACAGGCTTGCACTTAGGAGGTAGTTAAGAGGTGATTCCATGGAGCTGGGATGAGAGTTTCAAAAGAATAAAACAGAGGAGGGAAAGGCAAATGAAAGGTTTATTATCAAGTAGTCACTGTTGTGGGCAGCTGAAACTCAATCATGCCTCCTGTGTAGTCTACAGAATGCAGCTCAAGTCATGCACTCAAAGGAGGTAACAGTGGAGCACTTATCTACAAACTCCCATCCCCCATTGGTCAAAGATTGCTGACTCTGCTTATACAATCCCAAAAGTGAGTACTTTCTTAAATTTTGTGCTTTAGTCACTTGACTTGCCTCATTCTTAGCTCTGCTTCTCAGCTTATGAATATACAGCGTTCAATGTGTTATGAAGTAGACCTTATTGTACCTTTTGTTGTTACTACATCAGTAAATTCAACACAAGAAATTAGCATCTACAAAATGTTAAGAGATCGTATATGTTTTCTGGTTCTGAGATAGTAAACTGAGTTTTTTTTCAGGGGTTGATGAACCCCAAATCAGGTAGGCCCTGAGCTAAGGTTTCTGAATAGTGGAAATTTAGACTATAGGGAGGTTCATTTTCTGCATGACTGGGAGGGCTGAAAGAGTGGGGGTGGATCCTGTGTTGGTGCCTGAGTTGCAGTACTTGATTTGCTTTTGATCAGTAACTATCAGTAGACAATAGCCTCCTCTGCAGTGTAGCCATTTGGCTCTGTTTAATGAGAAGAAAAACAAAGACATTACGTTGTGTTATGAAGTTCGTGAAAATACGATTTTACACGCATGGGGCCCAATGACAATTAAGAGAGAGATATGCCACCATCATTGTGATTCTCCCTGGATTGCAGATATGTGAAGTGCAACTCTCCACTCAGAGACAATATAAAATGTGTCTTGAAAGAACAATGTTGCTGGGTAAAATGAAAATGCCCTGCTTTAGGCCAGACCCCCAAATTTTTACTTCCTTCTTTTTTGAAAGCTTGGCTCTCTATTTGCTTCTTTATCAATAGGTTTTTGCCTTTGGGGTAATCCTGCATGCTTCTTCTCCCTTTTCCAACAGACTTTTTCTTTATACATGCTGACTTTTCATCACTATCTTTTTTACTTCTTAAATTTCCTTTTTTCCACACTTAAAAAAATTTGTGCCTATGAGGAGGAATGTAAGAAAAGTTATTGCTGGCAAGGTTGGTAACACTGGTCTTCTCGGCTAGTCAAGCATCCTGGGAGATGCGCTATTTAGGGGGAGTTTTGGGTGAGGGACTAAAAGGGAATAATGTGTGGGTAGGAGCGCCTCCTGCAAATGACAATGATGCATCCTTAAGTAAATTCTGCCTTGCCAGAAGCTAGGTCATAGCTAGGCAAGCATCAGAGGTAGAAGTAAGAAGGGTCACATATTAAAAATTGAGAGACTGATTTTTCAATTATTTTTCTTTCTTATACATCTTAATGTTTTAGAGTTTGTCTCAGCCCTTGAAGTTAAGGGGACAGGTAAACACTCACCTATGGTAAGAAATGCAATAAGAACCACAAATATGATTTTCTGTACACGACTTAGATGCCAATTTGCCAATATCAAGGGGAAGACCCATATCTTCTACTTCCCGTATGACCAACTTATGGCAAAATGTGCTTCTCTTTAATGAGCATCATGTCGACAATTCAAGGAGTCAATTACACAAATGCTAAAAAACACCCTAATTAATTTGAGATGTCTTAGCAGGTTGGGCTGTGAATTGGTGAAATTAATTTTGATATTGGTTTAAATTGTCACTGAGATGTTGGTATCCGTGACTTTTGGTGTTATTCTAAATAAAGGGTTGGCAAACTTTCTGTAGAGGGTTAGATGATATTTTTCATTTTGCTGGCCATTTGGTGCCTTTTGAAACTAGTTAACTCTGCAGTTGTAGTGCAGCAAAAGCAGTTATAGACAATACATGAACAAATGAGTATGACTGTATTCAATGAAATCTTATTTACAAATACAGAAGAATGGCTGGATTTGCCCCATGAGCTGTAACTTGCCAACCCCTGTTCTAAATTGTCACTGAGATGTTTGTATCTGGCAAAGCACTCCTAAATGACGTTTATTTTTTAAAACAGATGTTTCAGTTTCCACGGCAAGCATCTCTAAGGGTTCCATGAAAGAAAATGCAGTCTCATTTAATTTATGTTCGCTGCATCACATTCTGCCCCTATTCCATCGCCATACCCAGGGTCCAAATGTTTGGACATGACAATCAGTGCTTCAAACCTACCTGAAACCACCTTTATACACTTGAAAACCATTTACTTAAAGAGTAATGGCACACATTGCAGCAACTTTTCTTTCTTGGGTCATGGCAGCAACTATTATTTCATCAAATCACATTTGATTGAATGCATTCAGAATTAGTATTCATAATAAATTAATAATTAATGAAAACTACTGTTAGGAATGAGTTCTTTGATTTAGGGAAAGCGTCAGAGTTTGCAAACAGCATCTTTCATTTGTATCCTTTTCTATAGAGAAGAAAGACTGCTTTATGTTAAGAGAGAGTCTTGAATAGAGTTGGTGTTGAATAAATGTGTTCAGTTTGGACTAGGTCTTTGGGTTTGTCTCTGCCAGTTTTCCTGTTCTTCCTTAAACTTAGAGCAGAGAAACTGATGCCATTGCCTCTGCAAAAGAAAATTCTGAAGTTAGAAGTAATTGTTTCAAGGGCTAGCCCTAGGTAGTAAATCTTTATTAAATATGTTTAATGAACTTGATTGCACATTTATTGATGGCCTACTATGTGAAAAGGGCTCTGACAAATGCTAGCAGCTATCAAGAGATAGCTAGCAAATGCAAGCAAATGCAAGAGACACATTTTCTGCCTTTCAGAAGTTTACTATTTATAATCAGCAGATGAACATGTTAAAGTTCAATACATACATACAGCTGCATCCTGGGCTTTTTCAGGCCAGGACTGATTACGGGTAACTGCAACATTAAGCCCATAGTTAAAAACAGAATGGCTCTAATTCCCACCGCTAATGCTAGACTTCTAGACCCTAAAGCGTCCCCACAACGATTTATTGGACAGTGATACAACCCCAGAGCATGGACCACCTAAGGGAATTTGCACCACCATGAGGAATCCATCCTCTTTTTCTCCCTTCCTGTGGTGTGGCCTGCGGCTGAGCCAGCCCTGCCTGTCTCTGTGATTCCCACCACAACCAACCAGGCCAGTGCCCATTGTTCTGGACTGTCCTGCTCTGTCAAACCCACTGATGCTGTGCAACTTGTTGGTGCATCCATCTGCACACTTGATTGAGCTGCTTTTTATAAGTATTAATGCTTTTTATACTTATAAAACCCCATATCTTATAAAAAATTAATACTTATAAAATACTTTTTATAAGGAAGCATTAATATTTATTAAAATACTTTTTTTTATTTTTTTGAGACAGTCTCACTCTGCTCACTGCAACCTCTGCCTCCTGGGTTCAAGCAATTCTTCTGCCTCAGCCTCCCGTGTAGCTGGGACTACAGGCACACACTGCCATGCCTGGCTTATTTTTGTATTTTTAGTAGAGATGGGGTTTCACCATATAGGCCAGGCTGGTCTTGAACTCCTGACCTCAGGTAATCCACTGGCTTCGGCCTCCCAAAGTGCTGGGATTACAGGCATGAACCACCACAGCCGGCCTATAAAAGTACTTTTTATAAGTATTAATGCTATTATAAGTTAGCTGCTGTGTGAGAAGGGCCATACTGCAGAGTGCCCCAGTAGGGCGTGGTGTTGGGGTGGAGTTGGGCCATGATACTGAAAGGTTCTACTGCATAATTGGTGGGAAGTGAGGATGCTGGATCTAACTGCTGGGTTGGACCTGACACTCACAGACTGTGTAATCTTATGTACATTCCATAGCCTCTCTGTGCCTGTTTCCTCATCTGAGAAAAAGAGATAATAATACTCCCATATCATACTATTGCTCTGAGAATCAAATGAATTAATCAAGTAAAGCATTTAGAACAGCTTCTGGCACACAGGAATCACTACACAGATGCTGTTTGCTATCACTGTTATTATTATCCCTTCAACCCTCAGGGAGGAAGGTCACGGCCTGTGGTCTCAGGACATCTAATGCTGTTAACTCTATGATCGAGCAGTTGCATTATGTCATAGGATTATACTGTACATGTGGTATTTTCTGTGACTGTCATGACTTGAGAAAAGTCAGAAGGCATTGCTCTTACATGGTTCTAGTTTAAGTCTCAGGAAGACTAACAGATGCTTTTTTTTTTCTTTGTCCGTTCTGTAGATGATGATGCTGAGGTTAACAAACTTGCCCCAAGTCATACACTTAGAAAATGTCAGAGCATAAATTTAAATCCAAATTCATTGGGCCCCAGGACCCTTGAGCACTGGGTGAAATGCCACAGTTTACTCCAGTGACATAGGACAGCTCCTTTACTCCTCTCCTTGCTCCACTTTGTCATATACTCCCAAAGCCTAGCTGCCTGGGGGCCTCTCAGAGATGTGTGAATATATTTAGTGAAATATCTCCCTAAGCCGCCCTTTTCCAGGACTTAGTCAAAGGCCAGAAGAACAGTGCTGGTGGGCCAGGAGGGTAGGGACTGACACTCTGTTTCTTTAGCATGATTTATATCTTGGTGGATACCGAGTGGCCTCATGTAAGTAGACTCTGAAAGGGAGGTGGGAGGGGAGGGGCACAGTTTGGGTTCCAGCTGGGCCACACTTTATCTGTAGTGCAGATTTACACTTGCTTTGGATGTTGAGATCTAAAAGAGCCCAGCAGACATGACACCACACAAGCTATATTTAGGAAGTTTTAATAGCCTGGCTTGGTGGTATCCCTTAGGGAATACACATCACTGATTAGCTAGTGTCACTGTTGCTCCACTGGTGGGCAACTGCAATAGCAAGACATTTTTCTTCTAAAAAATGAATTTCTAAGTCAAATTCATAGCAAACTCAGACATTTGACCTTATTATTATTTTTTATTTTTAGAAACAGAATCTTGCTCTCTCACCCAGGCTGGAGTGCAGTGGCATGATCATAACTCACTGCAGCCTCAAATGTCTGGGCTCCAGCAATCCTCCTGCCTTAGCCTCCCAAGTAGCTGGGATTACAGGTGTGCTCCACCACGCCCAGCTAATTTTTAAATTTTTTTTGTAAAAACAGGGTCTCACTATGATGCCCAGGCTAGTCTCAAACTTATTATTTAAATTGGAGAACGTTTACTGCAGAGTTAACTCACTCTCACTTGACTGTCGCTTGCCTTGTGAAAACTCTACATGCACATTCCAAGTCTGCTAGCCATCGTTTTTGTTATGCAATGTTCTGTCCATCTTCCAGAGTTTCCTCTTTTTGTATTTCTTTTCTTCACATCTTCCTTTTCTCTTTAGAAAACAAAGAAAACAGCTATGAAGGTGCTTTAAAAGCTAAAAGCACTTTACAAACTGAAAACACCTGCAGAATACCACGTCTTCCACATCTGTGGTGGTCCTTTGAAGGTGGAAAGGGGAAGGGCTATTTGTTCAGTATCTGTTAAATGCCAGGCACTGATTGTTTTAGGCCTCCTGATATACATTTTATTTAATTCTCATAATACCTCTGCCATACCTACTTGGCTTATTCTAGAGCCGAGACAATTGAGGCTCAGAAAGATTATGTAACTTGCCCCAAGTCACACAGCTAGTAAGTAGAGATTCTGAACATGAGCTCACACTGAAATGCTTCATCTTTCCACTCTACCTTTCCCCACCTTTCTAAACTTTGGTGCCCACTTTTGGTGGGAAATGAGGAAAAATTATTCTATTCAAGTGATAAATACTGGGTAGTTAAGTTCAGAGAAGTTGCTGCTTTCGCTGTAATTCCAGATCCCTAATCAAACTTCAGTGAGTCGCCTCTCCTGCTTAGCTCTGCCAGAGAGGTCTCTGTTACCCAGTGTCCTCTACTTTGAAGTCAGGATATTTATAAGAAATGTTTTATTTATTGTCTCAAAAACTGGGATTTGGGACAGAGCTTCCCTTAATAAGTCAGTTTGTCACCTGACAATATTAGAATTGCCTAATACTATGCAAATCTAGACAAAACATTCATCTGCCTTAGAGGAATTATGAAGATGGGGCCACACCTTCCAGGTGTGTATAGTCTGAATGGTCACTTTCACTCCTATATGGGGTAGAATGAGCCTTTTTCTTTGAGACTAGCTAAGACTTGTGCAATTCAGAGTTCTCACCTCCAAGCTAAGGCCTGGCCTTTTTGCATAGTGTTCTCTGAAATACTGCATAGGCCATGAGCAGACACTGATAAGGTCAAAGAAGGGGCTATACAGCTTACTATGGACAATCTTGAGAGCTGTCAGGTACTACAGACTTTGTTGCAGGAAGATTGGGCTCACTTGATCCTGTGTGAAAGATACCAGGTGTTGATACTGAGGACGGTGAGAAGAGAGGCTAAAATTGAGGATAGCCAGTGATGGTGTCAGGAATAATTTTGAGGGGCTCCCTGTCCCATAATCTCCATCAACTGTTCTAAACTGCTGTAAACAAACAAAAAGTAAAATTATGAAAATCCACAGGGATACACGCAATAGAAAATGTCAGCTTCAAATGCTCCCCAGAACCAGAAAGGACAGTACTATCTTATTATAGTACCTGTCCAATAAGAATTTTCTTGGCCTTTTACTTCTTCACCCTCACGGCTTCAACCCTGGGTGGGACACAGGTCAGAAACAACAGCTGGTAAGTAGTGGGGGGAGCAAGAATTTAGTACAGGTGTTAACAATGCCTCTTTCCCTAGGATGGGGGAGTAGCAGGCTGCTGGCTCAGGATGGAGGAGGGGCATGTGACAGGGAGAAGTCTCAACTTGAATGATGATTGATCTTGTGATTACTGCATCCAACTAAACATATTTCAATACTGAGTTGAGACTACAATAGTGATTTAAAATGACAGTAGATCGTTCTTTTACCTAAGCATGACCATAATAGTCAAGGTTAAGGGAAGGACCTGACCAGGTTTAAAGAGACAGTGGAAAAAAACAAGTTTTATGATTAAATCCCATGAGTCCTGCTTATTCAATGTGCCAGTTATAGTGAAGGATTGGCAGAAAGAGAAAACTCATTAAATTACAGAGCAGAGTTTGCTGGAAGATGACTTGGTATGATGCAGTCTTTGATTAATTTTGTCAGCTTCTGGAAGCACATTTTAAGGAAAGAATAATCAAGCCGTGTGGGGCAGTGTCTCCGATAACAGTGTTTACCAAATAATGGTCATTTTAAGGGAATCACAGATGAACAATTTTTAAATATCAAGAGTTAAGCATTTGCTGTAATGCATTATATTAATTAGAATAAAGTGCTGTAATCAAGAACCTGAAAACCTATGAGTTAAGACAGTAAAGGGTGATTTCTCACTTCACACTATGGTCCAATGTGGGCTTTGATGGGGGTGGATCTTCTGTACCACAGTCAATCAGGGAATCAGACCCCTATTTGGGGCTTTAGGTTCTTCTGGGTCGTGGAGTCTGCTTCTTCTAGCCACTGCACAGACCAAAAGAGGGCATGGAGTTATTTAGGGGCCAGGACTGCAAATGCCATGAATCACTTCTACTCATAGTCTATTGGCCAGAAGTCAGTCACATGATTCCACCTAACTGCAAGGAAAGCTGGGAAATGTATCCTAGCTGTGTGACTAGGAGGCAAATGAAATGGGGGAGGGAGAGACACTTAACACTGTCTCCCTTACATGCAAACTTTGTGAAAAGAATAGCCCATCAAAGCCTTGGTTTCACAGATACAGTGTTATTGCTTAGGTGAAACTGAAGTGGTAGAGCCAAGAACTGTAATTCGCTTTCTGCTGACCACATGGATCACTTGGAGGTAGGTTCCTGGCGGGGAAAAACGTGTGGGGGTGCATAGGAGGAATAAAAATCATTACCAAAAAGACATTGAAGAATGTGGCTGGGCAAAAAATGCCACTATGTAAACTCAGAGTGATTCAGGGCTATTCAACCTCCTGTAGATTTCTGCTCTGGACCTAGAAAAAAAGAAGAACAATGGATTAAAATCCTTTTTCAGGGCACTTCCCTCTAATTAGTCATAAAGCCACTTAAAATGAAGTTGTTGATACTGACTTATCAGCAGTTAATTTCTTGCATGAGAAAAAATTTTCTTTTTGAGACGGAGTCTCGCTCTGTCACCCAGGCTGGAGTGCAGGGGTGCCATCGTGGCTCACTGCAGCCTTGACCTCCTGGACTCAAGGGATCCTCCTTCCTCAGCCTCTTGACTAGCTGGCACCGCAGTTTTGCACCACCACACCCAGAAAATGGTTTTTTAATTTAATTTTTTATAGAAATGGGATCTTGCCATATTGCCCAAGCTGGAGAAAGAATTTTCAGGAGTATATTTTTATAAATTGACTGGCTATTACTCTGTGTATTTCATTTTAATTTTTAAGTTTTAAATTTTGTTATCAAATAATCATTAACAGCTATTTTTGGCACAAAGAAAAATAGAATTTCCAGGTGTGAGTTTTTGTTAATCAATTAGTATTATGCTTTGCATTTTATTTTCATTTTTATAATGTGATAACATTCATGTCTTTTGACTGCCTTTGTCATGATCACTTTCTATATTTGTGGTAGGTCAGAGGTGACCATGGAGCCAGCACAGGTGGAGCGGATTCCAGTTGCTGTCTGACTTTGAGCCAAATTACTGATCTTTCCATGCATCAGTTTTCTCATCCTAAAATTATAGCAATAATAATACCTACCTCATAGGATTGTTGTGAGAATTAAAAGAGTTAATATTTATAAAGCATTTATAATTGTGCCTGATATGGCTTGGCTGTGTCACCACCCAACTCTCACCTTGAATTGTAGTTCCCATTATCCCCAGGTGTGTCATGGGAGGGACCTGGTGGGAGGTAACTGAATCATGGGGGCAGGTTTTCTTGTGCTGTGTTCATGATAATGAATAAGTCTCAAAAGATCCGATGGTTTTATAAAGGGCAGTTTCCCTGCACACGTTCTCTTGCCTGCCACCATGTAAAACATGCCTTTGCTCCTCCTTTGCCTCCCACCATGATTGTGAGGCCCCCCAGCCATGTAGAACTGTGAATCTATTAAGCCACTTTTTCTTTATAAATTACCCAGTCTCAGGTATGTCTTTATTAGCGGCATGAGGACAGACTAATACAGTGCCTGGCAAGTAAAAATAAATGAGCCTTTTAATAGAAAAAAAGTAATAAATAATAATATAAGTGGTAGAGTGATATGGCCAGAAATTGTGATGTTGGTAAGCAAATTTTTCAAGTGTGGAACTCACTGTCTTATGTGATGATTGATGGCTTCCTTATAAATCAGTCAGTAGATTTGGCTTGGAGTTTTTTCAAATCAATCAGTACTGAATGAAAACTCTTCCTCTGAGAGCAAGTATAGTGTTTTGCTACAGCCCTGTTGGAACAAAACTTCCCTAAAAGTGGTGCTCAAAGAGGCTTGGTTTCTGAACAAGTTGAGATGTAAAACAGCATAAAGATGGGGCCAAAAATTGCCTGTTTCCTGCTTGGAGGCAGGAGGGAGGCAACGGCTTTGGCTCTGTTGGCTCTGTGGGTTGCTAACAGGGGAAGCTCTGAGTTAGGCAGAACTACCTGGCCCCACCTAGGTAGCACCAGCTGGGGCAGAATTCCCCTCCAGGAGGAGGGTGAAGGCTTTGGATGTGAAGGAGCAGAGAGAACTCATGCTCTCAAGAGGAAGAACAGTCAAGCTAATTGGAGCATACCTTTTCCATTCAGCCTGAATTTACTAATCCTATTTGTCACTCTTCTTCCTCAAAATGGAGTAAGTAAAATGGGCAGAAAATGGAAAAACTACTATTTTTACTACTAATTTTTCATAAATGTTTCTAGATTTTAAATGCATAAAATTTATCAATGATTAAGAGGACTTGTTATTTTCTGAAGCTAAAAAACAATAGCAAGAGTTATTTATTTATGCTTTGTTCTGATAAGCTTATTAGCAGGCAATGGGATTGCATGTCACATTTTTGCAGAATGTTTAACAATAGTTATTAGTAGCAATTCCCCACAAAGCCAAGTAGGAAGTAGCTTTATTTTTTCCAAATGTTTGCTTTGGAAATACAAACACTAAATATTGATATATTCAAAATTACATTTGCAATGTAGGAATTTTGATTTTAAAAAACCATTTTCTCCACACAACCCAGTGGTAACATATTTTCAGGCTTTTAATGTTTGTTAAATCAAACAAATCCAAGAAACATTCATAAATCGGAGAGTGTCTAACAGAATTATATTTTACTCTGTGTGACCCTGGGAAAATCATTTCATATTTCTATATTCTACTTGTCTTTGAAGAAATAGAGATCATGATATTCTATTAAATAAAATTATTTGAAGCTATCTGGGAGAAAGAGCATGCTAACTATTTCTGAGATTACAAAATTTACAATTTATTTTAATATAACTTTTGAGGCAGGCCAGTCTATTTGGCTGAAAATAATTAAAATTTGGAGACATGATTGGTGTGTGTTTGGGACACAATATTTTCATGTGCTTGGTAATGTCAAAATTTCCTTGGTTTTACAGTAATAAAATAGCACCTTTATTTTTAATGACTATACTATAAGGCAATGTCAACTATTTTGTAGAGATTATAGTATTTCATTGCTCTGGTTAGCAATGTACTTTAAAAATGCAGCTGTAATTTTAGCTGTGGGAACAAACATTTGTGTCGTTGCTAATAAACAAAACTTTTGAAGATCAGATATCTCTATTGCAATATTAATTTGCTTTTCACCTTTTTTGGTAAGGATGTGGGAGAAGACAGAAAAAGGAGGCATACAAAAATGGAAAACTACATTTTATAAAAACAAATTTGTCATTTAGGAAATGTAATTTCCAGTGGTATTTTATTTGAATAGAGCATATTCAATATGAAAAATATGGAAAAATGTGGAAAAATAGAAATAAAAATATTTTATCAGCCTAGTGTTTCATCACTTAAAGACAACATGTCAACAATTCTGAGAATATTCCAAACCTGGTTTTCTAGTGCCTTTTCTTTTTACATTGTTGTGACCTTACTTTGGATACTACTTTGTATGCTGCTTTTTTCATTTAACATTATAGCATAAGCAATTTATAGATGATTGCAAATTTTTACAAACTTTTGTTTTCTTCAACTTTCAAGTTCAGGGGTACATGTGAAGGATGTGCAGGTTTGTTAGATAGGTAAACGTGTGCCATGGTGGTTTGCTGCACAGATCATCCCATCACCTAAGTATTAAGCCCAGCATCCATTAGCTGTTCTTCCTGATGCTCTCTCTCCCCCTACTCCCCACTCCAACAGGCCCTAGTGTGTGTTGTTCCCCCAGCCATGTGTTCATGTGTTCTCATCATTCAGCTCCCACTTACAAGTAAGAACATGGGGTGTTTGGTTTTCTATTCCTGCTTTGGTTTGCTGAGGATAATGGCTTCCAATTCCATCCATGTCCCAGCAAAGGACATGATCTTCTTCTTTCTATGGCTGCATAGTATCCCATGGTGTATATGTACCACATTTTCTTTATCCAGTCTATCATTGATGGGCATTTAGGTTGATTTCATGTCTTTGCTGTTGTAAATAGTGCTGCAATGAACATATGCATGCATGTATCTTTATAATATAATGATTTCTATTCCTTTGGGTATATACCCAGTAATGGGATTGCTGGGTCACATACTATTTCTGGTTCTAGGTCTTTGAGGAATTACCACACCATTTTCCACAATGGTTGAACTAATTTACACTCCCACCAACAGTGTAAAAGTATTCCTTTTTCTCCACAACCTTACCAGCATCTGTTGTTTTTTTGACTTTAATAATAGCTACTCTGACTGGTGTGAGATGGTATCTCATTGTAGTTTTGATTTTCATTTCTCTAATGATCAGTGATGTTGAGCTTTTTTTCATATGTTTGTTGGCCACCTGTATGTCTTCTTTTGAGAAGTGTCTGTTCATGTCCATTGCCTACTTTTTAATGGAGTTCTTTGTCTTTGTCTTGTAAATTTGTTTAAATTTCTCTTGTAGACTCTGGATATTAGACCTTTGTGAGACGGATATATTGCAAAAATTTTCTCCCATTCTTTAGGTTGTCTGTTCACTCTGATGATAGTTTCTTTTGCTGTGCAGAAGCTCTAGTTTAATTAGACCCCATTTGTCAACTTTTGCTTTTGTTGCAATTGCTTTTGGCATTTTTGTCATGAAACCTTTGTTTGTGCCTATGTCCTGAATGCTATTGCCTGGATTATCTTCCAGAGTTTTTATAGTTTTGGGTTTTACATTTAAGTCCTTAATCCATCTTGAGGTAATTTTTATATAAGGTGTAAGGAAAGGGTCCAGTTTCAATTTTCTGCATATGGCCAGCCAGCTCTTCCAGTATCATTTATTAAATAGGGAGTCCTTTCCCCATTGCTTGTTTTTGTGAGCTTGTTGAAGATCAGATGGTTGTAGGTGTGCGGTCTTATTTCTGAGTTCTCTATTCTGTTCCATTGGTCTATGTGTCTGCTTTTCTACCAGTACCTTGCTTTTTTGGTTACTGTAGCCTTGTAGTATAGTATAAAGTTGGGTAGCGTGATGCCTCCAGCATTGTTCTTTTTGCTTAGGACTGTCTTTGGTATTCAGGCTCTTTTTTGGTTCCATAAGAATTTTTAAATAGTTTTTTTGTACTTATGTGAAGAATGTCAATGGTAGTTTAATGGGAATAACATTGAATCTGTAAATTACTTTGGGCAGTATAGCCATTTTCACGATATTGATTCTTCCTATCCACAAGCATGAAATGTTTCTCCATTTCTTTGTGTCCTCTCTGATTTCTTTGAGCAGTGGTTTGTAGTTCTCCTCAAAGAAGTCCTTCACTTCCCTTTTTAGTTGTATCCCTAGATATTTTATTCTCTTTGTAGCACTTGTGAATGGGAGTTCATTAATGATTTGGCTCTGCTTGCTTGTTGTTGGTGTACAGGAATGCTAGTGATTTTTGCACAATGATTTTGTATCCTGAGACTTTGCTGAGGTTGCTTATCAGCTTAAGAAGCTTTTGGGACTGGGTGGCTCACGTCTGTAATCCTAGCACTTTGGGAGGCTGAAGTGGGCGGATCACCTGAGGTCAGGAGTTCGAAACCAGCCTGGCCAATGTGGTGAAACCCTGTCACTACTAACAATACAAAAATTAGCCAAGCACGGTGTCAAGCGCCTGTGATCCCAGCTACTCAGGAGGCTGAGGCAGGAGAATTGCTTGAACCCAGGAGGCAGAGGTTGCAATGAGCCATGATCGTGCCTTCGTACCCCAGTCTGGGTGACAAGAGTGAAAGTCCATCTCAAAAAAAAAAAAAAAAAAAAAAAAGAAGAAGCTTTTGGGCTGAGACAATGGGGTTTTCTAGATATAGGATCATGTCATCTGCAAATAAAAATAATTTGACTACCTCTCTTCCTATTTGAATACCCTTTACTTATTTCTCTTGCATGCTTGCCCTGGCCAGAACTTCCAATACTATGTTGAATAGGAGTGGTGAGAGACGGCATCCTTGTCTTGTGCCAGTTTTCAAGGAGAATGCTTCTAGCTTTTGCCCAGTCAGTATGATATTGGCTGTGGGTTTGTCATAGATGGCTTCTATTATTTTGTGTTATGTTCCTTCAGTACCTAGTTTGTTGAGAGTGTTTAACATGAAGGGGTGCTTGATTTTATCAAAGGCCTTTTCTGCATCTATTGAGATAATCGTGTGGTTTTTGCCTTTAGTTATGTTTATATGATGAATCACATTTATTGATTTGCATATGTTAAACCAACCTTGAATCCTGGGGATGAAGACAACTTGATCATGGTGGATAAGCTTTTTGATGTGCTGCTGGATTCAGTTTGCCAGTATTTTACTGAGGATTTTTGCATCGATGTTCATCAAGGATATTGGCCTGCAATTTCTTTTTTTTTTTTTTTTTTTTTGGTATCTCTGCCAAGTTGTGGTATCAGGATGATGCTGGCCTCATGAATGAGTTAAGAAGGAGTCCTTCCTTTTCAACTTTTTGGAATAGTTTCAGTAGAAATGGTACTTCTGGTAGAATTCAGCTGTGAATCCATCTGGTCCTGGGTGTTTTTTGCTTGCTACTTATTACTGCCTCAATTTCAGAACTTGTTATTGGTGTATTCTGGAATTCAATTTCTTCCTGGTTCAGTCTTGGGAGGGTGTCTGTGTCCAGGAATTTACCTATTTCTTTTGGATTTTCTAGTTTATGTGCATAGAAGTATTTACAGCATTCTCTGATGGTTGTTTCTATTTCTGTGGAGTCAGTGGTAATGTCCCCTTTATCATTTCTGATTGTGTTTATTTGAGTCTTCTCTCTTTTCTTTATTAGTCTAGCTAGCTTTCTATTTTATTAATTTTTTTCAAAAACTGAATCCTGGATTCATTGATTTTTTTTTTCAAAGGGGTTTTTGTGTCTCTATCTCCTTGAGTTCAGCTCTGATCTTGGTTATTTCTTGTCTTCTGCTAGTTGTGGGTTTTGCTCTCGGTTCTCTAGTTATAGTTGAGATGTTAGGTTGTTGAGATCTTTCTAGCTTTTTGATATGGTCATTTGGTGCATAAGTATCCCTCTTAACACTGCTTTGGCTACATCCCAGAGATTTTGGTACATTATCTTTTTGTTCCATTAGTTTCAAAGAACTTCTTGATTTCTGCCTTAATTTTATTATTTACCCAAGAATCATTCAGGAGTAGGTTGTTCAATTTTTATGTAGTTGTGTGATTTTGAGTGAATTTCTTAATATTCAGTTCTAATTTAATTGTGCTGTGGTCTAAGAGACTATTTGTTATGATTTCAGTTCTTTTGCATTTGCTGAGGAGTGTTTTACTTCCAATTATGTGATTAATTTTAAAGTAAGTTCCATGTGGCAATGAGAAGAATGTATATTCTGTTGTTTTTGGGTGAAGAGTTCTGTAGATATCTATTGGGTCCACTTGATCCACAGCTGAGTTTAGGTCCTGGATATTTTTGTTAATTTTGTGTTTCTATGATCTAACATTGTCAGTGGGATGTTAAAGCCTCCCACTATTATTGCGTGGGAGTCTAAGTCTGTTTGTAGGTCTCTAAGAACTTGCTTTATGAATCTGAGTGCTTCTCTATTGGGTGCATATATATTTAGGATAGTTAGCTCTTCTTGTTGAATTGAACCCTTTACCTTTATGTAATTTCCTTCTTTGCCTTTTCTTATCTTTTATTGGTTTAATGTCTGTTTTGTCAGAAACTAGGATTGCGACCCCTGCTTTTGTCTGTTTTCCATTTGCTTGGTAAATTTTCCTCCATCTCTTTATTTTGAGCCTATGTGTGTCTTTGCATGTGAGATGGGTCTTGGCTCTATCCAGCTTGCCATCCTGTGTCTTTTAAAGGGGACATTTAGCCCATTTACATTTGAAGTTAGTATTGTTATGTGTGCTTTTGTCACCATGATGCTAGCTGGTTATTTTTCAGACTTGTTTATGTGGTTGCTTTGCAGTGTCACTGGTCTGTGTGCTTCAGTGTATTTTTATAGTGGCTGGTAATGGTTTTCCTTTCCATATTTAGTGCTTCCTTCAGGAGCTCTTGCAAGGCAGGCCTGGTGGTGATAAATTCCGTAAGCATTTGCTTGTCTGAAAAGGATCTTATTTCTCCTTCACTTATGAAGCTTAGTTTGTCTGGATACGAAATTCTGGTTTGGAAATTCTTTTCTTTCAGAATGTTAAATATTGGTCCCCAATCTCTTCTGGCTTGTAGAGTTTTGGCTGAGAGGTTCACTGTTAGTGTGATGGGGGTTTCCCTTTGTAGGTGGCCCAGCCTTTCTGGCTGCCCTTAATATTTTTCCTTTCATTTTGACCTTGGAGAATCTGATGATTATGTGTCTTGGGGTTGATCTTCTCATGGAGTATCTTACTGGGGTTCTCTGCATTTTCTGAATTTGAATGTTGGCCTGTCTTGCTAGGTTGGGGAAGTTCTTCTGGATGATATCCTGAAGTATGTTTTCTAACTTGGTTCCATTCTCCCTGTCTCTTTCAGGTACCCCAATCAGTCATAGGTTCAGTCTCCTTACATAATCCCATATTTCTCAGAGATTTTGTTTATTCCTTTTCATTCTTTTTTCTCTATTCTTGTCTGCCTGTCTTATTTCAGATAATCTTCAACAAGCTCTGAGTTTTTTTTTCCTCCACTTGGTCCATTCTACTATTGATACTTGTGATTGCATTGTGATGTTCTTGCGTTGTATTTTTCAGCTCCATCAGTTTGGTTATGTTGCTCTCTAAACTGGTTATTCTGGCTATCAGCTCCTGTATTGTTTTATCATGATTCTTAGCTTCTTTGCATTGGGATACAACATGCCCCTTTAGCTCAGCGAAGTTTGTTATTACCCCCCTTCTGAAGCCTACTTCTGTCAATTCAGCCATCTCAGCCTCAGTCCAGTTCTGTGCCCTTGCTGGTTAGGTGTTGTGGTCATTTGGAGGAGAAGAGGCACTCTGGCTTGTTCAGTTTTTAGCATTTTTTGCATTGATTCTTTCTCATCTTTGTGGGCTTAGCTGCCTTCAGTCTTTGAAGTTGCCGACATTTGAATGATGTTTCTGTGGGGTCATTTTTGTTGATGTTGTTGTTGTTTTCTGTTTGTTTTTCTTTTAACAGTCAGGCCACTCTACTGCAGGGACTGCTGCAGGTTGCTGGGGATCCGCTCCAGACCCCAGCGGCCTTGGTTTCTCTTGTACCTGGAGGTATTACCCGTGAAGGCTGTGAAAGAGCAAAGATGGCAGCCAGATCCTTCCTCTGGAAGCTCTGTCCCAGTGAGGTACTGACATGTTGCCGGCCCAAACGTGCCTGTAGGAGGTGGCTAGAGACCCCTGTTGGGAGGCCTCCCCAGTCAGGAGGAATGGGATTGGGGTCCGGCTTAAAGAAGCAGTCTGGCCACTGCTGGCAAGGCAGCTGTGCTAGGTTGTGTGGGACCCTTCCTTGTCTGGACTATTTGTATTCTCCACAGCTGGCAGGCTGGAAAAGCTGAGTTGACTGAACCGCAGAGATGGTGTCTGCACCTCCCCCTCAGAGCTCCATCTCAGGGAGAGATCAGAGCTCTGTCCATAGAACTTTTGCTGGAGTGGCTGAAGCCCCTATGGGAAGGTCCCACCCAGTGAGGAGGAATGGATCGGGATCCTGCTTAAAGAAGCATCCTGACCATGATCTGGCAAGGCAGCTGTGCTGCATTGAGGGGGAGCCTTCCTCGTTTTGACCATTTGTATTCTCCAAAGCTGGTGGGCTGAAGCAGCTGAGTCTACTGAACCACAGAGATGGTGGCCACCCCTCCCCCCAGGAGCTCCGCCGGTCTCAGGCAGATTCCAGCCTGTTGCCATTGGCTGGCGGGAATTCCAAGCCAGTGGGTCTTAACTTGTGAGGTGCTTGGAAACGGGGCCTGCAGAACGATGCTGTGTGGCTCCCTGGATTCAGCCCCCTTCCTAGGGATATGTACAGACGGATCTGCCACCTCGCTGGGAATCCCGGGGCCAGAACAGGTAAAACTCCTAGGTCTCTGTGTATGCTTGAGTGTCTGCTCTGCCGAGACTCCACACAGCTCTGTGTATCGGACCCAAAGCCCTGGTGGCGTGGGCTCACGAGGGATCTCCTGATCCATGGGTTGCACAGATCTGTGGGAGAAGCGTGGTTTCCCGGCTGGGGCTGCACAATCACTGCTTCCTTTGGCTGGGGGTGGGGGTTTCTTTGGCTCTGAGCAGCTCCTAGGGACGTTGCTCCGTCCCTGCTTTTCTTTGTTCTTTGTGGGTCAAGTTGTTTGCCTAGTCAGTCCCAATGCAAGAACCTCGATATTTCAGTTGAAGGTGCAGAATTTATTCGCAGCCTTTCATTCCTGTGAGCGCTGAGGACCGCAGCTGCTTCTAATTGGACATCTTGTGTCAATCCCAAACTTTGTTTTAATTGGCTACATAATTCTATTATCAAGTGGTAAAAATAACAGATACTTCATTCTTAGCGTGAGTGGTGCTCTGATATTGACTGAGTTTTTGGAGCTTATCTTCTCTGCTTCATTTATTCTCTGCTTCTCTCTATCTAGTTTTTAAACAGAACTAAGCTGCTAAACCTAAGACCTTGCTGCATTTACTGTAAAAGCCCTAAAGTTGGCTGAGCAGGACGTGCCGCTGGCTCCAATAGAGAAGCATAAAAATCAAATGGCAACATTTACCATTTAATTACAGAACAGATATGTGCACATTTCCTATAAAGTTGATTTGTTCAGATTTAGTAGCCTCTGGATCCTAGGAGAAATGCTGAAACATTGTCTCTTCAGCAGGTGTGTGCTCGACAGCATCATGCTTATGAGATGCATCTGTAGCATTCCCTGGCTCAGATAATATGACAGGATGGTATGTGGTAGTTTGTGAGAACAAATGGTCTGAAGGAAGTTTCAGAATTGTTTAGATTTTTGAACTAGTTTTACCTTCTACCCAGTTAAGGCCTAATTAAGGTCATCAAGCTAACCATATATGGTTATTAATGATGTTCATTTAAAATTGAGTACAGAGGATCCTGCTGTCGTTCGTGTATGGTTTTAAAATTGTTTTCACTGTCATTTTTACACACTTGTGACCATGTTGAGTACACTTCATTCCAGGTTCTGTGATACCTACCTAGGTGTTTAGCCTCTCAGGTCCTCTAGGCATTTTCTCCATTTTCAATATGTTATTTCCATGTAGAGTGTATTTGTCAGCTTTTGTTGTAATAATGGTTTGTAATGACCCTTAAACCTCAGTGGTCTATCACAATTTTTTTTTTTTTTTTTTTTTTTTTTTGCTCGTGGGTCTGTGGGCTGTGTGAAGTTTACCTAGGCTCAGCTGGTCTTGGCTCTAGGCTGCAGGCTTGGTTCAAGACTGCTTCATGGGTCTTTTCTGGAGTTCAGACTGATGAGTGACGACCTATTGTATATTTTCCCTCTGGCAATGGCAGGAGGTTAGGAGAGCAACCCAAATGCACAAGCACATTTTATGTCTCTACTTTGTATTACTTTCACTAATATCCTGTTGGTCATAGTGAGTCACGTGGCCAAGTCCAAGATTAAGGGATGGGGAAGTACCTTCCCCATACTGTCAAGATATATGGCAAGGATATAAACTATTACAGGGGAGTGACAAATTGAGAGCAAGAATTCTACTTATCACCCAGTGTTTCATGTTTTGTTTGGAGTTTACAAATTTCTTCTCAGTTAACTTCCATTTTTATAAGACATCTGGTCTTTTCTGTGCATTTTTAAATGCCTTTTTCATCATGGACCCTTCTTCCTCAGTAGATTTATATACGTTTTAGGTGCATAGAATACTCCTAAGCTACTTTTCATAGACTGTTTGAGCTGGAAGGTACTTCAGAGTTTTAATTCTATTATTTTACAGATAAGGAACTGAAGTCCAAAGAGATGAGGTGACTGGCAGAAGAATACACAGCTAGTCAGTGACAATATATTTTAATGGGCAAAGCGGGGATGAGGACATTCTACAGTTCCTTTCCCTTTTGACCCAGCTGTCCTATCTCATTCTGTGCCTCATGAATAATCCCAATGCTACTTCCCAGGAGGAATCCAGCTGGCCTGGCTACATTGGAAATGCTAAAAACAGAATCATAAATTACCTGGGGCAGAGGGAACATGAATGAATCCTGCCCGCAAATTGCCCAGCAGGCAGCAAGTGTCCATCCTCTGCTAGCAGAGGTGATGGAACATGGGACTGCTAGACTATGGATAAGATTCACAGATCTTCTGAATGTCAAGGTTACTGAGGGTGCCTTTTAAAAATGGTTTTATGAATCCTGGAAGTTGCCAAGAGGTTATAGCAAAAGATTTTGTGTGCATTTTGGGGCATGCTTCTGAAAGCTGTTCTGTGTAGGAAGGAGCCCTGAAATTAGAAAGTTTTAGCTGATTTGTGCATGTGCAAATGCAAATTAATGTCCTTGCATATTTTCACTGAGTGGCAAGAGCACATTCACCTTGTTAGTGTTTACAAAATTGTTAATATTTTAATTAATGTCACCTGTCATCTGAGATTCCCAGTGAAACTGAATACTTCATTAACACTGGATAATATTCATTGAGGGTTTGTGTGTATGTGTGTTTGTGTGCAAGTGTGTGCTCATGTGAACTCCTTAGCTTGATGTTTAACTGCTTCATTGGTTTCCTTCCATCTGCTATGGCCAGGAGCCAGCTATGCCTACTTATTTCATTCTGCATGTGTAGTACTTTAGAATGACACTATTTACATGAGAATTTAAATAAATGTTTTTAAGAGGAAGAACTAAAATTCAATGTTTTGCTGCTAGAGGAGTTCCTTTCACTACCTACTCTGCTCTTAATGCTTTTATTTATGACTTTTAATATTTTTAATTTATGTGTATTTGAAACAAGTTGCACAAGCAGAAATATGTTATCTTCCTGTTACCTGAAAATACAATTGTTTGACTGTGACTATAAAAAGATTGTATACAAATTTTAATTCACAGGTCAGATTAGATGCAGTTTGTTCTTTAACTGAGGTAATCAAGCAAAGTTCCACAAATCTGGTGAAAATAGATTGATTATGTTTCAGATATAAAAACCTGTAATATAGGGGTAGATGAAAGTTTTGAAATGAAAAGTCATTCTAAAAGTTGTTCATAAAGACATATGCACACATATGTTCATCACAGCACTATTCACAATGACAGAGACATGGAATCAACCTAGATGCCCATTAATGGTGGACTGGGTAAAGAAAATGAGGTATATGTACCATGGAATACTATGCAGCCATATAGAAGAATGAAATAATGTTCTTTGCAGCAACATTGATATAGCCAGAGGCCATTATCCTAATTGAATTAATGCAGGAACAGAAAACCAAACACTGCATGTTCTTATTTATAAGTGGGAGCTAAACATTGAGTACATATGGACACAAGGAAACAAGTGACACTGAGGCCTACTTGAGGGTGGAGGGTGGGAGGTGGGCGAGGATTGAAAAACTAGGTATTGGGTACTATGCTTACTACCTGAGTGCTGAAATAATTTGTACACCAAACCCTAGTAACATGCAATTTGCCCATGTAACAAACCTGCATATGTACCCCCAAACCTAATATAAAGGTTGGAAGGAAAAAAAAGTGAAAGATGTCTATTATTAATTTTTAAATTATTCGTAAGTTCATCATATAAATATTTTTATACTAGAATATATATCATTTTCATTTATTTAATTCTGTTTGGAAATCAGCTTTATATTTCCATGTGTTATTTTTTCAAAGGAGTTTTTGCCATCTACTGGCTTCTAGTCCATTGGATTTCTGGGTGACTTTCCTGTAGCTGATAGTTCTAACTGAATGTATAATGCTATAACATGACTGATTTAGAAATTTTTATTATATTGGATCAATACATAAGCAGACTGGCTAAATGATTTGAATATGTAAAGTTGGCCAGAAATTCTGATGACTTCGATATGTTCAGTTAGGTTGTTGGGTGGCGAGCTCTTGAATTATTTTTCCTTCCTTATGCACATTAGGTTCTTAGTGAATGGTTCCTAAATAAGTGAAGTCTTTTCAGCTTCTTCTAGACTACCAGGGAGAAACTTGAAGGCTGAGCACATATGTGAAAGTCATAGACAGAACAAAAACTTTTAAGTTTGTTTACCAAGATTTTTCTATTTTTCCATCGATCCAAACCTAGTAAATATTCTGCTTTGTCTGTATATACAAACTGACTAGGAAGGGATATGATTACATTTAATGAAAATATTAGCTACTAACATTTATTGAATATATGCAAAGTCCCAACATCTGTGATAAGCACACATTAGCTCATTTAAATCCTAGTTACAACCTTTTGAGGAAGGGAGCTAATTTTATCTCTAACATACAGATGAGGAAAATTTGGCTTCCAGAGATGGGTGTAATTTGTTCACAGCTATATAAGTAATAATTGATGGAGCAGGAATTCAAAACCCATCTTCTGAATTCCACCAGCATCTTCAAGATTTCTGAAGGTCTTTTCATTAATCTCCAAAACCAGTACATATAATAGTTGAATGCTCAAAAGGTCAGTTTTTTTTCCCAGAAGTATGTTTTACTTGGACTCATGAAGCACCTATTTTCGAGTCGTTTCATTTACATATTATTTGCAGGGTACTACAGTCATAGCATTTATAGAACACACCCAAAGAAGCAGTTTTGTCCCAGGTCAAGTGGCCAGAATGATGAATGACATTGGAAATCTAAAAGAAGTTCAAACCCAAAGCATGAATTAAAATGAACAGAATGGGCCTACAGACCCATTCAGTAGTCAAGGCTACTATAAAAGAGAAAGTAGAAAAAGAACAAGTTTGCTTTTCACCACATCTGTGCTATTATCTATTAATTTTTGACTTGTTAATAATGGTCATTCTGGCTGAGGTAAGGTGGTATCTCATTGTGATTCTAATTTGCATTTCCCTGATGATTAGTGATGTTGAACATTTTTTCATATGTTTGTTGGCCATTTGTATATCTTCTTGTGAGAAATGTCTGTTTATGTTGTTTGCCCACTTTTTCTTGGGATTATTTTTTCTTGCTGGTTTCTCTGAGTTCCTTGTCAATTCTGAACATTAGTCTTTTGTCAGATGTATAGTTTGCAGATATTTTCTCCCATTCTGTAGGTTGTGTGTTTACTCTGTTGAATATTTCTTTTGCTGTGCAGAAGTTTTTAGCTTAGTTTGGTCTTACTTATTTTTGTTGCATTTGTTTTTGGGGTCTTAGTCATAACTTCTTTGCCTATGCCAATGTCCAGAAGAGTTTTCCCTAGGTTTTCTTCTAGAATTTTTATGGCTTGGGGTTTTAAATTTAAGTCTTTAACATATCTCAAGCTAATTTTTTATATGATGAAAGATAGGAATCTAGTTTTATTCTTCTGCATTCTTCTACAATTTTCCCAGCACCATTTATTGAATAGCATGTCCTTTCCTCAATTTGTGTTTTTGTGTGCTTTGTCGAAGATCAGTTAGTTGTAAGTATTTGGCTTTATTTCTGGGTTATCTATTCTGTTCTATTGGTCTATGTGAATGCTTATACACTGGTTTACACAGAGAATGTAAATTAGTACAACCTTTATGGAAAACAGTATGGAGATTTCTCAAAGAACCAAAAGTAAATCTATCATTCAATCCAGCAATTCCACTGCTGGGAAATCTACCCAAAGGAAAAGGAGTCATTATATCAAAAAGACACCTGGACACATATGTTTATTGCAGCACAAATGACAATTACAAAGATATAGAATCAACAATATGAACGGATAAAGAAAATTTGGTATACATATACCATGAAATATGACTCAGCCATAAAAAATAATTAAATAATGTCTTTTGCAGCAATTTGGATGGAACTGGAGG